>NC_000008.11:36223738-36526769 GCF_000001405.40 Homo sapiens | reverse complement strand
GAAGTGCTAAAATATTTAAGAATTAATTAAAAAATTTAATCTTAGATTCAGAGAGTTGAAAAATCATAAGAAGTAGAAATAAGAAACCTATACCTAAATATCATGATAGCTTATACACTAAGTCAAAGATATAATCTTAAAAGCAATCAGAAGAAAAAGATAAGTTACCTCCAAAGGAAGAATTAGAGTGACATATGATTCTCAGTGAAAACATGCCCAAATTCAAAGTCTAGAAGCAAGTCCAACTTTGATTCTCTCCCTTATTCCTACAGCTTCATTTGCCCCTTCATCAATTCTTACCTGATTTATTGTATGTATCTCCAACCTGTTATTCCCCTTAATATTTCATTCTACCTTGCTGCATGTGATATCTTTCACACACTCTGTAAAAGAACCTATTAAAATGTAATCATGCCACTCTTCTATTTAACATTTCTGCTCGTTTCTTACCGCAAACACAATTAGTTAGAAATTGTTAACTTTAGCATTCAAGACTCTTTCCAAAACATTTCAGTACTTTTTTTCCTTTCCCAGTTTTCTCCAGTTTCCCTGGGCTCCTGCCTCACTGACATTTCACCAGACCCTGAATTAACAGACACTTTGATGACCAGGCTTTAACATGCTGTCCTTTCTCCAAGATCTTCCCTTCAAGTTCTCTAATCATGCATTTCTATCTTTGCCTATCAGCTTCTCTATTAGACTGCTTGGACTGCCATAACAAAATGCCACAGATGGCGTGACTTAAATAACAGACATGTTTTTCTCACAGTTCTGGAGTCTGGGAAGTCCAATATCAAGGCGCAGACAGCACTGGTATCTCGTGAGGTCTCTCCTTGGTTTGCAGTTGGCTGCCTTCTCATTGTGTCCTCACATGGTGTTTTCTCTGTATGCAAGTATTCCTGATATCTCTTCCTCTTTTTGTTAGAACATCAGTCCTGTTGAATTAGAACCCCATCCTTATGACCTCATTTAACCTTAATTACCTTCTTTAAGGCCCTATCTCCAAACATAGTCACATTGTGTATTAGGGCTTCCAGGTATGAATTTTTGGGGGACAATATTTAGTCCACAAGAGCTACTCTTTTAGAATTGTTTAAGATCCCGTTTCTTTGAAATATTTTCTGAATCATTTCCTGCAGACTCTTAGCATTGATCTGTCATTCCCTGTAGGCTTACAGAATATTTTCCCTCACAGGGTGAGGAAATCCTCCTGATTTCCACTACCACTTATGCCAAACATGAAATTAAAGAAAGCTTACAATAACCTGTTTTAAAGTGAAGTTTTTATTCTTATTCAGAAATGTTAAGGCCTAAAAATCAGGAGACAATTGCCATTGAAGACATAGTTTGTTATTCATAGTTCTCAACAGGAGTGGGTAAGCCACATACACAGGGTCACGTGGAGAAGCACTAGTTTCGGTCAGGAGGCAGAAGGAATATGATAGGAGAACATGGGCAAGTCTTTCTTTCTTTCTCTTTCTTTCTTTCTTTCTTTCTTTCTTTCTTTCTTTCTTTCTTTCTTTTTTCTTTCTTTCTTATTCCTTCCTTCCTTCCTTCCTTCCTTCCTTCCTTCCTTCCTTCATTTCTTTCTTTCTTCCTTCCTTCTTTTTTTATTTTTTTACACGGTAGGCAATTTTTTTAAATTTTTACTTTAAGTTCTAGGATACATGTGCAGAACATGCAGGTTTGTTACATAAGTATACATGTGCCATGGTGGTTTGCTGCACCTATCAACCCATCTTCCAGGTTTAAACCCCACATGCATTAGATATTTGTCCTAATGCTATCCCTCCCCTTGCCCCCCACCTCTGACAGGCCCCAGTGTGTGATGTTCCCCTCCCTGTGTCCACATGTTCTCATTGTCCAACTCCCACTTATGAGTGAGAACATGCAGTGTTTGGTTTTCTGTTCTTGTGTTAGTTTGCTGAGAATGATGACTTCCAGCTTCATCCATATCCATGCAAATGACATGAACCCATTCTTTTTTATGGCTGTGTAATATTCCATAGTGTGTATGTGCCACATTTTCTTTACTCAGTCTATCATTGATGGGTATTTGAGTTGGTTCCAAGTCTTTGCAATTGCAAATAGTGCTGGAATAAACATATGTGTACATATGTCTTTACAGTAGGATGATTTATAATTTTGGGAGTATAATCCTTTGGGTATATTTATGGTTTCCTTGAAAATAAATGGTTATGGTGGGGTAAGCAGTTTTGGGATTGGTTAGCTTGATAATTTTAGTGGGCTCTAGGGCATATGGCTGTCCCTTGTTTTCTAACACATGGCTCTTGGGTAATTAGGGAAGGGAAGTAATGGCCCTGAGTATAAGAGCCTGGTAGAGGAGATAGTTGAAGGTATTGACTTTGGACTTGTTGGTTTTCATATGAAAGGCAGGTGAATCATTTACCATCTCTAGGAATTGGCTGGCTCTGGGAAAGTTAGTCTCTCTAGGGTCAGGAACGTTCCAGAGTCGAAGCATCAGAATGAAAAACATGCTTCATACGTAACCCATTCACCTCAACCACAGATTCCCTTAGCAAGTTTCCAATATTCATCAGGGAGAAAGAAATATAAAGGAAATTAGCAGAATGAGGTATGATGGGGTAGAAGATAAGCTAAACATCCCTTCTAAATAAGTTTTAAGAGTTTCTATCTTCAAAAAAGTGTTAGGAAAACAGGTCAATGTGGGGAAAAGCTCAGTGGATATATCTGCAAGAAACAGCAGTGACACCCCCACCCTGTTAACCAAGCTGATCTTGTGTAAGTGAAGGTGTTATTTCCTGAGTGATCGCATACAATTTTACTAGAAAATGATTGTTATAATACCTTGCAGTTTTTGCTTCCTCTGAACATGAAGCTTAGAAACCCTTGGAGTCTGGGTGGGGAGGGGGTGTTTGGTGGTGGTTGTTGTTTGTTTGTTCTTAATTTTTTTTAAAAAATGGGAGCACCAAAAGTGAATGTTCTGGTAGGAGTTCAGGTCAATAATGAATGAGTAGATAAAGGCTACTGTGGGCCACCACTTAGCTGGACCAGCGTAATATTCACATCTTCATTCCATGCCATCCTTTCTGGGCACACTCCTTTCTCTGCTGTATATCCCTCTGGCAACCTGTGAAGCAGCTACTTATCTGATTTTTTCTGCACACTCGTTGCTGCCAAGAAAATACATTGCACACCCTGCCTTGCATGTGCTGCCTTGAATTATCTTTCCATTTTACCAATTGCTGGAAAAACTGCATCTCAGCAGTGCCCCAACTCCCCAGGGAAAGACATCCATCAACACAGACCTGTTTTTCCCCTTAGGTGTCTGTCCATTTTGGTGCCTCTTATTAAGCCTCATAGGTTCCTATTCATCAAAATCATGCCAAGGAAGCCTTGAATTCTTTCTGAGGTGCATATTCAGCAGAATGCCAAGGAAGAGTGGAGATAGCAGAGGGAAACCATTGAAGGAATGTGCAAATTAGGCTTCCTGTTTTTATTCAGCAGACCCCAAAATGCAAAGGCATGGATTGCAGTTTTAAATAAAATCCATTTCTGATTTATTAGAAGCTCCATGCCTACCCTCCTCTGTTATTAACCATCCAAGGAAGCAGAGAGGTTAGTGGTCAAAACATAGGTTAAGGATATATATCCTAAGGGTGGTCATTCAGCAGGGAAGGAAACACAGGCTTTTGTTTATCTGCTTATCTATTTCCATAGCATTCCTAAGATGTCTGAAATACATATGAATGAAAAATGTCACTTGTCATGTTGAAGAATATTAGATGAAAAGAATGCTGAGAAGGGAACTCTGACAGGAATCTACCTTCGAAATAATGTTGAATTTGAGTGTATGTCCAGTGTAATAGATTACCTAGGAATTGAACTGTAATTAGATTGGAAAGATGTTGATGACTATACTATTTTTAGAGAAATAATTAACTGGTGTGGAGGACATGTAACTGCAATCCCATAGTGTAAGTTGTGGTCATTGATGGGAAGCCAGAAGACAGAGTGCCTTTCCTGAGGGGAAAAGCAATAAATAGACTTCATCTGTTAAAGATGAACGGTGCACAGTCCCCTTCTAGGAGCTGTATATGTGCATGTGTGTGTCTAATCTCTTTGCAGAACGGCTAGCCTTGATTGGAAACTCAACCAAGGGAAAGAAAAATAGAGGGTTATGTGTCCAGGACAGGTAAGCCTAATTCAGATGGTCATCATGTGCAAAGTTCAAAAGTCACTGGGCTTAGTGGCAAAAAGCATGGCTTTTTCATAAAGAGGAAGAGTAGCATTAGACCACAGGCCACAACAAGATTGAAAGAGAGAGAGTTTCCAGTGGAAAAAGAGGTGGGCATTATCTTGGTTTTCTTTAGGGGCAAAGTTTGAAGATTGCTTTCTATACTAAATAGCCTCTTTGCCCGTAGCATGTACCTTGATAAGTGAGGTGACAAGCACTGGCAGTGGTGCCTAGGCTTTCCTTTAAATGACAAGGTGAGAGAAGCATAGAGAATACACTTGGAATCCATGCTGCTGGCCAGTAGTTTCCCAGGGAAATTAGCCAGCATGAAAGAGAAGCAAATCTGTCAGGGTGTTTGTTGTTGTTGTTGTTTTCTCATCTTGTTGCAGCCTGGTTTTCTGGAACTTAGTTTCTGTGTGTGTGGGTTTGAGATTATCCTCTCTCCATTATGTTCTTTTAAATAGCATTGGATATTGGCACATGAAACTAGTTTCAGCCCCCAGAGAATCACTGAAGATAGCCTCTCCCTGCATCCACCTGATTTTCCTCAGTTCAGCCAGAGTCTATGCTTTCTGGGAATATGTGTGCTGGAATTATTTAGGTTACTCAGAAGTGAACATAGTATTGGCAAATAAAGGATTATGAGATAAAAATTGAGATTCTAAAGTGGGGTCAAACGGGAAAGAATTGAAAGAGATTGTTTGGTTGATTACATTCACATGGGTTTAAAGGATTAATGTTAAAATGTGCACCTGCATCCTCCCTACCCAGAACATAGTCTGTGCTCCAAGATTATTTTGCTCAGTTGTAAAGATATTTGTGCATTCAAATTCCCAAATCTACATTATATTGCATTAGATAAGATGACTGAGAGAAAAAGGTGAAACGATCGACAGAAATGACTTAAAAGCTAGAGAAATGCTCTCTGGGGATAAGCTTCCTTCTCATTTCTTCAGCGTATGTTCATGGAAACTTACCTAAGAAAAGTACAGAGCCCACCTGAAGGGGTTCTTGGACAGAAGGGTGTTAGGGGATCCCTGATTCAATTCAGATGTGCATTTAAATTTCCCCCTCATCAGTCTCCTCTCTAACATCATGGACTACTCAGTAAATATGTTGCAATTAGTATTTTTCAAAATAATGCATATATGAGCATAATCTTGGATTGGGCAAAGTTGGCAGATTGTTTTCTATACCTTATGCCCTCTTTGTTTATAGAATTTTACCTTGATACAGAAGGCAATATTCTATACTCCAAGTAGAAACAAAGTTTGCTGTCTGAAAACAGGAGATCATTTTACTTTCTGGCATTGTACCCCATTTTAAATAAATGGCCTCTGGTTCTGAACAGTTTGTTCCAGGATCAGCTTAGTGAGTGGACTAGCAGGCTGCTTCTACTATGTAACTAACTGCCTGTGGGAACCTGCCTTCATGAGCCCCCACTATCTCTTCAATATGATCCCCTGGGTTTTGAATCATCCCAAAGCTTTCTACAAACTTTAAAATCATAAACCCATGTTTCTGTGATTCTAATTGCAGAGTTCCATGTTAGATGTTTTCTCAGAGAATGTCTCTGTGTGCCAGAAATTAAAGAGTAATAATAGGACACATTTTTCAGATAGAGTCACTTTCATGAGAGAGATCATAATTGAGATTTGCATTTTAGTCCACAGACTTTCATAAGAGTAGTTGGGAAAGGATGTCTCGCTTCCAGTCTTTTTAATTATGTCTTTTTGAAGGGAAGCAAGGTCTTCTGCAAGAAAATGATTATACCACCCAACAGTGTGCAAATCACATCCATAGAACCCTATTATAAGACAATTTTTGAGGTTGTGGCTTACTGAAAGAAGACATGAAAGTTTTTTTATTCTATGAATTGGTTGCTCTGGGGGTGTGTTGTGTGTGTGCACGTTCATATGTGCGTGCAGTCCATTTGCAGATGGACTTATTTAAAATACAGTTTATCTGAGTGATCATCTTTCTTTTCAGGTAGCTGTTTTATAAAAGGGTTGATACAGGCACAGACACACAAAGGTTTGATGCAAACCCTGTCAGTTGCCTTCAAGTAAGCTCACACACACATCCACACACATGCTCGTGTGCAGGCTCTGGAGGGCACCCTCCTCCCACTAGTCAGAATTAATTTCAGGAATACTGATTTTTAATTTGGCATTCAGTATGCAACCCAGCTGTGGAGTGAATATCTGGTCAGGAAGGACGCACCACCTTGCTGGTCACTGCTGGTTAACAACACTGGAAGTAAAAAGAAAAATACATCCGAAAGAAAGACGGGAGCAGCAGGTGTTTGGATTTCCATATCTGCTCAGGTTCCAAGAGCCCTTGTTTTGATAAAGAGTCTCAGGAGACTAATAGATGCTGTATTTTCAGTCTGAATTGTGAATTTTTCTGTTTGTTTGCTTTTGCTTTTTGTTTGGGGTTGTGGTTTTTCATTATACACATGTTTTCTCTTGTCTGAGAGAACTAAGATGGAAAACTTTTAGGAGCTTGACATTAAAGTTTGAGATCGAGTGAAAGGGCAGAAATTTAGCAGACAAGCCACAGGTCTGAAAATGTAGTTTTGACTTAGAAAAATACAAAGTAGGGAAACACTTTGGAAGAGAAAATGTTTTGTCTATTTTCTTCTTAACTACCTCATATGCATCTTCCAAATGCTAATCCTTGCATTTGAACATGGATTTTTATTTAAATCAGTTCTTCCTTGTATCAAAATTGTACATGCATGTCGTTCAAAAAGTGATGTAGTTCTTTCTATGAAGCTTGTTACAAAAAAAAACAACATTCTGGGCCGGGTGCAGTGGCTCATGACTGTAATGCCAGCACTTTGGAAGGCTGAGGTGGATGGATCATGAGGTCAGGAATTCGAGACCAGACTGGTCAAGATGGTGAATCCCCATCTCTACTAAAAATACAAAAATTAGTTGGGTGCAGTGGCGGGCACCTGAGTAGTAATCCCAGCTACTCAGGGGGCTGAGGCAGGAGAATCGCTGAATCTGGGAGACAGAGGTTGCATTGAGCTGAGATCGTGCCACTGCACTCTAGCCTGGGTGACAGAGCAAGACTCTGTCTAAAAAAAAAAAAAAAAAAAAGCATTGTGGTGATTCTGGTATTCTCTTTTCTCATTCCCCAGAGGCAGCAAATTTCAACACTTGTAGCTGATGTTCTTTTGAGGTAGGTTAGGTAGGGTGGTTACAGCCTCCCTTAAAGGAGAACAAACTTGCTAAATAGATTCAGAGAACAAACCCCCTTACAGTGCACCAATCACATCCTGGGCTGGTGGTTAGAACATCCTCCAGCAAAGAGGCAGAAGAGCAAAAGGGAAAATGCCCAAATGTATGCAATCACAGAAACACATGATTAGTGTTCTTGGCCTGACTTATGCTCATTATAATAGTAAAAAGCACACCCCTGGGTGGAGATTTAAGATGCTAATGAGACATGCATCTTAAATGTACTAGCGTGTACAACCACAGCACATGTATGTGTACTAGTGACTACAACCACAGCGCATGCATGCCAGAAAACCACCTATAACATGCTTAATGGCAGCATTCCATCCCACCTCTTTATGAATAATCATACAAGACTCCCATAAAGGGAGTTTCCCCATGTCAGTCTGTGCTGTCTCACCTTTTAGCAGCCAGTTCTTATCAGCTGTCAGAGTGTACTTTTGCTTTGCAATAAATTTTCTTGCCTGCATAGTATTGGGGGGTGCAGGGTCGGGGGAGGGAGAGGATTGGGAAAAATAACTAATGGGTACTAGGTTTAATACCTGGGTGATGAGGTTATCTGTACAACAAACCCCCATGACACAAGTTTACTTATGTAACAAGCCTGTACATACACCCCTGAACCTAAAATAAAAGGTAAAAAAAAAAAACCACACACATACACATTCTCTTGCCTATTTTTACCATGTACTCGCTCTCAAATTCGTTCATTCAGCAAAGTCAAGAATCTGAACTGGCCTACCAGCTATACTTTGAATTTGCCTACATATCTGTAAAGAACATGCATATACTTCTACTGCTTGATTTTTCAGTTTTAGGCATTATCAATTAACTCATTATATGAAAGATTAGCTCTTTTTTTACTACCTCCTCACCCCTACTGGCTACACATGCTATAAGCTTCCTGATCACACATTCTCTCAATACACTTGTGTTACAATTTTAGTTAGATCAGTATTTAGTGTTTACATTATGACTAGGTAAAAATGCTTTACAGTTCAACCACAGTTAACTTTATTTACCTCCACAACATGGTTTCATTTCTTAGAGTTAGTAGTTGTTTTGCTTCTTTTTCTTTTTTCTTTCATTTAGTTTTCTGGATTTTTAAAACACTAATAATTGAACTTGAGCTTCTCATCCATTGGTAAAAATTTCTGCACAAAATCATGTTCAACATGGTAAGTAATCTGTCAATTTCATGTTAGTGAAGCCTTACTTGCTCTTCTGTGATTGTACACAATTGTCATTTTGACATCTCTCTTCATCATCATCCTGGTAATTTCCTTTGCTTCTCTTAGGATTGGATTTCCTCTTTTCCTAGATCCCATTTATTCTTCCATTTTGGCTTCTTTGGTTAATTTGTTGGAATATATTTTCCAGTAGCTTAAGAAAGAGTGCATTGGAGGAAAACTCTGGGGGCAATGCATGACTAAAAATGGCTTTATTCTACCCTCACATTTAGTTTCTAGCTCGGCTGAGTATAGAGTTTTAGGTTGAGAATCATTTGATGGTGTGAAAATTAAGAAAGAAAGCAGAACAATATCCAGATGTAACAGCCTGTGATAAGCTGTGCTACAGTAACAACTCACAAATTTGCAGCTGCATACAAGCATGATAGCTTTTTTCTAGTTACTTTGCATGTGGTCAACTGTGAGTCAGCTATAATTAAACTCCATCTGCCTTCTCCCTTCAATATCTAGGATGAAGTAGCAGCCACTGTCTGAGCCTTGCCATTCTTATAGCAAGGAAAAGAGTATTAGGGCCATGACCCTTAATGCTTCTGCTCAAATGTCCTTGGCCAAAGAATGTCTGTGGCCAAGCCTAACCATACAGCAGGGAATTAAATTACTAATGCAGGAAGATACTACAAGATATATAACAACAGAAGGAGATTTATTATCCTCTTATAGGAAAGGGAGTAAATAATTGGAAAAAATATTACAACCAAACAGATAAAGTTAATAATAGGGTTTCATTTATATTTGTCTTCATAGCTCATTTTCTTTTCTTGTCTCTTGTAGCTTGTTTTTCTAGAAGATTTTTAAAGCATATTAAAATGGGTCAGCAGTATCTTATATCAGATATTCTCCGTTTGTTCACTTGTATTTTATTTTTTGGCTGTTGTGAGTACTTTGATTAGAGTAATGTGTTGATATTTGCTACCACTCGGTCATAGAAATACCTTTTCAAAGTTAGAACGAACTGTAGGGACTACTTGATATAAAACATTTATTAGACACGAATTACTAGATTGTGAACCCTGGCTCTGTCACTTAAAATCCCGAAATCACATGTTGGAGTTTAGATTACTCTATAATTGATTGTGTTAATCATCTTGAAGGAGGAAGATTACATAAAATAATTTTTTAAAGCATACCCATCTGTAAAACAGGGCTACGGATAGTTGATCCACTAGGATGTCTTGACAATTAAATACCATAATATATTCAAAGAAACATAGCCAAGTGTCCAACTTAGAGTAGGTACTATCTTCAAATTGAGTTAAATCTCAACTTTTCCAGATTGTGAGTCAATAGAAATTCAACATTATAGACAGAGTAAAAACTAAGTATACATTAGTCCCACACCTTACTTATTGGAGATAATATTTATTATAAACAGTAGGCTATGAGAATGCATTCTTACTTATAATCAGCATGCTTATTGTTAACCCAAGAATTACAGGTTCCCAGAAAAACTGAATAAATGGTTTCCTTAAAAGAAAGCCCAGGAATGCTGCATTGCTTTCAATCTGCTTTTGATTTTTAACCAGGAACATGGTTTCACAACAATTGCTTATAAACATTTGGCACATGAGCCAGTGCATATGTTTATGGCTGTCTTCTTATTGACAGTGGATCATGAAAATTCCCACTAGATTGTAACACAGCCCATTCTGGCTTCCAGCCTCCTGTCCTAGTGGACAGCTTGAGGAAGCTCCCTTGGGATGGAGGAATAGTTTACATACATCAATCTGAGATGCCGGATGGTGATGTGATTTTCAAGCTGGTCCCATCGCAGGATGCAGTTAGGTTTAAACCTTGAAATCTGTAGAAGTCGGAAGGACTTTACACTTTTGTGGAAATTTTTCCTCCTGTAACTTTGATTTTAGAAAACTCAAGTTTTGACCTCTGAACGTACTTTTGGAAAGGAAACCCCTGGCTTAGTGCATATTGCCGTATTGTTAACACCCAAGGTAAATCATGTCTGATGGCACACTAATGGCCATCACTGCCCCTCAGTACTTTTCCCAAGAGAACTGTATTTCCTGGATGGGAATGATGAAGCTGTTATTTACAGTTCATAATCTCCGTTAGGCGCCTTCAATCGATCTAAACTCTATTTCTTGATACATGGGTACCTCTCTCTTTCTCTCCCTCTCAGTCACTTTTTTTCCTTAAGGATTTCATACTGGTCTCTCTCTTCTGACATTTTTTTCTCTATGTTTGAAATGACTGTAAATAATACAGAACTTAACAGATGCATAAACTCCATGTTTAAGTCAAGATCCAAAATCCCTTACCCTCGACACATTTTTCTTTCTAATAGAAATCTATACTTACGTTTCTTGGCAGAAAAATTATGTTGTTGAAACTAAAAATATATTAGCTTTTGATATATGAATCTCCAAAGCCTAGGAGATTTATTATTACTTAATCTAAAATGCTGAAGGAAAACATTTGTTCCTTGGGGTGTGAGTGAAAGGGCATTAAAGAGGTCCTTAAGGCTTGTGGGATTTTCATTCTTGTTTTATTTACTTATTTATTTATTTGAGATGAGGTCTCACTCTGTCATTCAAGCTGAAGTGCGGTGGCACAATCACAGCTCACTGCAGCCTCAACCTCCTGGGCTCAAGTGATCCTCCCACCTCAGTCTCTTGAGTAGCTGGGATGACAGGTGTGTGCCACCACACCTGGCTTAGTTCTCGTTTTAGTTTCCTAGGGCTACCATAACAAATGATCACAAACTGGGTGGATTAAAACAGCAGAAATTTATTGTCTCACAGTCCTGGGTGGCAAAAGTATGAAATCAAGGTGTAGGCAAGGCTGTACTTTCTGTGAAGGCTCCAGGGGGCAATCCTTCCTTGCCCCTTCCAGTTTCTGGTAGCTCGTTAGCATTCCTTGGCTTGTGGCCACATCTTCTTCTCTGCTATCTTCACATTGCCTTCTCCTCTGTCTCTCTCAAAACTCCTACCCCACTCTTGTAAGGACACAGATGATTGCATTTAGGATCCACCTGCTTAATCCAGGATAGCTTCTTCTCTCAAGATCTGTAACTTAGTCACATCTTTTGTCATATAAGGTAGCATTTACAAGTTCCAGGGGTTTGACCTGGATATCTTTTGAAGGGCCGCTGTTCAGTTCACCACAGTTCCTATTCTAACTGTTCATGGCTATAAAATCAAGTGGGATTTTTCCTTTTCAGGGCAGGGGGTACTGATACTCCCTGAAACTCTGGAGAACACCTCCAACAGGCATATGATGCTCTCTGTTAAGAGGTTCCCTTCATTCAAGCTCAGTCTGAGATCACTGTTTTTTACTCTCGCCTGGGTTCCTTCTCATCTGTTCTCTAAAGTGAGCATGCCGGGGTTTTCTTGACTCCACTGTCCTTTCGAACATTCAACAATTAGTCAGTATACCATCAGCCTTTATTCAGAATATGAGCAGAGGGGATTCTTTGATGCTGTTGAAAGTCACAACACAATACCCTAAAATGAAGGTCTCAGAAGTAAAAGTTCTTCTCTCATCTCCTCCCCCATTCCTGTCTCTCAGTCCTATTCTCCCCTGAGGCCAGCCAGAGAAACTGGAGTCCCTCTTCTTCAAGATGGGTCATAGAAGCCAGAAACCCTTTTTTGCCAAAGCCAGCCATAACACCTAGAACTATTGCTCTAATTTTCCTTCTGTCTTTCTGTGTAAAAACTGGCCACAAAGAAATTCTCTCACCTACCTTGTTGGGCTGTAGGTCATGAGACCTCCTGTCCAGAGAGGGTCCTGCCCCACACCCAGAAGGAAGGAATAAGTTCTCAGAGTGGCCAAGAAGACTCTAGACAGACAGGCCTTGCTGAGTGTCCTCACTCAGTCCATCAGCATTAGATCATTCCCTTTTTGCACAGTCATATTTCTACACAGCTGTGCATACTTTGTTAAACCTAGACAAAAAAATGGACAATTTCCCCTGCATCTTTGGGTCTTCATTTTGAAGACTCCTCTGTACACTTGTTAAATAAATTTATATGCCTTTTCTCTAATTAATGTGCCTATTGAGAGTTGATTTTTCAGCGATCCTTTAGAGGGAAATGGGGGAGTTTTCCCTTGACTCCCACAATGCTATCCCAGATTTAAGAATGGAGATAGTGGCCAGGCACAGTGGCCCACGCCTATAATCCCAGCACTTTGGGAGGCCAAGGTGGGCAGATCACCTAAGCTCAGGAGCTCGAGACCAGCCTGGACAACATGGTGAAATCCCGAGTCTACTAAAAATACAAAAATTAGCCAGTTGTAGTGGCGGGTGCCTGTGATCCCAGCTACTTGGGAGGCTGAGGCAGGAGAATCTCTTGAACCCAGGAGGCAGAGGTTGCAGTGAATTGAGATCATGCCACTGCACTCCAGCCTGGGCAACACAGCAAGACTCCATCTCAAAAAAAAAAAATTGAATGGAGGTAGCACACAATTTGATGTGTAATAGTGGGTTACTTTCCCTTTTGGTGATCTCCCAGGGATAATTCCCTTCTGTACTTGGCTGTTGAGGGCTTCTCTGACTCTTTTTGGGGTGTAGAGGCTTTTGTACTCAGGTAAACTCTCTGGAATCTGATTCCAATTTTCACCTTTGGATCTCCATTTCTTAGGGGCAAGCAAGGGAAGGAAATGACTGCTAGTAGGTCTAAACAGAATAGGGAAGGGCAATACTTGCACCTCTTTTCCATTATGAAGTTTGGAACAAACTATCAGAACAATGAGCTGTGTGTTTACACGCTCTAATAATCTCTGCATCTACTGTAACCATATCTGGACATCAAGACCAGAACTAGACTGAGTCTGCTGAGTTCCTTTTGGCATTGGACTTGGTTTGAGGCTGTGAGTCCTTTACCCCAGGGATAACCACATAGCTTTATCATTTAATTCATAATAGCTTCCTATTCGTACTCTGTACCCCTTGCTTTTTCTCCAAACCGCAGAATGAATTATTAGTGCCCTGATCTATTTCTGGGAATACACCTGACAAGAATTTGAAATGGAATGACTAAAACAAGGGTATGATCTAAGGTTGGTTTTCTCTGAAATGGAAAAGAGTGAAAATAAAGTGCAGAGTGGGGTAGCTACATATGCCAACTTTTATGCCTACCTCTGTTTCTTCGATTTCTCATGCCTTAATCACACAAGAACTTGTAGGGTGTATGTGGATGGATTATCATGCATCCTGGAATGATAACTCAAGCATCATCCAATACACATAGCCAGTCACCAGCATCTTTTGCCGACAGCAAACCTCCCCCTCTATATCACAAAGCAAAGAAAACATTGGGTTGCTGGGAGCCATACATTCAAAGCCCACCTATGAATGCTTATTGCAAGAAAACCCACCAAGACATTGGAAGAAAGACAAAGTACCCCAAATGAGTGCACTCATTTTCTAGGGCTGCCATAACAAATTACCACAAACTGAGTGGCTTTAAAATAACGAAAATTTCTCCTCTCATATTTCTGGAGGAGAAGAGTCTAAATTCAAGGTGTTGGTGGGGCCGTGCTCCCTCTGGAGCCTCTAGGAATGCGTCCTTTCTTGCCTCCTCCAACTGCGGGAAGCTCCAGGTAGTCTTTGGCTTATAGCAGATTAACTCTACTCTCTGCCTCCATCCTCACAGGGCCTTTTTCTCAGTGTTTGTGTCTTCTTTCTCTTGTAAGGACACCAGCCATTACATTTAGGGGCTGCTTTAATCCAAGTCGTATGGTTTCGCCATGTCCCCACCCAAATCTCATCTTGAATTGTAGCTTCCATAATTCCCACATGTTGTGGGAAGGACTTGGTGAGAGAAAATTGAATCATGAGGGCGGTTTCTCCTATACTGTTCTTGTAGCAGTGAATAAGTCTCGCGAGATCTGGTGGTTTTATAAGCCGCTTTCTCTGGGCTCTTACTTCTCTCCTGCCTGCCACCACGTAACATGTGTCTTTTGCCTTCCACTATGATTGTGAGGCATCCCCAGCCATGTGGAACTGTGAGCCCATTAAACCTCTTTTTCATTACAAATTACTCAGGCTTGGGTATGTCTTTATCAGCAGCATGAAAACCGACTAATACACCAAGATAATGGCATCTCAAGATTCTTAATTACATCTGCAAAGTCCTCTTTTCCAAATAAAGTCATATTCGTGGCTTCTAAATAGACTTTTTTTTTTTTTGGGTGGTGGAGGGCGTGGGGGATGGGAAGCATCATTCAACTTACTACAATGAATACATGATAGGCTCTGATTTCTTATGAGCCACAATTGTTTTTTCCCATGTTCTTACCTCGTGCTATTAAACCTCAGGCACAAAACTGTTAAAGGAATAATTTTTTTAAAAGGAAGTACATTTCTGTCTCACAATGTGTTGCTGTGATTTAGATTCAATCATAGTGAATGACTGTGAATGAAAATATTAGAACAAATGATAATATGACAACTGCATACCATTTTTTCCTTTTGGATTGTAATGTTGAAGAAGTTTCAGCCTTTTCTATTTCTCTAGTCATATAACCTATCCCCGTCTATGTGCATTTTCCTCTGATATGAAAGGTAGAGATAATATTTTCCTTTCAAAAGTGGTAGTTGTTCTTCTATGGACTTTGATTTTTGTTAATCAAAGTACTGTTTGGAGAGAACAGTACTTCCACAAATAATGCATTACTAAGCTTCTAGGTGATGCTTCACTACATCTTATAACCTCCAAATTGTATGGAGATATTATTTCTGATGCTATAAATAAGTCTTTTGGCTAGTTTGCATTTAAGAGAATATTTAAATTCTCTTAAATGCCTGCTAGCCAACTCATTACATGACCACCGTTTTACTTTGCAAGATCTGTTTTTACACTCTGCTCCTTTAAAAAAAAAAAATCACACTTTGGTATAATCTCTGTGAAAGAGTGAAGGTGTTTAATCCATAATCTTCTTGGTTATGTAAATAAATTCCTTTTTGGGGAAATACTGGCTTCTTCTCTAAGAAATGGATAACTTTATTTGAGCATCAATTTTAATATTATTTTTAAAATATGACAGCATCTTATTCCAATGACAAAATTATTGCTCCCCCCTTAAACCTTGTTAGGCCAAATGGATCCTTTCCCATCATATATTCCAGAGGTTCAGCTTGTCTTCACACAGGACATTTGAAAAGTGCTTTTCAAATTTTAGTGTGTGTACAAATCTGTGGGATCTTGTTAAAATCCAGATTCTGATTAAGCAGGTCTGACCTGAGGTCTGAGGTTTTGCATTGCTGACAAGCTCCCAGGTAATGCTTATGCTGCTGGTCTGTGGACCACACTTTGGTAAGATTGTAGGCTACAATGTCAAATAAAAGCAATAAGAAAGATGGTGTTTACAAATAAAAATGTTTCCCCTGAGAATAGCTGATTAACTTTAGCTGGAATCTGAGTATTAGCTCATCCTAGAAACTGAGCCTGTAGCTCATGGTTTGCTTGTGGAACCTGAACCCCATAATTATGTAGATTATTTTTACCATGTAATCTCTGGCTTTCGCCTGCTCTGAATCTATATTTCTTGAAGAAACTTCTCCTCTATGTCATGCATTCCTAGAGAGAATGACAATTATGAGGTTGGCCTCCCTGGCCCAACCAAATCCCCATTACCACTGAGTCCTCCTGCGGGAAGACTGCATGTCCCAGGGATGAATATGCGTACCTCCCTGGATGAATATATATCACTTTGTAGGAGAAAAACTTCTTTTCTAATGGGAATAGTAAGCCGGAGGGAGGTGATTCTGGACCTATTTGTAAAAACAAGCTGACAGATAAGAGTAAATAGAACCTGCAATATTTGTATACCTGAACCAGCCACGCTAAAGTCAGCCCTTCTTATTGCAAAAGTTTATAAATGTCCTAAGATATTTTCAGTTGGGCACTTTCTTTCCACTTGTAACTGAGAGCATTTTGATTAAGACATTCACTGAGATTTAGGTCAATTGGCTCACTGAAAAGCTGTGTTTTACTTGGGTTCCCCAGAAAGCAAAGCCAGAGGCAAATGCTTATGTGCTACTACTTTATTAGGAAGCAAAATCCAAGGCAGGAGGAATGAGAAAAAAGGAAAGGGAGGTAGGGAAGGAGAAGCAACAATATTAAGGTGTGTTATGTTACTGATCATGGCTTAGTGTCCAGCTCAATTGATTGACTGCAAAAGCTTGTAGGATCTTCAGCTGAGAGGCGATGTGAACTCATGTGTCTTAGGAATCTGCTTTGTGGGAGGATGTCAGAAGAATTTAACTGCTTTCATTCATCCTTTGAAGTATAGGTTTGCTGGATGCTATTGTAGGGGCTAAGGCCCTTCGAACCTTAAATGTTCCCTGAAAATCACTGACATAAGGCAGATTGATTAATAGAATAAAAGGCATCCAAACCCATTTAACATGTACACAGGAGCCTTCAGAATGAAGACCCAAAGATACAGGGGAGATTGTCCATTTTTATGCTTATGGACATAAAAGTATGGACAGCTATATATAAATATGATTTGACAAAACGGGAATGACTTAATGCTAATAGACTGAGTGGGGAAACTGAGCAAGGCCTGTCTGTCTAGATTCTTCTTGGTGTCTCTGAGCAGCATTCCCTCCTTCTGAGTATGGGCAGAACCCTCTCTGGAAAGGCGGCGGGGGGATGCGTCTTATGATCTACAGTCAAACAAGGTGAAACAGATCATTTATTTATGGCCATTTTTTACACAGAAATGCACATGGAAAATTACAGTAATAGTTTTAGATCTCATGAGTAGTTTTTGGGGAAGAGAGCTCTGTTTTCTGTGACCCACCTTGGAGAAGAGGGATTCTAGATTCTATAGCTAGCTTTGGGGGGAGAATGGGACTGAGAGGCAGGAGGGCAGGAGAAGAGGAAAATTCACCTCCAAGGCTGCTTCTGATGGCATCATTTTGGAGCATTGTTTTTTTGAGCCACAGTGGTATATTAATTCACTTGTACTTCCAGGTGGTGTATGTGTAGACATCTAGCCACGTGTCATTTCAAGCCTTAGTAATGATACAGCCTCAGGGCAGAAAGTGTAAAAGGAGCAATAGCATGAGGGGAAGCCCTTTCCAATTGCCCCTGGCTCTTCCCACATGCAGCTGGCTCTTCCCTGCAGTGGTATCTGGAAGAGGACAAGTGTCAAAGTTCCTGGAGACAGGTGAGGCTGAGAAGGTCTAAGCTGGTATATTCTGATGCTGCCTTCTACATCTGTAAGCTCTCCTATGCATCATTGTGATTAACAGTCTCTGCCTGTTCCAACAATCCTAGAAAATATTTAGGTTTTCGCTGAAGTATGGTTTTCTGCTGAAGACCGGGCACAGGAGAGTGCTCTAGTGATACTGGGTATATTGGTTTGCTAGAGCTACTATAATAAAGTGCCACAAACTATGTGGCTTAAAATAACAGAAATTTACTCACTCACAGTTTGGGAGGCTAGAAGTCCAAAATCAAGGCATTGGCAGGGCTACACTCCTTCCAAAATCTTTAGGGAAGAATCTTTCTCTTTATTCTTTCAGCTTCTAGTTACTCTTGGCTTTCCTCAGTTTGGGGCCAACATCACTTCAGCCTCTACCTCCGTTGTCACGTAGCCATATTCTCTGTTTCTGTGTCCTTTCCTCTTCTTTTAAGGACATGAGTCATTAAATTTAGGATCCATTTTAAATCCATTATGATATAATTTTAAAATTCTTAACTAATTACATATGCATAGACCCTATTCCCAAATAAGGTCACATTCCAGGGTTCAAAGTGGACCTGAACTTTGGGTAGACATTATTCAACGCACTACACCAGGGTAACGTTTTAAGGACAGAGAGCAGCTTGGCTTACAGCACTCTGTGTGACCTCATTGACTCATGATGCACGCAAGAGTGATAGATATGTGCTATGAGAATACATCTTTGTATAGAGCCCTTCCTCACAATCTTAAATAGCTCCATCCCTCAATTTCAATAGAATTATGACCCTTTCCAAGCTCATTGCTCACCTATTAAAATAGCAACCTGGAATAATCATCCTAGAATAAGCAGTGGGGAGCATTAATTTTGGATGCCAATATGTGTTAATATATCGTAAGGGTGCTCATTCACTAATGTTGTCTTCTTTTTCGGGCCCTTGTTCTGCTATGAGACATAAAGCACGAACCGTTCTATATTTTGAAAATCCCAATTACAATTTTCAACCCCCAGCCTCCATAGAACACAGAAGCTGAAAGTATCACCAAGAATCTACCTATTTTTACTAAAGTCTGCATCATAATTTCACTAAAGATAAGGTAAACATCAAAATTACATTGATCATATAAAGCAAGTATGGATGACATACAAATTCCAATTCTAATAACATCCTAATGATAAGAAGAGAGAGTGTAAAATGTCCTGAAATACAAAAATGCAGACAGGATATTTCTTGAGAAGCAGATAAAACTGATAAGGCTAGGTTTGAGACATTCAGTGTCTCAAAAACAGAGCATTTCCCTGCACCAATCTCTGGTCATATCTTCTCAGGCTTGAAATAATACAACTTGCTCTATGTTTGTCTGAGTATCAATCTCTAAACTTCTAATGAGTGGATGAATAAATGAATTTGTATCTTATTCAGGGCCTTTTATTATGTATTTCAACTCTGTCTATTATGTTTGAAGTTTCCTTAACTGGAATCTTAGCGATTTCTTCTTCGTTTAGGGGTTTTGGCTGAAAAATCATGGGGAAGATGCTACAATAACTTAAATTCGCACTAAGAAACAAATGATATATCAACATCTTTTTGAAAGGTATGCATTAATTGTAGGGTGTAGTCAAAGCCCATGAGGGACCTTGAGAAAATACAGAAAGCAGAGATTAAAGCCTATGCATTTACACTGTAGAACTGCCATCTAAGGCCTAACTCTGAATACCCCCCATCCTTCAAGAATAGAATTCTAGCTTAACTTTCCACCACCATATAAGCTTGTTATTTAACAGACCTGAAATAAGTGGAGGAAGTAGAATTCTCAGGACTAACTATGAATCAAAGCTCATTGATAGCATAAGAAAACCTGTGAGATAATAGCAGTCATTTATCTTTCAGTTCCCACAACAAACAAATCACATTACAATAGAGGTTTAAGTATTTTTGAGTAAATTCTGCGGCCCCCACTGCTCCCATTCTGTGTTGGTTTGATGGTTTCTCCTAAAGCAAAATGGCAAGAGGAGGAAGCATGAATGTAAACTCAGGCCAGGATTGTCTGATACCATTTTTCAGCCCAGAGAATTTGTTCCAAGAGACTAACTATATTTAAACATTATCAGTCAGAAGATGACTCTTACTGAGATGACGGGAAAGAGGAGCAGGGGCTAGAAATATCAGAATAAGTGATATACAACTCATCTGGAAAGATTTTTCCCTTAAAGTCTTCTTTAATTTGTATTATTACTGAATATCACATTTTAATTATAGAGAGTATTAAATCAGTGTCAACTGAGCACCACCCACTTATGGCTCTTAGAGAAGATTATGAATTTTTCTTTAAATTGAGTATATCATTATGGTCCACCTGCCAAATGTCAGATGTCAGTTCTTCCCCTTTCGTGGGAGTCTCCAAGAGCTCTCAAATTCTGTCATTAGTGCACAAAAGCCCAAATGCTCCAATGCCCGTCCTGCTTCAAACTTCACTAGTGGCTCCGCTGACTTACCTTCCCGCACTGGCTTTGACATCTGCAGTACATGTTCTCCCAGCTCCAGCTTTGTAGAGTCCTCCAAGATTTTGCCTGCATTCAAATCATCAGGGATGGTCTTCTTTTTTGGCAATTTCCTCCTTCTCTCTCTCTTAAACTTCTCTTGGGAAATGATAGAAATATATTCTAACATATGTAAACTTTCAGAGCAGAAATTTGACCACAAACTTTGGTGGATATATGTATCATGAGAAGGCATTGTTTAAAAACGTGGAATCCTTAGCCCTGCTCCAAAATATTCTGATCAATTTGGTCGGGGGTCCAGTGCCAGAATTTTCATAGAACATCCTGATGTGGAAATGTGCTCTTTTGTCCAAACTTTGAGGTATTAATTTCCCTTTTTCCCCTTGTCCCCTCCCTTTTCTCCATAGTCAGTCAATCTACAACCTCTTCTCTTCTAATTTTTAAGGAGGTATTTAGCAGGGTAGAGAGCAGAAAAAAAGTTAATTGTCTCACTGACTTTTGTTTTCAAAAGTTTTATTTCTTAGACTCAAGGCCAACCACCAGGTGTCTCTCTATTCCAGTGCCTTGGTACTTCACAAGACCCTTCTGTTATAGCAGAAGAAAACAGACTAAGCCTCACTGTTGTAATAAAATGCCATAAACTGGGTGGTTTAAACAACAGACTATTATTTCTCACAATTTTGGATGCTGCAAAGTCCAAAATCAAGGTTCTCCTGATTCAATACCTGGTGAGGAGTCTCTTCCTAGGGTGTTGATGGCAATCTTCCTGTTGCTGTGTCCTCACATAGCAGGGAGATAGAGACAGAAAGAGAAAGAGAGAGAGAGAGAGAGAGAGAGAGAGAGAGAGAGATAGAGAGAGAGAGAAAGCATGCTGGTGTCTCTTTCTCTTCTTACAAGGGCACTAATTCTATCACGGTGGTTCCACCCTCATGGCCTCATCTAAACCTAATAACTCCCCAAAGGCACCATCTTCTGATAATGGCACATTGTGGGATAGGGCTTCAACATACAGATTTGGGGGGCATGCAAATATTTAGTCCATAACAAGACCAGAGCCCATAATCTGAATAGAAAGACTGCAGTGTAAAACATATATATATATATATATATATATATATATATATATTTGTATATGCATACATAAAATTCTGGAAATCTAAGTTTGTGGACTGAAACTCAGATCTCTCCTGCCAGAAAGTCCAGATACAGACACAATGCCATGTGGTTTCACCATATAATTTGTCACAGGTAAGCTGCATGCACTGGTCAGTGGCTGTCATCGGGAGCTGAGGGGCAGTTGTGCCCTGGAGGTTTCCATTATGGAACTCTGGGACTGGAATTTATTAAATCCACTACCAGTTCTGGTTTAATCTCCAGTTTGTAGAATGCACAGGAGTAGAAGATTGCCTGGAAGCTACCTGTGCTAAGGGAAGAAATCAGAGAGTGGAGGTTCAAGGTGGGGACAAAGAGAAGGCATGAAGTGGCTGCAAGAGGAACAGGATGTCCCTGTGCTCCAGAACTGCAAGGAGCAAGCCTGTGCAGGGGGGAAGGGACACTAATACCATCCAGTGCTTTACACTGAAGCAGTTTTAAGCCAAATGAAGCTGAATGCATCTCTTTAATCTCAGATGTTGCTTATTAAGAAACATTCTTCTTACTTTTGCATCCCAGCAAGGGCTTTTCCCTGCATCTGTTCTCCCACCAGAGCCCAGAGCTTTCTGACAGAGGAAAGCAGAGATCAAAGCCGGCACTCAGGGGAAAGGAAATGAAGCCCTGCAGCAGGAAAGCAAGCTGGGGACATGGAAATCCAGTGTCGTTTCAGGCGCGTTCTGGCAGGCGAGGCCCTGGCAGCATGCTTTCCAGCACTGTGGGCTCCGCGCCAGAGCTATGGTATAGAATAGCAAGCAAGCTCTTGTAACTGATGAAGTACTACTGTTTGCAAATTATTTACTTTAAACATATGAATGAATTAGAGTAGATTCAAGGAATCTCCATTACAAAGTATCAGTCACTTATTTGTGTTCCTCCCAAACAGGTAAAAATATTACTTTATGGGTATTCGGTACCTCTCCCATGCATCCCCACCTTATACCTGAGCCCCATCTCTAGACCCCACCCCAACCCAAAGAATGTTGCTGATGGACTGGCCTCCCCTGATACTCCATAAGAAAAATTCTTCCTTGTTCTATTACCTATTACTTTGCTTCAAAATGAGAGTTAAGCATAAAATTTAGGGAAAGGACAATGACAGAAATGTGGAGTGGTTCCTTGGATTCACCTTGGAAAGAGCACAGAGCTACAGGTGAAACAAATGTTTTCATAAGGAAAAAAACAATGGAAAGAAATGTGGATAAACCAGAAGAAATGAAGAATGATAATGAAGCCGAATGGTCTAGGATTTTTGGATTTTTGGTAGAAATTTTAGCTCTAAGTAGAAAGAGATTTTTTTCTGTTTTGGGAGTACAACAGGGTGTTGTGGCTTGAGTGAGAGAATAAAAACACAAAGAGTGGCCTTGTGAGGAAAGAGTATTTTAAGTATGGGTGGGTTATGAATGAGACTTTCCTATAGAGTTTTGAGAAAGACTTCATTATAGATTTAATTTGCTTTTCAATTGATTTCTCCAACTCTAAACTGTTGGGATCCAACCCTGGACAGAAGCTGCTTTAAAGCAACAGGAAGCTACCCTGAGTTTATGTGGGCTACACTTGAATGGGAGAGGAAGGCGGAATTAGCCCTAGCTAGGTCTGAAATTGTGCATGAGCTGCAGACCATTTTATCCGTACAGCAGCCCAGAACAGGTCCAGTCTTCCCCGGGCATGCAGCCTTGCAGCCATCATCCGCAGCCAGCCTGTCACTGCTGATAGACAGTAGAGAGCTGCTCTTGAAGGGCAGGATGCCCTGTCTACAATTGAGGAGCGAAAGAAGAGAGGAAATCTGGCAAGTCCTCATCACCAGGTCCTCACCCCATCCTTGCTTTGTTCCCATCTTTCCATAGAGACTTTGAGACAGAATCCTTCCTCTGGAGCCCGTATCCCCTCAACTTCCTGAGAATTATGAATCTGCCTCGTTCTGGGGCTGTGTGGAGAGACCTGTTGTTTACAACAGCATCCCAGATAGCTTGGTTTTGTTTTAATGGCATCTTTTTCATCCTCAATCGAGAAGTCTGTCATAACAAGCTACTGTAAATTACTGCCAGTCCTCCTGTTTTACCACCTCCAGCATTTCAGCTGTGATATAGGGCCCATAAATCTTGTCAGGACCCATCTCACCACATTCAGTGCTTGGGCAGCCTCCTCCACATCCTTCCGTTTTTTGCATTCCCTCTACCTCTCTTGACTGTGAATGGTTCAGCCAAAAGGGAAGTGGGGCTGCAGTGGTGTTTAATCAGACCCTGTGGGGGCCGTGAAGATGAATGGGATTTGGGACCTAGGGTTAAGAGAGGGGAGGGAAGAAGAAGAAATAGGTCGCAGCAGTTAAGTCTCAGAGGAACTAAATATTTCAGAACTGGAATTGGCTATAGATAGTTGCAAGGGTGTCTGAGTGGAAGAGAGAGAGAGACAGGTTGTGAGAGAGAGAGAGAGAGTATAGTATACTTTGTGTTGATAGATACACAAACCGCAGCAGGTTCCCCAGCTCAAAGGATATGACTTGTTCATTATTGATTTTCTTCCATGTTTGATTAGAACTAGAACTGGAGGATGGAGGGAGAGAGTATCTCTAAGCCCTGGGCATACTTTGATGTTTGCAATAAATCAGGATATTAGTAGTTTTGTTTTTTGTTTTTTTTTAAAGAAGGTGTATATCTAATGCTTTCCCCCCGTAGGAACTCAGGGTGCATTCTTCATTTCTTTCTGCACTACAAAAAAAAATGAGTACCAAACCTGAGAACACACGAAATCCCACCTGATTCAAAATGCAATAAATAAGGACATTAATAAATAATATATAATGAAAAATAAATAAATAAATATAGCTGCTTCCTTTAAAGGACATTTACTTTTCAAAGCTGCCTTCTGATGTCCCTCTGTCCTGGCTTCTCTTCCTTAGATCAGCTGAGACTGATGACCTTATACCTTTCCTTTCACCTTACCCTAGTTTTCTAGCTGAAGTGTGAGCTTTTCTCCTCCCTGACTTTTTCTGGGTCTCTGCAACGAAGGAACCCCTAAAAGACGGAGGGTGGGGAGAATAGGGATGCCAGTGAACCAACTTCCTCTCAGCCATTTGGAGGCTTTGCAAATTTATATTAACTATCAGACAAGGTTGAGGTGAGGCCAAAAGAGATAGAAAAAATGTGAGAGGCGGGATTAGAGAAAGTTCCAGAAAATATTATTCTCTCCTCTGCCAAACTTACCTGAGTGCTACACACTCTTGCCTTTGTTTACCCTGGACATAGTTGGCTTTCATCTGCATTGCTGCCTTGCTGCTGCGCTCTTTCTATCTAACTGAATCCTAAAGCCTTTCCCCATCGTAGGCCATAGTCATTCCCTTCAATTTCCCATTTTTTTTCACTTTACTCTTCCTTCCTTTCCAGATCCTCTTACTGTTTCTAACTGAACACTGCAAGCTCCTCTTTCTCTTTTCATGCACTAACTAGGTTTTTACAAAGGCTCCTTCTGCAATGATCTCATTTTCTTAACACCTCTAAATAGTATATGCATCATCACAGAGAATTTCCCTCCCTTGTGACTCGATTATCACAATTTGGACCATTTAAACATCCCCTTCTCTACCCTGTCTGACTGCCTGGGGTCCAGTGCCACGTGTCCAGCTCTTCCCTGAGTATAGGCACTTAGACATCCTGAGAGCAATAAAACTCAGGACACTTCTTTTAATGACAGTATTTTTTCCAGCTCAAAATCTCAGATACATCTTTGATTCTTGCTTCACTTATGTCATCATCATGCTCTGTAAAATGCCTAGAATCCCTTCCTTCCTTTCTTCCTAGATATCCTTAACACCTCTTGCTTGGCCAAATACACACACACACACACACACACACACACACACACATTCTCTGCCCTTCAATCCAGCTATTTGTTTAAACTCTACACACTTCATAGTTCGATACACACTGCACAGCTCTCATACACATTTGGCTTTCTTTCCCCACTCCCAGAATAAGAAAACCTTGTTTGTAGAAAATCCCAAAATAATGGGAGAAAGAGTCTTGCCTTTCACTGTAGGTACTGAAAGGACAGGAGTATCCGTATCTCCTTTTTGGCCCCTTAGAAGCTAGAGAATACACATGTGACAGAATCGGGGTAAATGTATGGCCCCACCCACGAATTTGAATCTGATAAAGTAGCAAAAGGACATGGGGGAGTGAAGGACAGTTTGCAGCAGGCATGGCAGAGTTCAGCAGCATGACCATAAGTGGTCACTGGTGGAGGGCCAGGATAGAGTAAAGCAGATTCACTGCTGGGCCTAACAGTGACGTGCCACCCAGGATATCCAGAGGTGAGATCTTAGCTGAGTCTTCAGTTGCCTAGACCCTCCCTCTGAAATCCTGCTCATTTTTCAATCAAATTTTACATTTTTTTCATCAATTCTGTGAGTTGCCCAATATCTTTTCAGTGAATTCCTTTATTTGATTAAGTTATCCAAGTGTAATAACCATGTTTTCTGGTTTCTGCACTTGATGCTCTGATATCTGGGGCCTCGCTGACCTTGGATGGACTGCACTTCCCAAAGTTAGCCAATTCCTGAAGACTCAGCTGCAAGAGTGTCTGCAAACTGATCAATCCAGAGCCCATGCCCCCAGCCATCTCTTTTGTAAATACTGCTCTAATCACCCCAGAGTTAAGTAGCAGGTGACTAGGCACAACCCTTATGCCCCAGAGCACACTGGAATTGTTCAAACCAGCCAATCCTAAATGTGCTTACCCTGTCTCTCCCATTCCTTCCTGTGGAAACTATAATAAAGGCTCTTGTCCATGTTTTCCCCTCACTCCTTCTACCTTGACTGACGCTGGTGCTTCCTTATGTGGCCTCACTTTATGACATGCCCTGCTTCTGGTTTTATGGTCACTTTTCCATGCCTGCATGTCTTACCAAACTTGATTAAAATAAGTTCCAGGTACCCTTAAAACACCAGGTTTGACATTGTTTGCAACCAAGAATCCCAACGGGCATAATTCCTGTCTTATCAGAGGTTTGTGGGAGTGATTAGAAATAGGAAACTATTAAAACTAACTTAAGAAGGGTTATACTGATCAACCTTGTTCTATATCTGTATCTATAAGACATCCTCATAGATATCTAGGATTAAGAAATAAAGAACAGCTGAACCACATGGGATTTGACCAGGAATGCAGGGACCCAAGGCTCTCCCCACCATCTCTCAGAGTTTTGATGTACCTTCTCTGCTCTCTCTACCAGTCTACTCCTCTATCATGTTTCTGTCTCACTATTGGCTTTCTTTGATTAATCATCAGCATGTACATGACCACAAATGGCTGCATCCTTACCCAATTTGATCTTTCAGTTCAAACACTCACCAGGATGTGACTCAGGGCTCAGTAAATTACAGTCCACAGGTCAAAGTGTGACTGGCACCTGTTATCTAAATACATTTTTATTGAAACACAGTCATTCCCATTCACTTGTGTATTATTTGCAGCTTCTTGTATGCTACAGTGACAGAGTAGCTGTGACAGTGTGACTGGCTCACAAAAACAGAATTTTTACCATCTGGCCTTATATAGAAAAAATTTCTTGACCATTCATCTAGCTGATGCAGTCTCTCTGCTTTCCTTCTTCAGATAGATTCAGCTCTGGTCAGGTTTCTACCCTGGTCCAATCACCTAAGGTGAAGTGTATGTGATGTTGTATTACTTAAAGAAAATATCTTGCTGATTTTGTGGTGAAGGAACAAGTCTCTAAGAAAAGGAAGTGAAAAAGAATGCATTAATTATCACTTCTGCATTAAGGGAAAACCCATCACTTTTATCTTTACTACATGTTTCAAAAACATGTGATAGCTCCCCATTTCTCACTAAAATAAAAACTAAACATTGCTGCATAGCTTTTGAAGTTGTCCCCATTCTATCAGTTTGATTTCATATGAAAAAGTAAGCTCCTTTGCCTCCTGACCATGATAAATCAGGCAGAGATACCTGACATTTGTGGCTCAGAAACCAAAATGATAGGAAGAAGGGAAAGATGGGCTGGTCATGCTACAGGCTGGGTGACTTAGACCATTTAGTGTTGCTATCACAGCATACCTGAGGCTGGGTAATTTCAAAAGGAAAGAGGTTTATTTGGCTCATGATTCTGGTGGCTGGAAGGTTCAAGATTGGGCAGCTTCAACTGATGATGGCCTCAGGCTCCCTCAACTCATGGTGGAAAATGGAAGAGGAGTGGCATCAAGAAAGAAATCAGTTGGCAAAAGGAGAAGCAATAGAGAGAAACCAAGGAAGCCAGACTCTTTTTAACTAACTGCTTTTAGTCAGAATAATCTATTCTTGATAGAGGGAAAACCATTCACGAGTAATTTACCCTCACGACCCAGACACCTTTCACTAGGCCCCAGCTCCCAACATTGCCAATCTGGGATCAAATTTCCATATCAGTTTTGATGGGGACCAACCACAACCAAACCATAGCACTGGAGTCAGAGCCTGATTGAGGACAGCCAAAGGGTGTAACAGCTCAGTGCTCAAAGGAGCATAGTGACTAGTGTCTGGTGTGGGCAGGAGTTAATATCTGAGAAAATCCAGATAAAATATTGTGCAGGCTATTAAAGAGAAAGTCTAAGTATTACCTGCCCTTTCTCCTGAAATGATCCAAATTACTGAATTCACAAGGCCTCTAGCATAGGCATAAGGGAAGATACTACCTGTGTAAAGCTTGCATGTGAATCTGATTCCAAAGTTGAAGCCAGCCATGGCTAAGCAGCTAGGCGTCCTTAAGTTCATGAAAAGCCCAGTGAGAATCTGGAATCCTGAAGCTGAACCTAAATTTGTAGAAGAGAGGTAAGGAATTTTTTTTTTAAACGAGTATCTGGTAGGCAAGCCTGTGCCTCGTAATTACTCCAATTACCCAGATACCTGGTTTGATGGAAACAAGGCTAATTCCCAGTGTTGACAGCTAGTTGAGCTGAGGCTTCACACTCAACCCCAGTCAGGCTCAGCTGGGAAATGGAATGTTGCTGAGCCTGCAGGTGACAGGAATCAATGGCTCCCACTGAGGGGAGCTGGTAAAGGTCAAGTTTTATATTGTTTACTTATTTTATATCATTCCATACTATGAGTCTTTCAATGCACACAGATTTGTTTCTCTTATGAATATAAGCCATTGTTGGGAGGCTGGTGGGGGAGACCCACTTAAGCCCAGAAGTCCAAGGCTGCAGTGAGCTATGATCATACCACTGCACTCCAGCCTGGGGGGCAGAGCAAGACCCCTGTCTCTAAAACAATAATTAAATAAATAACAATATAAGCCACAGTGTTCATCCTAACCTAAAAAGTTGTGCTATTTCACTGACCTCTAATGCCCACCCCTTTATTATCCTATGACAAAGCAAACAATGAGAGTCTACTATGTACAAGATATTATTCAAGGAGTTAAGGTCACAGAGGTCTGAGGTGCAAGGTATGGGCAAAGAAATGTCCCAAGGTGGCCATGTTTTTTCATAACATGAAGTCTCTCTGATGCAAGTCATCTTATCTGGAGACTATCAGAAATGCAAATTATCCACTAGCTATTTGCATTAAGGTTGTTACATTTATAAGTAATCCAAATCAAATTAATTTAAGCTAATAAAATAACTATAAATATGAATGCAAATGTAAATGTAAATAATAAAAAAAGAAACTAAGTTGACTATTTTAACTAAAGAGTCCATGAGATAAAGCTCAGAAATTAGCTGTTTTCACATATGGCTCTTTTCAAGGACTAAAATTATACCAAGTTGTATTTTCTCCCTTTCTCATTTTTCTTCTCTGATCCCAGCTCTTAGCTATACTTCTTTTTATGTTGGCTTCTTTCTTAACTTAGTAAACAAGTAAACAGATTCTTCTTAACTTGGTGGCAAAGATGAACACAGACAGCTCCAGGCTTGCATCTCACTAGTTTTGTAATGCCGGTGGGAGATTTTCCCAATAGCTCCAAAAAAGTGTTGAGAATTATTTTCACTGGCCCGGCTGAGGGCATGTCCCCAACTTTGAATCAATTATAAGACATTTTGTATTTCTTCCCAGGAAGGGGATTTTTGAGAAGGTCAGTATATCTAGTAACTTTGGTTTGGGGTGAAGGTTGGAATCTCGGATAACATCCCTTCAAATACGAGATGACTGTAGGCATCTGGTATACCTAATTTACATTCTTATCAAGGAACCCAAAACTAGAGGTCATGACTTTCAGGGCTTTATATATTTCTGAAAATTTCGCAATATCTGATAGTTGAAAATATGTTCCTTCAAGATACTTAGTGGCATTAAGTTCCTTAAATCACAATAATCTGTGTTCTAGTCTTTTGGGGAAGCAGAAAAGGAGGCTGCGGAGTGGGACATACAGTAACAATATAGGAGAGAGGACAAAAGCACCGATAGTGCAGAATGCTCTTAAAAATAATGGGGTCATTGATCTCAAGTCACATGGG
The DNA here is from genome assembly GCF_000001405.40 of Homo sapiens. Classification (NCBI taxonomy): domain Eukaryota; kingdom Metazoa; phylum Chordata; class Mammalia; order Primates; family Hominidae; genus Homo; species Homo sapiens. Next base: position 36,496,794 of record NC_000008.11, on the reverse strand, counting down.
TCCAACCATTTGCATGAAATACCATTGTAGTGTGATTCTATCATGCTCATTATAAAGTGACAAGCCTTTGAGCTGTGAAAGCCCATCAGATGTGTCCATCAGAATTGTGCCATCCCGGGCTAAGTGAATAACTGGGTGTTGGATGAAGACCTCATCTACCACGTGACCTCCCATCTGGGAGCCTGCCACTGCATCAGGCTCTACACAGGTCCTTATATCATCTCTCCCTGTTCCACTGTCCAGGTCCTCGCAGACCTTCTCATGGTACTTTGGAGTAGACACTACCCTAAACAGGTGGAAGTGATTGGTCTGTGGGCTTACCAAACACTTATAAACAGGAACAAAGTCCAGTCTGGGAAGCTGAGAGTGAGAGAAGTCAAGGATAGCAAGTCAGTGTATATGCTGAGCATGAGGTGAGGGTGGCAGGGAGGGAGGACATTTGTACTGGATGCTGATACATGGCACAGCAGAGGCAGGCTTTCTTCCAAATAGTCCCACTCTCATGCCTTCTGCACCAACCAAACTGAACCACCTGCTTTTCCCTGTACATGCCAAATTATGTCATCTTTGCTCTTATTAGTTCCTCCAACTAGAACTTCTTTTCCATTCTATCACAATTCCATATATCCAATTTTTACCCATCTTTCAGATATTAGAGAGATGCCCTCCAGGTCATAGAATTGTTGCATTTGAACTGGATCTTGATTGTCCATAACATTTTACCTACACCACTAGTACAGACAGCCTTAGCTGAATGCCTTATTTTTTTTTAGTTTTCTATGCCCCATGCATGATATCTCTGAACAGATTAGCAGCTCTTGGAGGAAAGAATCCATGACTAGTTCATTTCTTCCTGCCTGATACAACTTCCTTATTCAAAGTAGGCACATTCATTTGTTAAATCAACAAATAAATAAACATTTTATGTTCCTACTGACAATCATTTTCTTTGAAACTCCTTCCTTATATCCATGTGTCTACACCCCTCAATCTTCTGCTCAAGTTACTGCCTTGAGTCTCACGTCATTCTGAGTCCTCCTAGCTCTACAACACGCACCTTGATATTTTTCTTCTTTTTCCAGGTTTTCATAAGGAGGTCAAACCTAGCACTAAGACTAAAAGAGAGAAGCAACACAATGTTGCCAAAAAGGGGAGTCATGCTGGTTATTATGGTATCCTGCTCTAGAAGTTTGATCAGACGAACTAAGCTGACTGGCCCAGGTGCTGGCTCAGGTATGGTCACTCAAGTCAAGGCACAGAATCTAAGCAGTGTTCCAAGCTTAGATGAGGTTCGGCTTCCTGTTATTTAGTCTTATCAAAAAGACATGGGGTTGAAAGAGTCTAAATGGAGCTCTACACATGGGAGGAAGGGCAATAACTTCAAGTACTCTGTGACTTGTGGTGGTAGTAAGGCTGCAGAAAAAGGAAGATGATGGACTCCTCATTGTTGATTGTATAATACTTTTGTATTTTTGTTTCAATTTTGAAAACATTCCTTATTCACTAATTGCCTAACACATTTATGCCTTGAATCCAACATGGGACTAAAAGTTAAAAAAAAAAAAACAGATCCATGTGTTCAGAACTCCCAGGCCCTACACACACAGCTTGCCCACCCCCAAACTCAGAGTACAACATAGAACTGGAGACTGAGCAATCGACTTAATGAATAATTGAAATGTTTTTCTCTGGCCAGATTCCATTCAGGGATCTAGCATGGACATTGGCAACAGCCCTGTTTGAGAGTATGTTCTGGTTTTATTTTCATTTGAGTGTATGTTCTGAATTTTATTTCATTCTAATTATGTAACCCTGAGCAATTGCTTAATAATCAGTATTGCTTTTTTCATATCTGTAAAAGGGGGATAATAAATGCCATCTGAGGTTTTTATAAGGATCAAATAATGAAATAATATATAGTGGCTGGCACTATAATATATCATCCCTTAGCACAGTTCTTTGCTCAGTAAAAAATGTTTAATAGATAGTTAGCTATTATGTAGTCTGCATTTTGACATTATTTGGAACCGTTTGATTTTGGCAATGATCACTGCCATTTCAATGTATGACTTATGAATCAAAAAGACCAATTTAGCATTTAAGAGGAAAATAGTGGATCTGTATTAGCAAAAGTAGAAATGTCTAAAGACAGACTTTATGTTTTACAGATTTCTGATTTTTGTAATTTGTAGAGTTCTGCAAAACAGTGAGGCAGATTCAATTGAGATGTTTGCTGCTCCCTATCAAAAGTAATTCTGAAGTGTTAATTATTTTGTCCCTTCTGTTTTGAGATTTTTGTGTTGTTTGCTACATGCCTCTAAAAAAAACTATTTACTCTCAGCTTCAGTTGGACTTACTTCTTTTTTGATAAAATAACATTACTGGTGGGAAAAGCAGAGCTTTTTATTTGTGTTCCTTCATGAATGTGTTCCTATTGCACATGTCTCAAAGGCCATTTACATCAATTAAGACACAATAAACGTATTGCTAACAGTCCTCATCATTCTACGATGTGCTCCGCATTGTTATGTATGGAGCACTCTCTGTTCATCCCCGCCTGTGATGTCATCCTGGCACAGCAATCCATCTGAAATATTGTGTTTTATTGAGCCATTCACCCAGTATGCATAGCATTATGAATCAAGGTTATTTCTTGTAGACTTTTGCTTTTTAGTAGTAGTCACAGCTGCAATAAGAAAAAATGGCTGATTTATTCTTAGTTTTTGTTCTACATTCCCTTTGGAGTAAATTCAATAGGAAAGGGGGAGTACAGAATCTGAAAATCCCTCATAGTAAAATTCATCCACGCATGTTTCTAACTCTAGGGAGCATCAGTTTCTCTAAGGGAATTTTCTGATTGATGTGATCTGTCCTTCCAACCAAGCAGAGTGTAGACAGGGCCTATGTGATGTGCTTAGTGTAACTGGGGCCCAGAGACCTGTAAGAACAAAACACCTACTGCTTTGGTTTGAACGTCCCCTCCAAAACCCATGTTGGCATTTAATGACCATTGTGGCAGTATTAGGTAGGACTGTTACGAGGTAATTAGGCCATGAAGCTCTGCCCTCGTGAATGGATTAATGTCTTTATTGCAGGAGTGGGTTGTTATAAATGAGAGTTTGGCACTCTCTCACTCCCTCTTTGTCCGTCTGTCTCTGTCCATCTCTTATGTGCTTTCTTGCCCTTCCTGCTTCAACCATGGAATCATGCAGTAAGAAGGCCCTCCTCAGAGGTAGCTCCCTTGACTTTGGGTTTCTCAGACTCTAGAATCATGAGCCAAATAAATTTCTATTCACTTAAAGTTACTCAGTTTGTGATATTCTGTTATAGCAACACAACAAAGACTAAGACACCTACCAACTTGTCCGTGATCCAAAATTTCAATTTTTGGCCATTCTTTTCTGTTAAAGCATTTAATGCCTCTGCTGAACTACAAAAACTCATTGTCACAGAAAACCTCCTACAGGAAGTCCTCCTTAACTCTTTTTAGAATCATTACATGTGCCTCTTGTGTGCCCCTCCTTCTAGCCCACAGGTTTACTCCCAGCAGAACATGATTATCATACTATTTAGTGTCCTTGGCTCCCCTTAGAGAGCAATTATTATTGTTGACAGAGAATTCATTTTATTAATGAATTTTAGCTGGTCTAGCACATACTGCTTACTTCAGAAAAGTTGAATCACTCAGAATCCAGATATCCAGGTAGCATATCCTTGAATATATTAATTAAAACAACACCAAGGCCCCACTTAACCAGCCGTTTCCTGTGACTTTTCATTCCTGATAGTTCTAAGGACCTTTGGAGTTGTTTAGAAAGTTCTCCTTGTGGCTTATCTGATGCCTTCCCAAGAGAACTCCACTTGAAGAATTAGCGAATAACATGTGAGATTAAATTAGTCTACTGTGTTGTAATGGTTTGTTTATATGTATCCCACTCTTTTGAAATCAGTGGCAGACAACACGCTTGATAGGCATGGAACATTTCTAACACTACCAGTGGTTTCTGGTGTTGTGATTCCTCGAAGGTAGAGAGGGAGGAGGAAGGAGCTATATCTGGAAGCCTATCAAATTTCTGGGAAGCAGGTATATTTTGAAATATCTACTTAGATGATTCTGATGTACTTCACTCTACTTAAATTTGGTAACTGAGAACATAACCGGAGCTATTTTCCCTTGATCTCCTAGCAGTTTTATGGAACTGGCATATAATAGATGTGCCATATAAGTGAGTTAGCTAGTTACACTGTCACTCACAAAGGTAAGAAGGGATATAGTAAAGAGAAGAATAGGTATGTATTTATAGAAAGGGAGGAAAGAGAGTTAACATAAATGTCTTTATCACAACAGGTTTCCCAGCAGAAGGAAAGGCAAATCAGGGCAGTGCAGTTCTAGCAAAGGGGATGTGGGGCTTTAGAAATGTCACTGGAAACAGGAGTGTGAGTTGAATAAAGAATACTGAAAACTACACTTTCCTATTTGACAGTTGCTCAGTTCCAATGCTATATGTGTTTCTTCCTTTTTTGTTTGTTTGTTTTGTTTACTTTTCCACAAGACCTGTCAGATGACAACTGGGGCTTTGACACCAGCATCTTTTCAAAACAATGCATGCCTAATTTAGAGTTCATGCTGTTATTTTAGTCAAAGACACAGCAAACATGCAAACAACATTAGAAACATCCACTGACATCCTTAGCTACAAATAGACACCTCTACGTGTAAACATGCTTCATCCTCTTCTATGTCAGCAATTTGCTGCCCTCTTGTCAGTGTTTTCTTCTAAGTATAATCCTATGAATACTTCATACATTCACAGCCATATTTCTTAAAAGAATGTTCTGTGCTTGCTGCCTTTACTAATTCCTTATTACTTCAGCCTACTAAAATCTGGTTTTTGCCATCTCCAGGAGGCTAAAATTGGTTTGTTGATGACTGCAAGTAGAACAATGACACAATCCAGTGGAAGTTTTTCTTTCTCTTTCTTCTCATTCACACCCCTTTTTCTCAGATTCTTCCCTGCCTCTCTAGGCACTCTGCCCAGTCTTATTTGGTGAATTTTTTATTCAAGTCCACATTAAAACTTAATCTTTTCTTCAGGCATATCCTTCAAGCTCTCTTTTCTCAATCTATGCTCTTCCCAGGTGATTTTACCAAATCTCTGACTTCAACGATCCCCAAAGCTGCATTCTACTCCTAACTTCACTCCTGAGTGCCAGACCCCAGTGTTACTGTCCTCTTCTACTATATCAGGATGGCACACAAGGACAATCTATTGCTAGAAGAATTCCTTCTTTCTGGTAATTGCTTACAACAATTCTGAGGGTTAAAAAGAAGGTACAAAAGAATTCTGTTCTGTGCCCATGATGTGGCCTTTCATGTTATACAGAAACCTCCTCAACTGTGTACTTACTCACTGGATCTGCTGCATTTCTTCATTTTCCATCTTTTTGCCTTTTTCTGGCTCATAGCTCTATCTGGCCAGCATCCCGCAGTCAGCCAAAGAAAGACACACTAACAGTTCTATTCTGGAGGCAAACAGTGGATCTTAATTCTTCAGAATGCAGCAGCAAAAAGACAAATACACTTCCCATTTAATACTATTTTTTGCTTCTCCCAATATGACTTCAATGCCTTTTTATGTTAAAATGCCCCCTGTCCACCGTGGGGAGGAATAAATAATGAAATAATGGACTGTTGTTGGCACCGTAACCTATAACTTCCTAGCATAGTTTCTGATACAGATAAATATGTTTAATAATGATTCACTGCTTTAATTAACTCTACATTCTGACATTTTTGGAGCTATTTAGGCTTGGCAGTGATCAGTGTCTTTTCATTGTGTGAGCTTTGCATTAGGAAGATCAATTCAGCATTATTAGTTTGTATTGGAAAAGGGAGAGGGCACTCGGTCCTATTACACATATTTCTAGCAGCTAAGAGTGCTTTCACATGACTGTGCTACAAAATCTCTGTCTCACCACCTGTAAACCAGAATGATTTCACTGCTTCTCAGAAACCTGGCCCTCCTTGCCTAAATTGGTCACTGCCCATTGCCCAGACTGGAATCCATCTTTAATTCACTTCCTGTCTCCACTGTTCCCATATCTTGTCAGGCACCAAATCTTTCATCTGCCCAAAATAAAGCTCAAATCTTATCTCCCCTACTGTCATTACCTTAATTCTGTTAATGCTAGTTTAGTGCTTAGTGTTTTATATGCGTCATCTATTTTTTTCTTCACACACAAGCTATAAAATCTGTATTATCGGAGGAGCCAAGATGGCCGAATAGGAACAGCTCCGGTCTACAGCTCCCAGCGTGAGCAACGCAGAAGACGGGTGATTTCTGCATTTCCATCTGAGGTACCGGGTTCATCTCACTAGGGAGTGCCAGACAGTGGGCGTAGGCCAGTTGGTGCGTGCACTGTGTGCGAGCCCAAGCAGGGCGAGGCATTGCCTCACCTGGGAAGCGCAAGGGGGCAGGGAGTTCCCTTTCCGAGTCAAAGAAAGGGGTGACGGACGCACCTGGAAAATCGGGTCACTCCTACCCGAATATTGCGCTTTTCAGACCGGCTTAAAAAACGGCGCACCACGAGACTATATCCCACACCTGGCTCGGAGGGTCCTAGGCCCACGGAATCTCGCTGATTGCTAGCACAGCAGTCTGAGATCAAACTGCAAGGCGGCAGTGAGGCTGGGGGAGGGGCGCCCGCCATTGCCCAGGCTTGCTTAGGTAAACAAAGCAGCCGGGAAGCTCGAACTGGGTGGAGCCCACCACAGCTCAAGGAGGCCTGCCTGCCTCTGTAGGCTCCACCTCTGGGGGCAGGGCACAGACAAACAAAAAGACAGCAGTAACCTCTGCAGACTTAAATGTCCCTGTCTGACAGCCTTGAAGAGAGCAGTGGTTCTCCTAGCACGCAGCTGGAGATCTGAGAACTGGCAGACTGCCTCCTCAAGTGGGTCCCGGACCCCTGACCCCCGAGCAGCCTAACTGGGAGGCACCCCCCAGCAGGGGCACACTGACACCTCACACGGCAGGGTATTCCAACAGACCTGCAGCTGAGGGTCCTGTCTGTTAGAAGGAAAACTAACAAACAGAAAGGACATCCACACCGAAAACCCATCTGTACATCACCATCATCAAAGACCAAAAGTAGATAAAACCACAAAGATGGGGAAAAAACAGAACAGAAAAACTGGAAACTCTAAAACGCAGAACGTCTCTCCTCCTCCAAAGGAACGCAGTTCCTCACCAGCAACGGAACAAAGCTGGATGGAGAATGACTTTGACGAGCTGAGAGAAGAAGGCTTCAGACGATCAAATTACTCTGAGCTACGGGAGGACATTCAAACCAAAGGCAAAGAAGTTGAAAACTTTGAAAAAAATTTAGAAGAATGTATAACTAGAATAACCAATACAGAGAAGTGCTTAAAGGAGCTGATGGAGCTGAAAACCAAGGCTCGTGAGCAAAGCCTCCAAGAAATATGGGACTATGTGAAAAGACCAAATCTACGTCTGATTGGTGTACCTGAAAGTAATGGGGAGAATGGAACCAAGTTGGAAAACACTCTGCAGGATATTATCCAGGAGAACTTCCCCAATCTAGCAAGGCAGGCCAACGTTCAGATTCAGGAAATACAGAGAACGCCACAAAGATACCCCTCGAGAAGAGCAACTCCAAGACACATAATTGTCAGATTCACCAAAGTTGAAATGAAGGAAAAAATGTTAAGGGCAGCCAGAGAGAAAGGTTGGGTTACCCTCAAACGGAAGCCCATCAGACTAACAGCGGATCTCTCGGCAGAAACCCTACAAGCCAGAAGAGAGTGGGGGCCAATATTCAACATTCTTAAAGAAAAGAATTTTCAACCCAGAATTTCATATCCAGCCAAACTAAGCTTCATAAGTGAAGGAGAAATAAAATACTTTACAGACAAGCCAATGCTGAGAGATTTTGTCACCACCAGGCCTGCCCTAAAAGAGCTCCTGAAGGAAGCGCTAAACATGGAAAGGAACAACCAGTACCAGCCGCTGCAAAATCATGCCAAAATGTAAAGACCATCGAGAATAGGAAGAAACTGCATCAACTAACAAGCAAAATCACCAGCTAACATCATAATGACAGGATCAAATTCACACATAACAATATTAAATTTAAAGTAAATGGACTAAATTTTCCAATTAAAAGACACAGACTGGCAAATTGGATAAAGAGTCAAGACCCATCAGTGTGCTGTATTCAGGAAACCCATCTCACATGCAGAGACACACATAGGCTCAAAATAAAAGGATGGAGGAAGATCTACCAAGCAAATGGAAAACAAAAAAAGGCAGGGGTTGCAATCCTAGTCTCTGATAAAACAGACTTTAAACCAACAAAGATCAAAAGAGACAAAGAAGGCCATTACATAATGGTAAAGGGATCAATTCAACAAGAAGAGCTAACTATCCTAAATATATATGCACCCAATACAGGAGCACCCAGATTCATAAAGCAAGTCCTGAGTGACCTACAAAGAGACTTAGACTCCCACACATTAATAATGGGAGACTTTAACACCCCACTGTCAACATTAGACAGATCAACGAGACAGAAATTCAACAAGGATACCCAGGAATTGAACTCAGCTCTGCACCAAGCGGACCTAATAGACATCTACAGAACTCTCCACCCCAATTCAACAGAATATACATTTTTTTCAGCACCACACCACACCCATTCCAAAATTGACCACATACTTGGAAGTAAAGCTCTCCTCAGCAAATGTAAAAGAACAGAAATTATAACAAACTATCTCTCAGACCACAGTGCAATCAAACTAGAACTCAAGATTAAGAATCTCACTCAAAGCCGCTCAACTACATGGAAACTGAACAACCTGCTCCTGAATTACTACTGGGTACATAACGAAATGAAGGCAGAAATAAAGATGTTCTTTGAAACCAACGAGAACAAAGACACAACATACCAGAATCTCTGGGACGCATTCAAAGCAGTGTGTAGAGGGAAATTTATAGCACTAAATGCCCACAAGAGAAAGCAGGAAAGATCCAAAATTGACACCCTAACATCACAATTAAAAGAACTAGAAAAGCAAGAGCAAACACATTCAAAAGCTAGCAGAAGGCAAGAAATAACTAAAATCAGAGCAGAACTGAAGGAAATAGAGACACAAAAAACCCTTCAAAAAATCAATGAATCCAGGAGCTGGTTTTTCGAAAGGATCAACAAAATTGATAGACTGCTAGCAAGACTAATAAAGAAAAAAAGAGAGAAGAATCAAATAGACACAATAAAAAATGATAAAGGGGATATCACCACTGATCCCACAGAAATACAAACTACCATCAGAGAATACTACAAACACCTATATGCAAATAAACTAGAAAATCTGGAAGAAATGGATAAATTCCTCGACACATACACTCTCCCAAGACTAAACCAGGAAGAAGTTGAATCTCTGAATAGACCAATAACAGGAGCTGAAATTGTGGCAATAATCAGTAGTTTACCAACCAAAAAGAGTCCAGGACCAGATGGATTCACAGCCGAATTCTACCAGAGGTACAAGGAGGAACTGGTACCATTACTTCTGAAACTATTCCAATCAATAGAAAAAGAGGGAATCCTCCCTAACTCATTCTATGAGGCCAGCATCATTCTGATTCCAAAGCCGGGCAGAGACACAACCAAAAAAGAGAATTTTAGACCAATATCCTTGATGAACATTGATGCAAAAATCCTCAATAAAATACTGGCAAACCGAATCCAGCAGCACATCAAAAAGCTTATCCACCATGATCAAGTAGGCTTCATCCCTGGGATGCAAGGCTGGTTCAATATACGCAAATCAATAAATGTAATCCAGCATATAAACAGAGCCAAAGACAAAAACCACATGATTATCTCAATAGATGCAGAAAAAGCCTTTGACAAAATTCAACAACCCTTCATGCTAAAAACTCTCAATAAATTAGGTATTGATGGGACGTATTTCAAAATAATAAGAACTATCTATGACAAACCCACAGCCAATATCATACTGAATGGGCAAAAACTGGAAGCATTCCCTTTGAAAACTGGCACAAGACAGGGGTGCCCTCTCTCACCACTCCTATTCAACATAGTGTTGGAAGTTCTGGCCAGGGCAATTAGGCAGGAGAAGGAAATAAAGGGTATTCAATTAGGAAAAGAGGAAGTCAAATTGTCCCTGTGTGCAGATGACATGATTGTATATCTAGAAAACCCCATCGTCTCAGCCCAACATCTCCTTAAGCTGATAAGCAACTTCAGCAAAGTCTCAGGATACAAAATCAATGTACAAAAATCACAAGCATTCTTATACACCAACAACAGACAAACAGAGAGCTAAATCGTGAGTGAACTCCCATTCACAATTGCTTCAAAGAGAATAAAATACCTAGGAATCCAACTTACAAGGGATGTGAAGGACCTCTTCAAGGAGAACTACAAACCACTGCTCAAGGAAATAAAAGAGGATACAAACAAATGGAAGAACATTCCATGCTCATGGGTAGGAAGAATCGATATCGTGAAAATGGCCATACTGCCCAAGGTAATTTACAGATTCAATGCCATCCCCATCAAGCTACCAATGACTTTCTTCACAGAATTGGAAAAAACTACTTTAAAGTTCATATGGAACCAAAAAAGAGCCTGCATCGCCAAGTCAATCCTAAGCCAAAAGAGCAAAGCTGGAGGCATCACACTACCTGACTTCAAACTATACTACAAGGCTACAGTAACCAAAACACCATGGTACTGGTACCAAAACAGAGATATAGATCAATGGAACAGAACAGAGCCCTCAGAAATAACGCCGCATACCTACAACTATCTGATCTTTGACAAACCTGAGAAAAACAAGCAATGGGGAAGGGATTCCCTATTTAATAAATGGTGCTGGGAAAACTGGATAGCCATATGTAGGAAGCTGAAACTGGATCCCTTCCTTACACCTTATACAAAAATCAATTCAAGATGGATTAAAGATTTAAACGTTAGACCTAAAACCATAAAAACCCTAGAAGAAAACCTAGGCATTACCATTCAGGACATAGGCATGGGCAAGGACTTCATGTCCAAAACACCAAAAGCAATGGCAACAAAAGAGAAAATTGACAAATGGGATCTAATTAAACTAAAGAGCTTCTGCACAGCAAAAGAAACTACCATCAGAGTGAACAGGCAACCTACAAAATGGGAGAAAATTTTCGCAACCTACTCATCTGACAAAGGGCTAATATCCAGAATCTACAATGAACTCAAACAAATTTACAAGAAAAAAAAAATAACCCCATCAAAAAGTGGGCGAAGGACATGAACAGACACTTCTCAAAAGAAGACATTTATGCAGCCAAAAAACACATGAAAAAATGCTCATCATCACTGGCCATCAGAGAAATGCAAATCAAAACCACTATGAGATACCATCTCACACCAGTTAGAATGGCAATCATTAAAAAGTCAGGAAACAACAGGTGCTGGAGAGGATGTGGAGAAATAGGAACACTTTTACACTGTTGGTGGGACTGTAAACTAGTTCAACCATTGTGGAAGTCAGTGTGGCGATTCCTCAGGGATCTAGAACTGGAAATACCATTTGACCCAGCCATCCCATTACTGGGTATATACCCAAATGACTATAAATCATGCTGCTATAAAGACACATGCACACGTATGTTTATTGCGGCATTATTCACAATAGCAAAGACTTGGAACCAACCCAAATGTCCAACAATGATAGACTGGATTAAGAAAATGTGGCACATATACACCATGGAATACTATGCAGCCATAAAAAATGATGAGTTCATGTCCTTTGTAGGGACATGGATGAAATTGGAAATCATCATTCTCAGTAAACTATCGCAAGAACAAAAAACCAAACACCGCATATTCTCACTCATAGGTGGGAATTGAACAATGAGATCACATGGACACAGGAAGGGGAACATCACACTCTGGGGACTGTTGTGGGGTGGGGGGAGGGGGGAGGGATAGCATCGGGAGATATACCTAATGCTAGATGATGAGTTAGTGGGTGCAGCACACCAGCATGGCACATGTATACATATGTATCTAACCCGCACAATGTGCACATGTACCCTAAAACTTAAAGTATAATAAAAAAAAATCTGTATTATCATAACCCATTTTACAAATGAGCAAACCGAGGCTAAGAGAGCTTAACTAACCGTCCAGGATTACCCAGCTTAGAGCTGGTAAATCACAATTGGAACCTAGGCTTGTCCTGTCTGATTTCAGAGCTTGACATCTTACTTGCTGCTCTGCTCTTCCTCTGCTGCTGTTGTACCTCTTGTTTTTCTCCCTCTTGCCTGTCTAAAGATAAATGCCTATTTATTCTTTAAGGCTGAAATAAAATAGTCATTCTATTTATTTGACTCTCATTTGTGAGACTCTTTTATTAACACCTTCTTTTGCCCACTGTCCGGGGAGATTTCTCTTGTTTTCTCATAGCATTTCATACCTACAGATGATAAAACATTTCTTACATGTTATTCTAATTTTGGTGGACTGATATTTTGGAATGCTGTTTATGTTGTTTTTACCCTTGTTTGTTTATTATATCCCTTGGCTCTTCCCACATTCATTCAGCTAGGGTAGCCTTCATTTAATGTTTCAAAGGTGGGGTGACAGACAGTATACACAGGAAGAAAGGAATCACTTTCTTTTGAGATTCGAAAGCGCACCCCCCTTGAAGCAAAGGAAAGAACACAGGACTTGCGCAAGATAGTTGTGAAACCATCTGAGGAGCAAGAGCCAAGCACTCCTTCCCCCAACTAGGTAAACATTCTATTTTCTAGATAGATATAAGGAAGCTCTTTGGGAGGATGGCAGGTTGAAAGCATATTTAAATAAAACAGACCAAATAAAAACCTCTCCTCAAACCCTTCCTTCCAAAAAAATAAAAATAAATGAAGAAAGAGAAAAATCTAACTTTGGCTTTTCTGCTGGGGCAAGACATTGGTCCCCTCACACCAGATTACAGAAACAATATCCTAACTGCTTCCCAAGTCTCTGATCCAAGATTCCTCCAAATCTATTTTATGCATCACATGCTACCAAACTGATCTTCCTAAATCTTACAGCTCTGTTTTTCTTCTAGTTGATTCCTTTTCTAAATATCATGTATTCGCTCATTGAAAATGCTCATCTTTACAAGTCCGTCTCCTTCAAATAGGGTGGTCCTGTGGATTGGTTGGCATCAAATTGCCCTACCTGTTACCTCCTTTCCCTTTCGAAGCTGTCCTGGTGTGGAGAATAACCCATACTCTGTGGGTCTTTCCTTGATATTCCAGTGTGGCACATTGAGATCTCCATACCCCCACCCTTGGCTCATTCTTCCATTCCCCCAGTCCCTCACGTAGCTCACACGCTCCTGCTGCATCCTTTTCATGGAAAGCACATCCCCATTCCTCTACTTACTCTTCAAGATTCAACTCATGTTTTACCTCCTCCAAAAGGCCTTCATCAAAACTCAGGGCCATGCTGTGCTCTTCTGTCTATGAATCTTTATAACCTCTCAGTACCATTCATTTTGACACTTCATCATTTACTACTTTGCATTGTTAATTAATAAGAATAAAGAAAGAAGAAAATCTTTCATCTTATGCATTTTCCCAGATAACTGAAATGATTTTTCTTCCAACATTTTATGTTGAAAAATTTTAAGCCTTAATGAATAATTCAAAGATTTGTACAAAATATATATATATACTTCATCTGGAGTCACCAGTTGTTAATATTTGCCACATTTCCTCTCTCTCTCTCACTCTCACTGTTTCTACCTCTGTGCGTGCATATTTATGTATTTTTTGCAGAATCATTTTTAAAAGTCTGCAACCCTGATGATACTTCACCCTTAAATACTCCAGAACATATATCCTTGAATGAGGACATGTTCCAATATAACCACAATAATATTAACACGCCTCATAACATGAACAACAATTTCATAATGTCATCTAATGTATAGTCCATATTCAAATTTACCAATTGTCCCTAAAATGATCTTTATAGGTATATTAGTTTGCTATTGTAACTATACCAAATCACTCCAAATTTAGTGCCCTAAAACCAACACAGATTTATCACCCTATTATCTGGAGGTCAGAAGTTTGTATTGGATCTCATTGGGATAAAATCAAGGTATAAGAAGGACTGTATTCCTTTCTCAGTCTTTTAGGGGAGAATCCATTGTCTTGCCTTTTGGGGTTTTTGGAGGCCACCTGCATTCCTTGACTCATGGCTCTCTTACATCTTCAAAGCCAGCAACGCTCACGTGAACCTTTCTCACAGTATATCACTTTGACTCCTTTGCTCTCCTCCTCCACATGTAAAGGACCTGCATCACCACTCTTGGTAATGCTAAATTGGATTATCTGGTTCCAGTGGACTGTCATCACTCCATTGTAAAGGTGCTATTTCCCTTGAAGTAGTAAATAATTGGGATAGTGACACTTTGAGATTTTGTAAATATCTGTTTTCCCCACAATATTTTACACAATGGTTTTAACTTCTATTTGTCAGTCTTTTATGCATCATTTTATTATGTTAGATGTTAAAAATTGGTGACTTCCAGCTTGATGAGGTGGCTCACGCCTGTAATCTCAGCACTTTGGGAAGCCAAGGAAGGCGGATCATTTGAGGTCAAGAGTTTGAGACCAGCCTGACAAACATGGAGAAACCCCGTCTACAAAATTAGCTGGGCATGGTGGCCCACACCTGTAATCTCAGCTACTTGGGAGACTGAAGCAGAAGAATCACTTGAACCCGGGAGGCGGAGGTTGTGGTGAGCTGAGATCGAGCCATTGTACTCTAGCCTGGGCAACAAGAGCAAAACTCCATCTCAAAAAAAAAAAAAAAAAAAAAAAAAACAGTGACTTCCTAGTTTTATCACCTACTTCTATCACCACATAATTCTATGATGTTGCATTTTTCTGAGAAGGAGAGGGTTTGCTTGCCATTTTTCAAGTATTTTGTGGTGCTGAGTATTTTTAAATTATTATTATTATTATTGTTAAGTGTGCTGCAATTGCTGTTGGTGTTTGTCTTTTTTTTTTCCCTCAAGTTATGCCCTATGTAACCAGTGTGAGTCCCTTCTGGTCAGATCCTAACTTCTATTGACACAACTTAATTATGCTTTAAATAGATCTTTGCTTTCCAGCACACTAAACTGTCCAAAGCTTGCCTGGAAGTTTTACCTGGAATCACTTATTTCTCCAGGAAGCCTAGACGATTATAGATAAAATTAGTATCTTGAAACAGAGATCGGGTCAGTTAGAGGTACTCATTGTTCCTGTGGGAGTCACTCAATTATTATTATTATTTTTTTATTATACTTTTAAGTTTTAGGGTACATGTGCACATTGTGCAGGTTAGTTACATATGTGTACATGTGCCATGCTGGTGCGCTGCACCCACTAACTCGTCATCTAGCATTAGGTATATCTCCCGATGCTATCCCTCCCCGCTCCCACCACCCCACAACAGTCCCCAGAGTGTGATATTCCCCTTCCTGTGTCCATGTGATCTCATTGTTCAGTTCCCACCTATGAGTGAGAATATGTGGTGTTTGGTTTTTTGTTCTTGCAATAGTTTACTAAGAATGATGATTTCCAATTTCATCCATGTCCCTACAAAGGACATGAACTCACCATTTTTTATGGCTGCATAGTATTCCATGGTGTATATGTGCCACATTTTCGTAATCCAGTCTATCATTGTTGGACATTTGGGTTGGTTCCAAGTCTTTGCTATTGTGAATAATGCCGCAGTAAACATACGTGTGCATGTGTCTTTATAGCAGCATGATTTATAGTCATTTGGGTATATACCCAGTAATGGGATGGCTGGGTCAAATGGTATTTCCAGTTCTAGATCCCTGAGGAATCGCCACACTGACTTCCACAATGGTTGAACTAGTTTACAGTCCCACCAACAGTGTAAAAGTGTTCCTATTTCTCCACATCCTCTCCAGCACCTGTTGTTTCCTGACTTTTTAATGATTGCCATTCTAACTGGTGTGAGATGGTATCTCATAGTGGTTTTGATTTGCATTTCTCTGATGGCCAGTGATGATGAGCATTTTTTCATGTGTTTTTTGGCTGCATAAATGTCTTCTTTTGAGAAGTGTCTGTTCATGTCCTTCGGCCACTTTTTGTTGGGGTTGTTTGTTTTTTTCTTGTAAATTTGTTTGAGTTCATTGTAGATTCTGGATATTAGCCCTTTGTCAGATGAGTAGGTTGCGAAAATTTTCTCCCATTTTGTAGGTTGCCTGTTCACTCTGATGGTAGTTTCTTTTGCTGTGCAGAAGCTCTTTAGTTTAATTAGATCCCATTTGTCAATTTTCTCTTTTGTTGCCATTGCTTTTGGTGTTTTGGACATGAAGTCCTTGCCCATGCCTATGTCCTGAATGGTAATGCCTAGGTTTTCTTCTAGGGTTTTTATGGTTTTAGGTCTAACGTTTAAATCTTTAATCCATCTTGAATTGATTTTTGTATAAGGTGTAAGGAAGGGATCCAGTTTCAGCTTTCTACATATGGCTCGCCAGTTTTCCCAGCACCATTTATTAAATAGGGAATCCTTTCCCCATTGCTTGTTTTTCTCAGGTTTGTCAAAGATCAGATAGTTGTAGATATGCGGCGTTATTTCTGAGGGCTCTGTTCTGTTCCATTGATCTATATCTCTGTTTTGGTACCAGTACCATGGTGTTTTGGTTACTGTAGCCTTGTAGTATAGTTTGAAGTCAGGTAGTGTGATGCCTCCAGCTTTGTTCTTTTGGCTTAGGATTGACTTGGCGATGCGGGCTCTTTTTTGGTTCCATATGAACTTTAAAGTAGTTTTTTCCAATTCTGTGAAGAAGGTCATTGGTAGCTTGATGGGGATGGCATTGAATCTGTAAATTACCTTGGGCAATATGGCCATTTTCACCATATTGATTCTTCCTACCCATGAGCATGGAATGTTCTTCCATTTGTTTGTATCCTCTTTTATTTCCTTGAGCAGTGGTTTGTAGTTCTCCTTGAAGAGGTCCTTCACATCCCTTGTAAGTTGGATTCCTAGCTATTTTATTCTCTTTGAAGCAATTGTGAGCTGGTTTTTTGAAAGGATCAACAAAATTGATAGACTGCTAGCAAGACTAATGAAGAAAAAAAGAGAGAAGAATCAAATAGACGCAATAAAAAATGATAAAGGGGATATCACCACTGATCCCACAGAAATACAAACTACCATCAGGGAATACTACAAACACCTCTCTGCAAATAAACTGGAAAATCTAGAAGAAATGGATAAATTCCTGGACACATACACTCTCCCAAGACTAAACCAGGAAGAAGTTGAATCTCTGAATAGACCAATAACAGGAGCTGAAATTGTGGCAATAATCAATAGCGTACCAATCAAAAAGAGTCCAGGACTGGATGGATTCACAGCCGAATTCTACCAGAGGTACAAGGAGGAACTGATACCATTCCTTCTGAAACTATTCCAATCAATAGAAAAAGAGGGAATCCTCCCTAACTCATTCTATGAGGCCAGCATCATTCTGATACCAAAGCCAGGCAGAGACACCACAAAAAAAGAGAATTTTAGACCAATATCCTTGATGAACATTGATGCAAAAATCCTCAATAAAATACTGGCAAACCGAATCCAGCAGCACATCAAAAAGCTTATCCACCATGATCAAGTGGGCTTCATCCCTGGGATGTAAGGCTGGTTCAATATACGCAAATCAATAAATGTAATCCAGCATATAAACAGAGCCAAAGACAAAAACCACATGATTATCTCAATAGATGCAGAAAAAGCCTTTGACAAAATTCAACAACCCTTCATGCTAAAAACTCTCAATAAATTAGGTATTGATGGGACGTATTTCAAAATAATAAGAGCTATCTATGACAAACCCACAGCCAATATCATACTGAATGGGCAAAAACTGGAAGCATTCCCTTTGAAAACTGGCACAAGACAGGGGTGCCCTCTCTCACCACTCCTATTCAACATAGTGTTGGAAGTTCTGGCCAGGGCAATTAGGCAGGAGAAGGAAATAAAGGGTATTCAATTAGGAAAAGAGGAAGTCAAATTGTCCCTGTGTGCAGACGACATGATTGTATATCTAGAAAACCCCATTGTCTCAGCCCAAAATCTCCTTAAGCTGATAAGCAACTTCAGCAAAGTCTCAGGATACAAAATCAATGTACAAAAATCACAAGCATTCTTATACACCAACAACAGACAAACAGAGAGCCAAATCATGAGTGAACTCACTCAATTATTTTTAACTCTTCTGCTTCCACCTTGGTTCTAGTCTGAAACCTGACTGATCAACTGAGTCAATGAATGAGTGAATTGTTAAACAATTGACAACATCATTCCTCTTATCAATAAATAAGCTAAGACAGGCTTTGAGGATGAAAAGTGCTATTCAAATCACATTTTTTTCACAAAGATTTTTTATTTAAGGCCTTATGGAGAAATTTGATAAAGTGAGAGGGAGGAAGAAGAAAGCATAAATCAGTAAAAATTAATAAGGAGACAAACAAGGGGGTATTGCAAATATTTTTGTAGCTTTATGGGGCCAGACAGACTTGGTTTTGTCTATGGATTCCAAGTGTGGCTGTGAAAAAAAAGGAATTATACCTGCAGATACATTCTGTGTTAAGTTTTTCACAAAGCGCCAGAGCCCTTGGCTAGTTAAGTTTCTATTAATTTAAATTCGAAGTAGAAGATGATAAGAAAAGATTGAGGGAAGCAATGCAGAATCCTGGTGCAATGATGGGTGAGCCCTCAGCTTAGGCAATTAGAAGAGCACCAGAATCTCCTAAAGAAACATACATGTATCAGCTTCAAGTCATTGTACGTTTTCCTTACATTTCACCTTTTCGGCAGCTGTTTTTCTATCCTGTTCATTTCTGAGCAATTACTCTATTGGAAATGCCATCTTGAAACAAAGTGAGAAATTATTTAATTTCTCATGAAAATTATCAGTGATTTTTCTCTTGATACATGAAGGTGACACTGGAAACTATTGTCATTAGGAAAAGTTCCAAGCTGAAGTCAATTTATGGAAAATGGAAGAAACTGCCCAATCAAGTGATACTTATTGGTTGTACAAAATGTACTACACGACATCAGTTTTCTTTCTGTTTTCTAAAATATAATTACAAGGGAATGTGATTATAATTCATTTTTTAAAAGAACTAGTATCTACCAATGTTGATAAAAACAAAATATAGCCACCAAGCAAATAAAAAAAACCCACAAGTATTTAAGATGACTCTGGTTTAAATAAATTGATTTATGCTCATTAGAGCACTGCAAACACCAGAAGGCACATTTCAATTAAGTAAAATTAAATTTTATAAGGCAAATTTGGACTGTGTCCAGAACAAAATAGTGAACGTATTGGTACAACATATTTCTCAGAGAAACGTCAGGTTTTTGGAAAGAGAACCACAGACGGTCCATTTAACACCCTGTTTACTTCCTGGACCAAGGGAATTCATAGATATATTAAGTAAAGAGCTTACAAACAACAAGACCTAAGTTTTACTTACTTTTATATTTCCATTTTCCTTCACAAGATTTGGTGCTCAGAAGACAATATTTTTGAGCGAATAAATGAATGAATGTATAAATGTGTTAAATGAAGCCTTAGATAATATAAAAATAATTTTGCAGACTTAACTAATTATGTTGGAATCCATATTGCACATTAGCTATAATAGAAAACCATTTTTAATTGTTCAAGCTTTTATCTTTCTTTTAAAGCAGAACAAAGCATGTCTTCATTTTAATAATTAATTTCACCAATATAATAACTCAGCTGCTTCAGTGAGTTTCATGACACAAGAACAGCCCAGCTTTGACTTTGTGGAATGAAAATGTATACAATTTTCCATTGAAAAGAAAATTCTAATACATTGACTATGGCCCTCAGAAGAAAGAAAACCTTTGCAATAGAAAACACGAAAAAACACTATGTTTAAATATTGAATAACTGAGTACATTGTTTTGATAGTTAAATCTATAACTAAATTGTGTGAACATATGGCAGCCTCCTAATATAAAGTTCCTCAGGATAGCTAAAGACCTAGGATGAGCCTGAATTAAGTAGCAGTCTCTTGAGACTAAGCCCTAATTAATTAAAAGAATCAGTAAGTGTATCATGGGTACTTTCAATGCCATTTTCTGGTACCATGTCAACATGCTCAGGGACCTTAAACATGGGTGGTCATCTGCAATAAAAGGCAACCTCGCCTTCTGATACTATTTTTTTTTTTTGCATGTTGCAAAAACAGCCAATGGTTGCAATTAACTCAAACTCTGGATGGACCAGTTTGGGCCATAACTGTTGCAGCAAGGACCTGTAGCACATGATATACCTGCACATTGTTATTCCCTGGATTTCTACTTAGTTTGAAAGGTCAGGGTTAGCTAGAACCAGGTTTTCTCTTCCTCTATCCAAAAGGCATAGTACATTGTTGATTTGGCCATAGCTTCAAAGGTTTTTACATTCCACTGGGCATTGTATTTACATTGCACAGTTAATTCTGGAATTATTTTTTCATCTAGATAGTGAGTGCTCTTGTCTGTGGACAAAGCAAATGATACTCAGATGATTAATGCCAGTCTTTAAAGATCTGCCATGAGAGCTGGGCAGGGGTCGGGGCACAGAACATCTTCTAACTAAAAAACCCGAAGATGGCTACGTGGGCCATATTAGTATTTCTGAACATGACCAGCCTTTTCAATTTCCATTTCCTACATATGAGAAACAACATGCCAATGACAGGCTGACTGATGTTTCTTTGAGCGCTCTGGATAGCGTTTGCTTCTGTCGAGAGTGCAGTCCACAGATCTGGCAAACCCTGGTGGCGAATTTAATTCAATGGAGAAAGAATGTTGTCTATTATGAGGCCTGAAGCAGAGCCAGCAACAGTGATGATTAAATTAAAAATATTTTTAAACAAAGAGAAGCAGTGTTTGTCTTGTGGATGAATGGATTATAGATGCATCCCTGATTGGAAAGGAGAAGGCTTGTAGAGGACCATAAAGTTGAATCTGTCCAGACTTTTACTTCTAAATGTGCAAGAGTCATGATAAGGCTTTTTAATTCTCTTTTCTGGATGATTTTTCCCCTTCTGTAAGCTCACTCTTAGAGTTCAGCCTTGGAACATGAAACACAATGACATAATTACAAATAGCAGGAAAATCTCAAGTCCAACTGCCTTGTATTTAGAGTTCAATTGAGTTCAAAAAGTCCTTTCTTGCAGGCCCTGGGCAACAAGAAAGACAGGTGGAATTAGCCAGGCTGGATGGTTACATTGAGGTAGGAGGCAGGACTTGACTGTGGAGGCAGGGACTTGAACTCTGATTACTTCAGACAGGGAAGAGGTGGAAGTACCTCTCCATAAGACATGCCCACCAGTGTCATGTCAGTTTACCATTGCTATGGCAACACTTGGAAGTTACCACCCACCCCTCCCCCCTTTTTTAGAAATATCTGAATAACCTACCCCTTAATTTGCATGTAATTAAAAGTGGGTGTAAATATGACTGCAGAACTGCCTCTGAGCTGCTAGCCTGGGCACACTGCCTATGGGGTAACCCTGCTCCACAAGGAGCAGTACCTCTGTTGCTGTGCACTGTCACTTCAATAAAAATTGCTGTCTTACACCACCACTCACCCTTGAATTCTTTGCTGGGTGAAGCCAAAAACCCTCCTGGGCTAAGCCCCAATTTTAGGGTTTGCCTGCCCTGTGTCAACATGCCTTTAAGTATTTATGCAGGAGCAAAATTCCATGTTTAGACAAACCATGCACTCATCCTTAATTTCATTTCTATTATTATGACGGTAATATAAAATATAAACGTGGGTGTCTGGGTATGCCCTATGTAGGAGCAGTTCCTTCTCATCCTTCAGGCTTCATCTTAAGTCATGGTTGCCTCTTCTGTAACTATTGATTGTAATTGATTTGTTTACTTTCCTATGGTCTATATCTACAGTTATAATGTAACTATTATAAGTTAAGAGGGTAAAAAGCCTGCAAGCTGGCCCTCAATTATTGCCCATCCTGGTATTCATATCCTGTGTGGTCTCCTAGCATGTTGTACCAGGGCTGGTCTATGTGGCCAATCCTATACAGCTGTAGTGATGATACATCACTTCCAAGGTTAGGTTATTAAAGACTGGGATTTCTGACTTGGGCTTTCCCTCCCCTCTTCTCCTGACAACCTCTCCCTCTCTCTCCCTCATCACTTTCACTAGAGGACACCAGCTGCCATAACCTGGGTAGCCCAAGGGAGGGACCCAAGTGGCAAGAAACCAAAGTGTCTTGCCATGGGCCCTCTGGGTATGCTTGGGAGCCAATTCTCTAGCTCCTCCAATTGATCTCAGCCCTGCTCAACAACCTGACTGCAGCCTCATGAAAGACTCTAAATCAGAACCATTCTGCTAAGCTGCTTCTGGATTCTTACCCAGAAAAACTGCAATAGAATAAATATTTGCTTTAAATTGCTCAGGTTTAGAGTAATTTGCTCTGCAGCAATAGATAACTGATAAAGGAAATATCCAGGTATGGTTTCATGCTCCAGCTCCCAGCACACTGTGGCTCATATATCTCAATAAATTGGCCGAAGAAATACTTGTTGAACAAACACATAAACCTTGATAGCTTTAACCCTTGGTCCACGCACTTTCTCTAAGGAATGCTTTGTATTTGTTCAGGTATAAACAACAATCTTTCGAATGCAGTTGTTGGTTAAGGAAATCTATTTGTAAATAAACTGAGAAGAGTCCTTTACCTCAACACCTCAGTGTAAATTAGAAGTTTAGTTACTAGTAACTGAAGCTGTCCTCTAGTACAAAGAGCATGCATTGCATTAAGCAGTTGACATGGCACAGATATTTACAAAATTAAGTGTAAGAAATTATAAAGTATGATTTTTTATTAACTCCCACTCTCTTCTCTGCATGCTGATAATTCATGTATGATGAAGCGAAGAGCCTTTCCTGACTACTCCATTCTAGTGGTCTGCAGTCTCTGTTCTTGTTCTAGTTTTACATCATATTCTGAATCCTCTCATCTGTCCGTTTCTATCTGATGCAGACTGTATGAGAATGAGTGCTTCCCTGTTAATACAATTCACAAAATATCTCAGATCCTTTAAATTCACTTGTTCAAAGTAAATAAAGTAAATCATCAAAAGTTTCAAAACTTAATTTCCTTCATAGCCTATTCTCTAAATGATGCTTGTTTAGCTATGCCCTGGGAGTGAATCCTCCTCTCTGTCCCTCTGATGTTTATACTCTGGCTTTGCCTGTGTCCCTCTTCAGTGGTGGAAGTACTTTCATGCCCCCTGCCATTTGGCAGAAAGGGAGCAATCTCCTGCTTGAATAAAACTTGAAAGAGGTGCCTTAGTGTGTGAAAAGTTGCTAATTGATTAATTATGTCATATCCACTACATGAAGCCCACAGATGTTAAACGATTTGATGAAACCTTTTGTGGTCAGTACCTCACAGTCCAGTTGAAGGTGAAGAAGGACAAGGCAAGCAGACCTGTGTGTTCAGATATGGAAGGCCACTCAGTCTTTTGGCCCATGTCAAAGTAAAGAAAATGAAGACTAAGAGGTTTAGAGATAGCTAAAGAATACCAATGAAATTATGACTATGGCACAATTTCACAATGTTTTAATTCTTCACTTTGGAAAACTCCAGACATTTCCATGTGTCTTATAGGGCATCCGGAATTTTGAATATTTCTTTATACTGATTAGTAATTGCCATGGCCATTTCTAGCCTTGATTAACCAGCTTTCTAACCATGCTCTTAACAAATATCTTCTACTCGGAATCATTCTTCTTCTGTTTTAACATATAATTAAGTGTCTTTTATTTAGGCATTTAGTAAATATTTTTAAACCTCAGTGGAATCTTTACTTAGATTTGGCTGTTAAATTCATAAATATTCTCTCTTTCTTGACCCCACCTCACACATACACACATAGAAACCATGCACATTTTTACCATATTACTGTTTTCTGAACCAGTGATTGCCCCCAACACCTACCAATAAATTTTGCACTTCATTCAAAATGCACTTTAAGGCTCATCCTATAAAACTTTTCCAACTACAAGGGTTGTTTCCTCCATTACTGATTGGTTCTAAGTAAACTCAAACATCTGTTCACACCATCTCTTCATTTGGTTCCTGAGTTCAAGTCTTCTCTCTACATTTAACTTGTAGATTTCTTTTGAGAAGACACCATATCTTGTGCCTCTTTGACTTCCTTATTGTAACTGATCCAGTGCTAGGCACAGATTTTCATTCATACTGTCAATAATTAAATACACTTAACATAATCTTCAATTAGAAGAACAAAGACAGATAAAAGTAGAAATTCCATTTTCAAAGAAATCATAAATAGTGGCATGTGTACTGACATCATGTGTGGCCAGCATGGATAGAGTTTAGCCTATTAATCCCCAAGTGTCAAATCTCAACTTCTCAGGCTTGACTTTTCATAGTTTTCATAAGACACAAAGGTGAGCTTGTCTCCTTTCCCTTTCCAAAGAAGCCACTGCCTACTCTGTTTCTCAAGATTCTTCTCTCTACAAAACTAAATTTGAAAACTATCTACCTTTTTGCTACCTCCTAAATATATCATGTATTGATTTTTATTGAAAATTGTATCTCTAATCTATCTTTAGGGGCAAATAAAGAAGACAGTAATAAACATACCATCTATACCAAATATATATATATAAATATTTCACAAATGTCTTATGTCCTTCATCCATGATCTATTGTTCTTGATTTCTCAGCTTAAAGGGCATCTGGAAGCGAGATGCATTTCTGTACTTATAAGGGAGAAGCTCATCACATCTTTCTCTCCCTAGCTTCTGTCTCAAACATCTTCAATTTTTTTTTTTTTTATACTTTAAGTTTTAGGGTACATGTGCACAACGTGCAGGTTAGTTACATATGTATACATGTGCCATGTTGGTGTGCTGCACCCATTAACTCATCATTTAACATTAGGTATATATCCTAATGCTATCCCTCCCCACTCCCCCCATCCCACAACAGGCCCCGGTGTGTGATGTTCCCCTTCCTGTGTCCATGTGTTCTCATTGTTCAGTTCCCACCTATGAGTGAGAATATGCAGTGTTTGGTTTTTTGTCCTTGCGATAGTTTGCTGAGAATGATAGTTTCCAGCTTCATCCATGTCCCTACAAAGGACATGAACTCATCATTTTTTATGGCTGCATAGCATTCCATGGTGTATATGTGCCACATTTTCTTAATCCAGTCTATCATTGTTGGACATTTGGGTTGGTTCCAAGTCTTTGCTATTGTGAATAGTGCCACAATAAACATACGTGTGCATGTGTCTTTATAGCAGCATGATTTATAATCCTTTGGGTATATACCCAGTAATGGGATGGCTGGGTCAAATGGTATTTCTAGTTCTAGATCCCTGAGGAATCGCCACACTGACTTCCACAATGGTTGAACTAGTTTACAGTCCCACCAACAGTGTAAAAGTGTTCCTATTTCTCCACATCCTCTCCAGCACCTGTTGTTTCTTGACTTTTTAATGATCGCCGTTCTAACTGTTGTGAGATGGTATCCCATTGTGGTTTTGATTTGCATTTCTCTGATGGCCAGTGATGATGAGCATTTTTTCACATGTCTTTTGGCTGCATAAATGTCTTCTTTTGAGAAGTGTCTGTTCATATCCTTTGCCCACTTTTTGATGGGGTTGTTTTTTTTTTTTCTTGTAAATTTGTTTGAGTTCATTGTAAATTCTGGATATTAGCCCTTTGCCAGATGAGTAAATTGCAAAAATTTTCTCCCATTCTGTAGGTTGCCTGTTCACTCTGATGGTAGTTTCTTTTGCTGTGCAGAAGCTCTTTAGTTTAATTAGATCCCATTTGTCAATTTTGGCTTTTGTTGCCATTGCTTTTGGTGTTTTGGACATGAAGTCCTTGCCCATGCCTATGTCCTGAATGGTATTGCCTAGGTTTTTTTCTAGGGTTTTTATGGTTTTAGGTCTAACATTTAAGTCTTTAATCCAGATGACATGATTGTATATCTAGAAAACCCCATTGTCTCAGCCCAAAATCTCCTTAAGCTGATAGGCAACTTCAGCAAAGTCTCAGTTTACAAAATCAATGTGCAAAAATCACAAGCATTCTTATATACCAATAACAAACAGAGAGCCAAATCACGAGTGAACTCCCATTCACAATTGCTTCAAAGAGAATAAAATACCTAGGGATCCAACTTACAAGGGATGTGAAGGAGCTCTTCAAGGAGAACTACAAACCACTGCTCAATGAAATAAAAGAGGATACAAACAAATGGAAGAACATTCCATGCTTATGGGTAGGAAGAATCAATATCGTGAAAATGGCCATACTGCCCAAGGTAATTTATAGATTCAGTACCATCACCATCAAGCTACCAATGACTTTCTTCACAGAATTGGAAAAAACTACTTTAAAGTTCATATGGAAACAAAAAAGAGCCTGCATAGCCATGACAATCCTAAGCAAAAAGAACAAAGCTGGAGGCATCATGCTACTTGACTTCAAACTATACTACAAGGCTACAGTAACCAGCATAGCATGATACTGGTATCAAAACAGAGATATAGACCAATGGAACAGAACAGAGCCCTCAGAAATAATGCCACATGTCTACAACCATCTGATCTTTGACAAACCTGACAAAAACAAGCAATGGGGAAAAGGATTCCCTATTTAATAAATGGTGCTGGGAAAACTGGCTGGCCATATGTAGAAAGCTGAAACTGGATCCCTTCCTTACACCTTACACAAAAATTAATTCAAGATGGATTAAAGACTCAAACATCTTCAATTCTTTAGGTTTCAGCTACCTTCTTACACAAAGGCTCTCTTTTCCTAGTAAGACTGAAAGTGTGGATGTCTTATCCCTTTATAATTCTGACTGTCTGCAGTGGATAGTTTGTATATTTGAGAATGTCCTAATGGGTGGATTCTGACTTCAGTTAATGTCCTTATCTATAAAAAAAAAAGGTTGCTTTGTTGTGCATGACTCCCACATACTCATAACCCTTCGCCCATGACCTACCACCTTCCAGCCAAGGCTTCACTGCTTCTCTGAATCATGTGGTATATTACCTTCAATCACTCTTTTTGTCAGCATGATCAATTCATGTGTTCTTATCCTTTTATTGCATTTGCCCTGCCAACCCCACTCTTAGACCCATCCATATATCTATCTTCTCTGTTCCTCCACATGGGCTATGAAATGAGAAGAAATACCACTATTGCAGAAGGTAGATGACTTATATTTTACGATATCACCCATGGATCCACCCTAAACGAGGCTCTCAACCATACTTGGAAATCCCGTTGTGTATCCCTGAATATATCCCTCTCTCATTTCTCATAGTGCTTATGCAAACCTTTTACAATTTCACCTGGTTTGTCTCATCTCCCATCAATCCTATCCCTCTAATAGTTCACGTGTTTTTGTGAGAATTATATGTAAAAAATGTAGCATGGTGCTTAACGCAGAGAGAATATCTAATAAAGGATAATAATTATTTTATTAAATAACCAGAAAATTCAGAAAATAAGTAACACAAAATCCCACCACCTACAGATATTTACTGTTCAGCAGTTTTTAACAGAAACAATATTTAGCTAAAAATTATTATCTCAAAACATAAATATTGATTTATCAATAATTTCTCTAAACAGAAATATTTTTAAAACATTAAGCAGAGTTACTAATATATTTTAATATCATGTATCTTAATAAGGTTAAGTTTTATACCTGTTTGAAAACTATTATCATAAAAGCTGAGGAATGAAAAAGATATTTTCCAATTTTTATTATAACAAGGTAAACATAGACAAAAGTCAAAAGAATAGTTTAATGAACACCAACATACCCATCAAGTAGATTCAAAAATTAATTTTTTTTTTTGAGATGGAGTCTCGCTCTGTCGCCCAGGCTGGAGTGCAGTGGCGTGGCATAATCTCTGCTCACTGCAAGCTCCCCCTCCTGGGTTCATGCCATTCTCCTGCCTCAGCCTCCCAAGTAGCTGGGACTACAGGCGCCCGCCACCACGCCTGGATAATTTTTTGTATTTTTTCGTAGAGACAGGGTTTCACTGTGTTAGCCAGGATGGTCTCAATCTCCTGACCTCGTGTTCCGCCCGCCTCAGCCTCCCAAAGTGCTGGGATTACAGGCCTGAGCCACTGCGCCTGGCTAAGAATTAATATTTTATAGTTGCTTTAGCTCTCTTTGTGTTTGTGTGTTTGCTTAACGTTTTTTGTTTTTGTTTTTTGTTTTTTGAGAGATGGGGTCTTGGGTCTCCCTCTGTCACCCAGGCTGGAGTGCAGTGGTGCACTCAGCTCACTGCAACCTCAAACTCCGTTCAAATGATGCCCTCTCCTTAACCTCCTGAGTAGCTGGGATTACAGGAAAGCACCACCACAGCAGGCTGCAGATATTTTAAAGAAATTTTCAGATATGACACTTCTAAATATTTTAGCACATATCTGTAGAAATAAGTACATTGGTATATATAATCACTATTTTATTATCACACCAAGGGAAACGAACAATCCCTGATATCAACTAATATGTAGTTTTTTGTTGTTGCTTTTTGTTTGTTTGTTTGTTTGTTTTGAGACAGAATCTCTGTCTCAAAGAGATTTGAGACAGAATCTCTGTCTCAAAGAGATTTGAGACAGAGACACTCTGTCGCCAGGCTGGAGTGCAGTGGTGCAATCTCGGCTCCCTGCAACCTCCGCCTCATGGGTTCAAGTGATTCTCCTGCTTCAGCCTCCTGAGCAGCTGGGACCACAGGTGTGTGCCACCATCCCCATCTAATTTTTTTTTTTTTTTTTTTTTTTTTAGTAGAGATGGGGTTTCACCATGTTGGCCAGGATGGTCTTGATCTCTTGACCTCATGATCCACCTGTTTCTGCCTCCCAAAGTGCTGAGATTACAATTGTGAGCCACTGCACTCAGCCAACTAATATATAGTTTTATAGTCTTTATTCAATTTCTTCTAATATTTCCAAACATGTTTTCTAAAGCTACTTTTATTTGAATGAGATCCCTTTAAGGTCTACATATTGCATTTTGTTTCTATATCTCTTTGGTTACTTTTATTCTATAATGGCCCTCCCATTTTTTTTTTTTTAACCTATGACATTGACTTGAAAGATGCAGGGGTGGTGATTCCCACTACATCACTGTTCAACTCTCCCATTTGGCCTGTGCAGAAGACAGACGGATCTTGGAGAATGTCAGTGGATTACTGTAGGCTTAACCAAGTGGTGACTCCAATTGTAGCTGCTGTACCAGATGTGGTTTCACTGCTTGAGCAAATTAACACATCTCCTGGTACCTGGTATGCAGCCACTGACTTGGCAAATGCCTTTTTCTCCATTCTTGTCCATAAGGCCCACCAGAAGCAATTTGCCTTCAGCTGGCAAGGCCAGCAATATGCCTTTACTGTCCTACCTCAGGGGTATATCAACTCTCCAGCTTTGTGTCATAATCTTATTTGGAGAGACCCTGATTGCTTTTTGCTTCCACAAGATATCACGCTGGTCCCTTACATTGATGACATTATGCTGATTGGATCCAGTGAGCAAGAAGTAGCAAACAGACTGGACTTATTGGTGAGACGTGCATGCCAGAGGATGGGAAATAAATTCAACTAAGATTCAGGGATCTTCTACTTCAGTAGAATTTCTAGCGGTCCAGTGATGTAGGGCCTGTCAAGATATTCTTTCTAAGGTGAAGGATAAGTTGCTGCATTTGACCTCTCCTACAACCAAGAAAGAGCCGCAATGCCTAGTAGGCCTATTTGGATTTTGGAGGCAACACATTCCTCATTTGGGTGTGTTACTCCAGTCCATTTATTGAATGATCCGAAAGGCTGCCAGTTTTGAGTGGGGCTCAGAACAGGAGAAGGCTGTGCAATAGGTCCAGGCTGCTGTGCAGGCTGCTCTGCCACTTGGGCCATATGACCCTGTAGATTCAATTGTGCTTGAGGTGTCAGTGGCAGATAGGGATGCTGTTTGGAGCCTTTGGCAGGCCCCCATAGGTGAATCACAGTGGAGGCCTCTAGGATTTTGGAGCAAGGCCCTCACATCTTCTGTAGATAACTACTCTCCTTTGGAGAGATAGCCCTTGGCCTGTTGATGGGCTTTGGTGGAAACTGAACGTTTGACTCGGGGTCATCAAGTCACCATGCAACTTGAACTGCCTATTATGAACTAGGTGCTTTCTAACCCATTAGGCAAAAGTGGGTCGTGCACAGCAGCATTCCGTCATCAAATGGCAGTGATATATATATGATATACAACAGCAGGTCCTGAAGGCACAAGTAAATTACATGAGGAAGTGGCTTACATGCCCATGGTCTCCACTCCTGCCACCCTGCCTCCTCTCCCCCATCAGGTATCAATGGCCTCATCGAGAGTTCCCTATGATCAGTTGACAGAGGAAGAGAAGGCTAGGTTCACAGATGGTTCTGCACGATATGCAGGCACCACCCGAAAGTGGACAGCTGCAGCACTGCAGCCCCTTTCTAGGATATCCCTGAAGGACAGCGGTGAAGGTAAATTTTCCCAGTGGGCAGTGCACCTGGTTGTGCACTTTACATAGAAGAAGAAATAGCCAGATGTGCAATTACATACTGATTCATTGGCTGTAGCCAATGGTTTGGCTGGATGGTCAGGGACTTGGAAGAAGCATGATTGGAAAATTGGTGACAAAGAAATTTGGAGAAGAGGTATGTGGATGGACCTCTCTGAGTGGTCAAGATTATGAAGATATTTGTATCCCACGTGAGTGCTCACCAATGGGTGACCTCAGCAGAGGAGGATTTTAATAATCAAGTGGATAGGATGACTCATTCTGTGGACACCATTCAGCCTCTTTCCCCAGCCACTCCTGTCATCACCCAATGGGCCTATGAACAAAGTGGCCATGGTGGCAGGGATGGAGGTTACACATGGGTTCAGCAACATGGACTTCTACTCACCAAAGCTGACCTGACTATGGCCACTGCTGAGTGCCCAATTTGCCAGTAGCAGAGACCAACACTGAGCCCTCAATATGGCACCATTCCTTGGGGTGATCAGCCAGCTATCTGGTGGCAGGTTGATTATATTGGACCTCTTCCATCATGGAAAGAGCAGAGGTTTGTCCTCACTGGAATAGACACTTACTCTAGATATGGGTTTTCCTATTCTGCAGGCAATGCTTCTGCCAAGACTACCATCTGTGTACTCACAGAATGCCTTATCCACTGTCATGGTATTCCATACAGCATATTCTCTGACCAAGGCACTCACTTTATGGCTAAAAAAGTGCATCCATGGGCTCAAGCTCATGGAATTCACTGGTATTTCCATATTCCCCATTATCCTGAAGCAGCTGGATTGATATAATGAAGAAATGGCCTTTTGAAGCCAGAATTACAATGCCAGCTAGGTGACAATACTTTGCAAGCTGCGGCAGAGTTCTCCAGAAGGCCGAGTATGCTCTGAATCA
Source organism: Homo sapiens (assembly GCF_000001405.40). Lineage (NCBI taxonomy): Eukaryota > Metazoa > Chordata > Mammalia > Primates > Hominidae > Homo > Homo sapiens. Next base: position 36,465,163 of record NC_000008.11, on the reverse strand, counting down.
GCATCCAATATATGGCACTGTTTCTCCCATAGCCAGGATTCATGGGTCCAGGAATCAAGGAGTGGAAGTGGCACCTCTCATCATCACCCCTAGTGAGCCACTAGCAAAATTTTTGCTTCCTGTTCCCATGACATTACATTCTGCTGTCCTAGAGGTCTTAGTTACAGAGGGAAGAATGCTGCTACCAAGAGACACAACAATAATTGCATTAAACTGGAAGTTAAGATTGCCACCTGGACACTTTGAGCTCCTCCTACCTTTAAGTCAACAGGCTAAGAAGGGAACTACAGTTTTGGCTGTGGTGATTGACCCAGACTATCAAGATGAAATCAGTCTTCTACTCCATAATGGAGGTAAGGAAGAGTATGCAAGAAATGCAGGAGATCCGTTAGGGTGTCTCTTAGTATTACCATACCCTGTGATTAAGGTAAATGGGAAACTATAACAGCCCAATCCAGGCAGGACTACAAATGGTCCAGACCCCTCAGGAATGAAGGTTTTGGTCACTCTAACAGGAAAAAATCCACGACTTGCTGAGATGCTTGCTGAAGGCAATGGGAATACAGAATGGATAGTAGAAGAAGGTAGTCATCAATACCAGCTACCACTATGTGACCAGGTGCAGAGATAAGGACTGTAATTGTCATGAGTATTTCCTCCTTCTTTTGTTAAAAACATGCTTGTGCATGTATACATTTATACTAAGAAAATTTGTTCATTTAATTTTATTTTCCTTTATCATGTGACATAAGATGTGTTGACTTCATATCAGCATTTAAGTATTGTTAACTTTATGTAATAGTATTTGGGTAAGGGATTGGCACATTTCCAGTTGTACAAAGGATGGCTGTATTATGTTAGATGTGATTATGACCTTATTATTGTCTTTATTTGAAGATTAATTTTGATCTCAGGAGATGTGTATGCGTTCAAATTGACAAGGGGTGGGCTTGTGATGGTTAATACTGAATATCAACTTGAGTGGATTGAAGGATGCAAAGTGTTGATCCTGGGTGTGTCTGTGAGAGTGTTGCCAAAGGAGATTCACATTTGAGTCAGTGCACTGGGGAAGGCAGACCCACCCTTAATCTGGTGGGCACCAACTAATCAGCTTCCAGAGAATATAAAGCCGGCAGAAAAATGTTAAAAAGTGAGAACAGTCTAGCATCCCAGCCTACATTTTTCTCCCGTGCCAGATGCTTCCTGCCCTCAAATATCGGACTTCAAGTTCTTCAGTTTTGAGACTCGGACTGACTCTCCTTGCTCCTCAAGCTTGTAGACAGCCAGTATTGTGGGATCTTGTGATTGTGTAAGTTAATACTTAACAAACTTATATACATATATATATATATAAAATATTTATATATGTATACTATTAGATATATCCAATTAGGTTCTGTCCCTCTAGAGAGCCCTGACTTATACAGTTACTTTTTTATTTACTAGTTCTGATTCCCTTCATTCCTTCTTGTGAATTCCATTTACCATCTAGTGTCATGTCTGTCTTCAACACAGCTTTCCACCCACTTCCAATACAGTTTCCATTCAACTCTTTTATCCTATTATTGTCAAATGTATGCATTTCTGCTAGCAACAAGTTGTCTCAGTATTTTTTTTTTTTTTTTGAGATGGAGTCTTGCTTTCTTGCCCAGGCTGCAGTGGGACGATCTTGGCTCACTGCAACCTCTGCCTCCCAGGTTCAAGTGATTCTCCTGCCTCAGCCTCCTGAGTAGCTGGGATTACAGGTGCTTGCCACCATGCCCAGCTAACTTTTGTATTTTTAGTAGAGACAGGGTTTCACCATGTTGGTCAGGCTGGTCTCAAACTCCTGACCTCATGATCTGCCTGCCTCAGCCTCCCAAACTGCTGGGATTACAGGTGTGAGCCACCGCGCCCAGCCCTCAGTATTGTTTTAATCTTGGAATGTTCTTACTTGACCTTTATTTTTGATAGGTATTTTTCCTAGTTATAAGATTGTTAGTTGATGTTTTCTTTTTCTTGTAGTACTTTGAATATGTCATCCCACTGCCTTCTACCTTCCATTATATCTGATGAGAATTCAGCTGTTAATGTTATTTGGTTTCCTTTGTGTATGATGAGTCACTTTTCTTACTGTTTTCAAGATTTTCTCTTTATCTTTTGGCTTTTAACATTTTGGCTACAATGTGTCTAGATGTGGATCTTTTTGTGTTTGTCATACTTGGAGTTCCTTGAGCTTCTTAGTTGTATCGAGTAATGTTTTCTTCAAATTTGGGAAATTTTCAGGCATTATATCTTCAATTTTTTTCTGTCTTTTTCTCTCTCCTCCTTCTAGTGTAGGTGTTGGTGTACTTAATGGCATCTCACATTTATTTGAGGGTCTATGCCTTTTTCTTCATTGCATTTTTCCCTCTGTTCTTCTAATTGCATAATCTCCATCCATCTTTAATTCACTGATTATTTTTTCTGCCAGCTCAGGTCTATTTTGAGCTTCATTAAATAATTTTTCATATTGCTCATACTTTTCAATTCCAGAATTATTATTTCTGTTTTTATATTTCTATCTTATTATCAATATTCTTTGTTTAGATTTTGTCATTATACATTTATTTAATTTTTGAGATGTGATTTACTTAGTTCTTTGAACATATTTATAATAGCTTCTTTGATGTGTTTTTCTGCTAAGTCCAACATTGAAAGCCCTTCAAAATCATTTTCCGGGTCCTGTGTTTGTTCCCTGGGTATGGGTCATACTTTTCTGTACCCTTTCATGTCTTATAATTTTTTTTGGTTGACGATTGGACATTTGCAATAATATATTTTAGCTACTCTGGATACCGATTCCCTTGGGGTGCTGGTATTTTTGTTGTTTGCTTTTTCATTTATTTATCAGTTATCTGGCTGAACTTAGTCTCTGAAGTCTATTTCCCTCATTGTGTATAGTCTCTGTGTCCCTGCACAATTTTTTTCTTGTTTGTATCTTTTAGAATGATGACCTAGCAGTAAACTCTGGATCAGCATAAGCCATTAATAAATGGTCAAAGACTACTTAAACCAACATGGCCAGACAGATACTTATCATTTATTATTGAATATGTATATACTTCCAAGGTTGCTATCACAGTTCAAGGAGTTTATGTGTTTGGTCCACTAGTTCTACCAGGGAATAGTAGCTTGCATTTTTTGTCTTTGATTATTAGAGTGTGAAGCCTTGGACATGCACACATTATTCCATACCAGCAGGAATGTGTGATTTTCTTTTTATGTCTAAGCTTCATAGGATTTGTCACTTGGTCAGAGTAGCTTATTGTTCAGCCAGTGTTCGGTCATAGGTTGTGCCTCAGACTCTAGTATTAATGAGGCTTCTGCCCTTTTCAATGAATCTGTGTGCAGCTTGGGAAGTTTTCAATACTGCTTCACATACTGTTGTAATTGTTTCTGAGTGGAGACAGCGTAGCAGAAGCATACAGACTTCTCATCCTCCAGGGTTGACTGTGATCCCATGGGGGCTCTTCTTAGCTGTCTTTGTAACCTGGCTCTCTCTGTTAAACTGGCTGCTGTTCCATTTTTTGCTTGTTGCCACCAGTATCGTGGAATTATGAGAGCTTCTTAATATTTTCCAGCCAAGAACACCGTTGTTTTTGACAATGCCTTTAGGCATCGGATTCTCTAAGTTCTATTCCAAATAAATTTAGTTTTTTCAGGTAAAGCTGAAGAACTCTTCTCTTTAATGCCTGCTTCTTCTTCCTTACAAGACTTTCCATCAGTGCACTGGGTGAGGGCAGTGTCCTGCTTTTTTCCAGAATGACACTTGTTCTATAAGGTAGAGAGATGGGGTTGTGGTAGTCCCTGGTAGTCTTGGCTTGCCCCTACCATCAACAGTCTTACGAAGAAGCTGAGGAGGGCATGAAAAGGGTCCAGTATGCTCAGTTGTCTGTACCTGGATTAGAGCTTTCATCCTATTAGTAGAGGTTGAACTGAAAAGAACACTAATTATTTTGGCCACACACGCTAGCCAGAGAACCTTTCCAACATGAGAGTGGGGCAGAGGAAAAAGAACAGATTACTTTTCCTGGGATGAAATTGTAGCTCTAGACTAGGAGGTGGGGGGGGGGGGAAACACTCATCTTCTTGGCCACATCTGCTCAGAATAGAGCATCTGGAATCATTTCTGTAAGATGCAGCTTGAAGTGGCTGGGAGGAGTGGATAGTGGCTCTCATGCTACCCTCTTGCTGTTCTTGTTGAAATTTAGTAGAATTTCCTTAATATTAAATGTGTCTCCATTTGTTGTATGCTCTTAGGACAATTTCCAAATTAAAAATTTAATTAAAATTTAATTTAAATTCCATTTTAAACAATTGTTTAAAAATAATTTTCTGTAGTTAAAGAGTTGTTTTATTGTGCTCCTTTTCTGCTATTCTGGAAGTGGATTCGCTCTTCACTCTTGATTTTTATAGGTTCCTTAAATATTAAGATTATTGAATCCTCAGACTTTGGGAGGCCGAGGCAGGTGGATCACCTGATATCAGGAGTTTGAGACCAGCCTGGCCAATATGGAGAAACCCTGTCTCTACTAAAAAATACAAAAATTAGCTGGGCGTGGTGGTGTGGGCCTGTAATCCCTGCTACTCAGGAGGCTGAGGCAGGAGAATCACTTGAACCTGGGAGGTGAAGGTTGCAGTGTGCCCTGAGATCGCTCCACTGCACTCCAGCCGGGGCGACGGAGGGAGACTCTGTCTAACAAAAACAAACAAACAAAAAGATTATTAGATCATAAATGTTAACGTGACATGCATTTCAAATATTTTCTTCTGATCTGTCTTTCTTATTCTCTTGATTATTATTATTTTTTGGCCGGGAAGAAGTTTCTGGTTTCTGTTTAGTTATTAAGCAATAAAATATATCAATACTTCATTGTTTCTGGAGTTTGAGTCATGGTGAAAACAAACTTTTGCCACTCTGAAGTTTTAAAGAAATTGGCCCAAGTTTTCCTCTAATACTTATATGAACTCAATCTTTTTCTTAAGTGTTAGATCCATTTCAAATTTATTATAATGTATATTGGGAGGCATGCATTGTGATTTATCTTTTTGTTATATACTTTAAGTTCTAGGATACATGGGCAGAACGTGCAGGTTTGTTACATAAGTATACACATGCCATGGTGGTTTGCTTCACCCATCAACCCGTCATCTACATTAGGTATTTCTCCTAACGCTATCCCTCCCCTAGTCTCCCACCCCTCAACAAGCCATGGTGTGTGATGTTCCCCTCCCTGTGTCCATGTTTTCTCATTGTTCAACTCCCACTTATGAGTGAGAACATTCAGTGTTTAGTCTTCTGTTCCTGTGTCAGTTTGCTGAGAATGATGGTTTCCAGCTTCATCCATGTCCCTGCAAAAGACATGAATTCATCCTTTTTTATGGCTGCATAGTATTCCATGGTATATATGTGCCACATTTCTTTATCCAGTCTATCATTGATGGGCATTTGAATTGGTTCGAAGTCTTTGCTATTGTGAACAGTGCTGCAATAAACATACATGTGCATGTGTGTTTATAGTAGAATGATTTAAAATCCTTTGGGTATATACCAAGTAATGGGATTGCTGGGTCAAATGGTATTTCTGGTTCTAATTCCTTGAGGAATTGCCACACTGATTTATCTTTTTCCCAATGATTATTGAGTTGTTCTAATACCACCTATTTTTTTAACATGCCATTGTTAGCATATACCCAGTTTGCTTATATCCTTGCATCAATTTCTGGGCTTCATATCCTTTTCTACTAACTTACTCTCCATTCAAGAGCCAATAATATACTATGTTAATTATAGATACTTCTTAGTATATTTTAATATAAGGCTGGATACAGTAATAGGGCTGAATACTTTAATACGTTTTACTGTCTTTTTTTGGTTAATTAGTTTGTTACTATTCTTGTTTATTTTCTACATAAAATTTATAATGAATTTGCCTATCTCTGGAGGAAAAGTAATCTTGGTATATTTATTGAAATAATGTTAAATTTATATATTAATGCAAGAATAATTTATATGTCTACGATGTTGAGAGATTCTATTTCTAATAACATAAAATGTCTTCTCATTTACTGAAGTTCACTTTTTTTGACTATGAATTGTATCAAAGTTTTCATTGTATGAGTTTTGCATATTTCTGGTTAGGTTTATGAAGTTTATTATTTGGTAGTTAATTTTATTTTTCTGATATTACAAATCAGATTTTCTCCTCCATTATGTCTTCTAACAAAATATTCTTTGTGTATATGAAGGCTGTTGGCTTTTGTATGTTAACTTCTTTTTTTCTTTTTTCTCTTTTTTTGAGACAGAGTCTGTCTCTGTCACCCAGGCTGGAGTGCAATGGCGTCTTGGCTCACTGCAACCTCCACCTCCTACATTTAAGCAATTCTCGCGCCTCACCATCCTGAGTAGCTGGGACTACAGGCACCTGCCACCATCTTTTGAAATTTTTAGTAGTGCTGAAGTTTTGCCATGTTGGCCAGGCTGGTCTTGAACTCCTGGGTTCGAATAAGTGCTGGGATTACAGGCATGGGCCATGGCGCCCAGCCTTCTATGTTAATTTTGTATCCTTTTTTTCTGGATTTTTTCATTTGTTTGTATTACATTTATTATTGATTATCTTGGGTTTTCCAGGCATATAATTACAGGCACATCTGCAATTAGAAATAACTTTACCCTTTTCTCCTTTTAAGACTTATGCTTCTAATACTATTTTAAAAGACTGAATCTACTTCATAATATCTTTAATACATAGTTAAATAGTAGTAAAAATTGTGAGCAACATTTCCTTAGAAAAGCCTACAGTTTTTTTCCATTAGGTAAAATTCTGGATTTTAATCTGAGTTATGTACATTTTTATCATGTTAAGGAAGAGCCATTGATTTATATTTTATTTGTTTTAATCAGAAATAAGTGTTGGTTTTTTCAAAGACTTTTTCAATAGCTTAATAGACAATTATATAATTTTTCTCAGAGATATTACATTACTGTGGTCATGGAAGTTTTTAAAAATATGTATTCTGTATTTTATTTCCAAATTTTGTGCATGTAACTATGACAGAAAATTACCCTTTAGTTTTTTTTTAATTGTGCAAGCTTTATTGAATTTAAATAGAAGTGTTTTACTGGCTTCCTAATAAAAATTTGAATATATTCTTTCTAATAGTTAAGGTAGCATTGAAATCATTTAGTCTTAGAAACTATTGTGAAATTTTTTCTTGAAAACTTCTGGATCTAGTGTTCTAGGGTTTTTTTTGAGTTTTTTTTTTTTTTTGCTTTTGTTTTTCTCTTATTTTTTTCTTTTTCTGTTAATGGGGGCATATCTCTTTGGCAAATTTCTCAAATTCTTGTAAAGAAACTAAGATTTTTAATTTTCTATTTCAAGTATAATTTGGTAGGTAAAAATTTCCTGAGGATTTTTTATTTTATCTAGGTTTTCAAATTTATATTCATAATATTTTTCAAGTTAGTCTCATGATAGTTTAATAATATTTCTTATGTTTTAATGAAGTACTGAATTCATTGAAATGTGATATTTTTCTATCACTTTTTTTTGTTTATTTGGTACATTTGCCTTTCTCCCTTATTTCTTTTTATTATTTATTTATTTATTTATTTATGTATTTTTGAGATGGAGTGTTGCTCTGTTGCCCAGGCTGGAGTGCAGTGGCGCAATCTCGGCTCACTACAGGCTCCTAGGTTTACGCCATTCTCCTGCCTCAGCCTCCCGTAGCTGGGACTACAGGCACCCGCCAACACGCCCAGCCAATTTTTTTGTATTTTTAGTAGAGACGGGGTTTCACCACGTTAGCCAGGATGGTCTCAATCTCCTGATCTCGTAATCCGCCTGCCTCGGCCTCTCAAAGTGCTGGGATTACATCTCCCTTATTTCTTAATTAAGTTAGCTGGTAGTTTTTCTATCTTGTTAAGTTTTCAAAAACATGCTCTAAAATATACTTGTTATTTTTACATATTAATTCATATTTTCATCTCCTTTTGTTATTTCCTTAACTTTACTTTCTCTTTTTTTTTTAAGTTAACTTTAACTTTTTTGAATATCATGGTGAGATGTAGGGACAAGAGAACAAGATTCATCAAAAAGAGCTAAGGTTTTGGCCAGAAGTCTATCTAATTTTGATCTATCAAGTCAAATAGAAACATACGTATTAAAAGCTAAGGAAAGTATCTTCAAGTACTTGAAAAAAATTCTGTGCTCCCCCAGGGAAATAGGAGTAGTACCCTCTCTTCTGCTAGATATGGCCAAAAAAGAGTGGCAAAAAAGAGTCCAACATAGAGTTTTCCAAGCAAACCTATGACTTTCTCTCAACTCCATCCTTTCCTAAGTTAGGAGCATGTTTGTAGTTTTACAATTAGAGGAGAGATAAGATAGGAGGAACCTCAAATTGGCCTGCTATTCCATCCTTCTGTATCCAGTCTCCGCTAACCTCCTTGCATTGAAACTTTGCAATGTTGTAAGTTAATGGATAGATTCTTTTCTAGTTTCCATAATTGATTTTGATAATGCCTGTATTACTCATTTCAATGAGAGCCGAGGGAAAAGCCACAGTGCCATCTTGTTTGGATACCCAACACGTATTTTTTCCATTGTGTAAGTCTCTGCCCTATAAATAATAATCCCTTTAGCAGAGGGACTGTGCTGTATGCATCCTTGTTTCCCATGTTTGATGCAGTGAATTGCTTACATTAAATGCTAAGAAATATTTTGAAAAACACAGACAGAAAAAATAAAGGAAAGACAAGTTGGGGAAGGGGGAAGAAAGAAAGAAAAGGTTTAAAAAAAGTACAAAAAAAGGTAAAGGAAAGTTGTAACTCTAAATCAAGGTTATGTATATTAAGGAAACTGCATTTGCAAAGAAACTTGAAGCTTTGGTAACCTGTGCCCATAATTGATTAGGCAAGAATGAATTTTAAGATGCTGAGGTGAAAGGAAAATATAATAGTTCATGCCATTGCTAAAAGCATGAAAAACAGAGTTATGCATAAGAAAGATTGGTAATTTATGATTGTTATTTAATGCCTAGAGATAGATCAAAGCCAGAGAATGAGTCCGAACTAGAAATGTACATTGATAATTTCAAATGGGTGGTCCTACTTGGGATCTAAGGCAAGATTTTTAATTGGCCTCATGCAGCTGCATCGTATTTGTTTTCAAGTAAATTTATTTCCTCAGACCAAAATTAAGTTCTAATCTGAGAGGGAGGACAAAGGTATACTGTTGAAAAAAAAATGCAATCGATACAATTGTTTAGAGATAGAACATTCAGGATATGGCTATACTGTCCTATATTTCTCTCTAGTATAAATGCTACATGCATTAGGCCATTTAGATACTAATTGTAGCACCAAAGATAGAGCTTTTGTATTCTAGTGCAAGCTAAGCAGTTTCTTTTTCTTCTCTTCCACTTTAGAAGTTTGAATATCGTGGTGAGATGTAGGGACAAGGGAACAAGATTCATCAAAAAGAACCAAGGTTTTGGCCAGAAGCTATGTAGCAGGTCCTGTAGCTGTGTCCTGTCCACAATAGGTAATAAAAGTCCAGTGGAGTAGATATTATCTTCACCCATGCCATGGAACAAGATAGAGTCACACTAATAGCCTTAACATGAGAATTACAAACCTAAAGCAGAGCACAGTCTAAAAAGTGGAGGCCAGGGAGAGCGTGGGGTCCTCAGTGAAGCGTAGCTTGGGTAGACTAGGAGAAAAGACAAGAAGCAGCCAGCTTTCTATATTAAATCTGTGAAAGGAAAACCTAAGCCTACCTAAAGATGGAGAACCCAAAAAACTAATCAGGGGGACAATATACTATGAAGTTCAGCAGAACTGTGATCTGATGCAACAGATTGTCAGCATTTCTCCTAAAAAGCATGGTGTCTTGACTAGGGCATCTGCAGATGGTGTCCAGAGTCCAGAAAGTCAAGTCATTCCAAGAGCTGCCAGAATGGGGACTTCTTGTGAACTCTGTCACTTATCAGCTGAATAGCCTTAAACAAATTATTCAACTTCTCTATGCTATAGAGCTAGTGAAAGAGCCTATTTCATAGAGTTATGCAAAGATAAACTGAAATAATATACTCAAATAACCTAGCATAATGCTTGACTTATTAAAAGTGCTTAATGAATAGAATACTATCATTATCATTACAATTATGGTTAAATTTTTGAACAAGTATGCCACTCCATCTCAGCACTGTTTTAAATGCTGAGAATACTTCAGTAAATGAAATATACAAAAACACCAACATGGCAAAACTGCAATTATTTTTAATGGCAAAAATCACAATTACTTTTGCACCAGCCTAATACAAAATGTTTGCCCCCATGAAACTTACATTCTAGTGAGGGAAGAGAAAAAAAAAAAAGAAAAACAATGTAAAGTGATAACAAGAATTACTGAGAAAATGAGAGCTGGATAGTTGTCCACAGTCTGGGTGTGGTCAGTGAGTAGAGGCACCCCTTCTTTCCCATGGATCTATATGAGTATTAACATCAAGAAATGAGAGATGATGTTAAAAGGGATAAAATTCATAATGATGATTATCCTAATGGCATTGAGGTAAGCAGTGCTGGTGAGAGTCAAGGTGTTGTGGGGTGGGGAAGAGAAGATATAGGACTTTCCAGCAGTGCCCTGAGTGCAGAGGTCCTCTCTTCACTCCTCACAGTGCTACTGTGGCAGACGAGGAAAGTTCTTATTATTATAAGCCTTGGCACCGGTTACTCCTTGAACCATTTTTTAAGATTTTTGTTTCTAATTTTATTTTTGACCTTTTAAAAATTAGCCTGTATTAATCAGAGTTATCCATAGAAACAGAGTCAATAGGAGAGGTGGGGTGAGGGAGAGAGAGAGAGAAAGGAGAGAGAGAGAGAGAAAGAGAGATTTTTATTATAAGTAATTGGCTTATGCAATAATTATGGAAGCTGATAAGTCCCATGTTCTTTTGTCTGCAAGCTGAAGACCAAGGAAAGCTTGCGCTGTAGTTCCAGTCTGAGTCTGAAGGTCTGAGAACCAGGAAACCTGATAGTGTAAATCTAGTGCAAGTCTGAAGGTGTGAAAAGCGAGGAGTGCTGATGGTATAAGTCTCATTTTGAAGGCAGGAAAGATTGATATCTTAGGTCAAAGACAATCTGACAGAGAGAGTAATTTATCTCTTCCTGTGACTTTTTGTTCTGTTCAGGCCCTCAACAGATTGAGCAATGTCCACCCACATCAGGGAGGGCCGTCTGCTTCACTCAGTCCACCGATTCAAATGCTCATCTCCTCTAGAAGCACTCACATATATACACCCAGAAATAATGTTGAACTAAATATCTGGATACATGCTGACTCAGTCAAGTTGACACAGAATTAACCATCACATTCTTGGCCTACAGGCAAAATAATAGCAAAATGAAGAATCAAATGCAACACATAAATTTTGCTTTAGATAAAGGAAAAAATGGGAGTATAGTTTATACTGAAAAGTCTACCTGATTCCTTCTAGATAAAGCCTTATAGTACTGTAAAATCTCACAATGTGTTCTAAATTATGAAAAATTTTGACCATCAGGTAACTGGTGAGGTTATTGGGGCCACAAAACTGTGATTGGGGAAACACCATTATATTGGCAGCAAATGAGAAGGAAGGAAGAAGAAGGGGGTGTCTCTGCCAACTGATATAGAGTGACCTGAAGGTCTATGCTTACTGTGGGCCTCGACCTAGCCACCCCATCAGTCTTAGCTCCTTCAGAATGTCCCTCAGACTTCCATCTGATGACCCTTTTTACAATGTCAGTCTTCTGTTGATATTCAATATAATCTGAATTTCCTTGGATATCAGTATTGGCTGCAAATCTTGTTTGGATTGGAAACCTCTAAGGTACCCCTCTTCCTGTTGGAACTGAGAGAAGGAAGTGTCAACAAAAGTTAAGTCAGAGGTGAGCAGAAGGGGTGAGGGTCAGACATCTGAACGTGCCAACCAGCGTGGAGTAGACATGAATGGATCAAGGTTTGATGTACTGGGAGGAAGTCCATGTAGTCAGACAATTGCTCTACCCAGTGGCTCTGGGGATAGTTAGGAGACCTAGACACTGGGAGGACAGTAGCAATCCATAAAATGAGCTGTCCCTTACTTAGGAAGCAGTTTTTTCATAAATAAGGAGTTTGGGGCAAAGGATATGCAGTGAACCTGGTAAAAAAAATAGCACCAACAGCTGAGTTCAGGGGCCACTCATAGGACCAAGAATGAGATGTGTTTCAGAATCATTAAAACTGACCAAAGCAAGTCTCCACGTCGTGAGTTTGAGGGATCCAAGTTACTGTTCAGGTAAAAAAGGCAAAAGTAGATGCCAAGGGATATGGTTTGGCTCTGTGTCCCCACCCAAATCCCATCTTGAATTGTAATCCCCATGTGTCGAGGGCAGGACCTGTAATACCCATGTGTACAGGGAGGGAGTTGACTGGATCATGGGGGCAGCTTCCCCCATGCTGTTCTTATGATACTGAGTGAGTTCTCATGAGATCTGATGGTTTCGTAAGTGTTTGACAGTTCCTTCTTCACACGCTCTTTCTCCTGTCACCTTGTGGAGAAGACGCCTGCTTCTTCTTTGCCTTCTGCCATGATTGTAAGTTTCCTGAGGCCTCCACAGCCATGGAGAACTGTGAATTAATTAAACCTCTTTCCTTTATAAATTACCCAGTCTCGGATATTTCTTTAGAGCAGTGTGAAAATGGACTAATACACAAAGTATACTTCAAGATGAGGATATGATCACAAAGCAGGAGACCAGTTACAAAAAAAGAGCTTACTACAAAAGTACCCCCAGATAGGAAGAGGTGGTGTTTCTCACTTGACTTATGAACATTCATCAAAGTCCCGCTGGCCATGGGCAGTCTGGGTTTGGGGCAGAGCTGAACCCAAATTTGGGTATTGAGTGAAAGCAGTGGAGGGAGGGTTCATGGAACCAGAAAGCAAACAAATCATATATTATACTCACCAGAGCCTCCTAATCATAAATGGTAGTCAAGAGTCTTTGCACTCTAAAGCTAAAGGACACAATGTCATTAAAGCAATAACAGCAATAATAACCATAATGATAAAGAAACAACAAATATAAAACATGATGTTTTCTACATGTACCAATCTTATTTAATCCTTAAAACAACTCTGTAATAATTTTAATCCTTAAAATTATTCTTGATGAGAAACCTCTGCTTTAAAAACTTAACCGAGGTAATAGCAGTACCGAAAGCCACATTAAGTTACTTGCTTCAAATCTGCTTTGACCTCAATCTAAAATCTGTTTTCTTTCCATAAAGCTGCTATGACTCTCTGATTGTATATGCTTATGCCTGCCCTACTTACCATCCCTGAGGTTTGTAGTTTCTATGTGTGCAGGAGTTCAAAGCACATGGCTTGCACAGACTAGATCTCAAAAAGTCTATATCATTGAATTTGCATATTTGAGCAGGAAGAAGATTGGTGTGAAGATCAGAAGGCTTTGGCTAACTTGTTACCATATTGCTAATTCAGAATGTGTCCTTGGACAAGTCTTTTTAAAAATATTCTGTACCTCTGTTCCATTTGTTATTAGGTGGTGAAAATGCCTTCCACTTCTTATCTCACTGGAATACTACTATAAGAATAAATGAAATAAATTGATAAGTGAATCCAATGGAATGGCCGGATTCTCTAGCCAGAGACTGAGGGAAAAATGTCGATTTAAATCATTTTACTTTTCCTTTTTCTCCATAGGGAGATATTGTAGGGGTAAGTGTGTGAGCTGATATTTTAAGCATACTTAAAAATGGCTACAGTAATATAAGTAAAACAACTTAAGCATCTGGAAAGAAAAGTGCTATGTACACCTGGGGATGATAATGAGGCTCATAATGATGAGGAAGAATTTTAATAACAATAAATCTGAGTGAATTTCACTCAACCTGCTTGCAGGAAATAGCAGCTCAAGGACATAAAGTTCTCCCAAAGGTTTGTATCCAGTTTTGTATCCAGTTTTGCAAATAGATTGCTCATAGCTTTCTTGATCCCATATTCTAGACAAAATGTAGATGTACCAACCCCATATCTTGCTTCTGACTCAAGAAAATGTTCATTCCAATTGTAAGAATCAAAAGAAACTTAAACTAATTCTTATGAAAGCATGTTTGCTTTTGGGAAAACTCTATCTTCTAGGTACATATATGTTCACTTTCTCTTTCTTAGCAGAATGTGAATAGTGTAGCTTTAATGCATTTAAAAAAAGTCACACTGGATTTTATCTCTTTTTTTCTTACAGTCATGCTTGATTGCATTCCACCTAAATAAGTGCAATCCAGGCAGATGCTATAAAACCACAGTCCTGCAGTGTAGTAGATTTTATTCATGAACATACAAGTACTAAAGTCTTTGAGTATTTCTTAATAGAGTTACTAAGCAAAACTAAGGCTGGTCAAGAGCAGGATTATGGAAGCCTGACATTATGGAAACCTCAGGAAAGGGCAATCAGTGCACTGACCCAAATCTGTGGGCAGTAGAACAGAAAGGATGAGGCTTCATCTTCTTCTATCTTATCTGGAGTCTCGATAGGAATTATTTGCTAATGAGTCTTATTTGCTGATATTCAGGTTTGCTAGCCTTTTCCAGAAGACCTGGCTTTCCTCAATGGCTATTAGTAGAAATCAATATCATCACAAAGTTATCCATGAGTTGTGGGATGCATGGTTTATCAAAAAGAAAAGCAGCTCGTTCTTCTTGAGAAAGTTTCCTTATCTCTGAACAAGAGATACTGTGAGTAGTATTCTACCTCCTTGAATAGAGCTTTCGTCTGATGCACTAGCAAATGGGTAGTAATGCATATGGACTTTTGTTGTTGTTGTTTTTTGGTTTTTGGTTTTTTTCTGTGCGTGTGTGTGTGTTTTTTTCTCGAGACGGAGTCTCGCTCTATTGCCCAGGCTGGAGTGCAGTGGCGCAATCATGGCTCACTGTAACTTCCTCCTCCCGGGTTCCAGCAATTCTCCTGCCTCAGTCCCCTGAGTAGCTGGGATTACTGGTGCGTGCCACCACGCCGGGCTAATTTTTGTATTTTTAGTACAGACGAGGTTTCACCATGTTGGTCAGGCTGGTCTTGTCCTGACCTCATGATCTACCCTCCTCGGCCTCCCAAAGTCCTGGGATTAAAGGCTTGAGCCACCGTGCCCAGCCGCATGCGGAATTTTATGCTGACTTTTTGCTGGAGCCAGGCTGGGAAAGGGGATAGAGCTAAGGAGAATAATTTTTAAACTTTACCTGGGGAATTTGTAATTTAATATAGCCTTTGTTACTCCATCTGAAATGTGCTACTCTTTTAGGAATGTGAATGCCCAAGTATCACCTGAAAACAACTCTTAAAAGGTCTTCACCTTTCCCTGAGCTCATGTCTCTCCCTTTGTTTATCCAAATGTGCATGACCCGCAAAATATGGCACCACTGTTTCCTAACTCCTCTATTTTGATATTTGTTTCTGGAAAAGGCATGTGGTTTGCTCCAGTGATGACTAACAAGGACTTTCTTTGGTTCAAAGCACAGTGTTTTTTTTTCCCCTCTGGTCAGAGGGAAGTGGAAATCTCACCAGTGGTCTCTAAACTCTTTTGATGATATACTCTATCAATAAAATATTTCAATCATGTATCCCTAATTGTACTATCTTATTATAAATTATATATATTTACTACTGAACCTCAGAAAGTCTACTACAAATATAACATTCAAGAAGATGCGGTAAAAAAAGAAAGACAAGTATTTAAACAAAATTTTGTCCAGTTTTAACTCGTAAAACAAAATCCACAGTGTACTCATGGATTTATTATCAATGATTTATTTTAGACTTGGAGAAATCTGATTAAATATGGTAGGTGTTACTAAGCCATTTTTGTCTTTAATTTTTAATATGAATGATGAAAAGCTCCTTTTAAGGGTAAAAGTGCTAATTCTTTTATTTTGATACTTTTGTGTTGCATTTGTGGTTTATGTTTTCTGTGTATCATTTGCAGGAATTTTACTAAACAAGTTGAGATGATTAATTCCTATGGAGTCTCCATAGGAATTATTTGCTAATGAGACTTATTTGCTGATATTGAGGTTTGCTAGCCTTTTCCAGAAGACCTGGCTTTCCTCAATGGCTATTAGTAGAAATCATAGTTTTTCTATGATTAGTAGAAATCATAGTTAAATCTAGATAATGCAATCAATAGATCAACTTATTCACCTCTGTATAAACTATGATAGCAACAACAGATAAAAACAAAGGAACTAGTTGCCACTTTTGATCCTGTCACGCTCTCTCATTAACACCTGGCCCTCTGTGTTTTAGACATGACTGAAGGGTGTGGGTTTCAACTCATACACATTCTAGAGAGTAATTTTTTTCATATTTTTAGGTAAAATAGATGTATAAATAGAAGTTTTAATTCTATTAAGTTTTCTTTCAGTACTCCAAATGATCATCTTATGCACCTAGGCTTCCTATACCCTGCTTTAGAAGTCCTTATTTAACAGAGCACATAATTATCTCTTTCTACAAGACCTGTTTGTGAAAAATTGAGCTAATTCGGTTTTTGTCAATAGGATCAATTAAAATTCTGTAAGGATGCTTATTAGCTAAAATGCCTCTGTGTCAATCCCTGACAAAACTGAAGATTCATTTTACCTGTTTAGCAAATATGTATTTTCTCAGGGCTGATCCCAATTCACTTTATTCTGTCCACGAAGCCTCATGGGGGCCCTAGAATCAACTGTGACATTCTTCTCTCTTTTTTCTCTTGACATCACCCAGGTCAACCTGAATTCCCTATTTTGAACTCTGTGGGTAAAAGCAGATAAGAATAATAAATTTGGATGAGAGTGTATAGGACGCTATAGTGAAGGAGGAGAAGTTTCAGCAATCCCCTAAGGGAGTAAAAGACAGGATGAATCATTTTCTTCAACCTATGGCATACAGACCTCTTTCCGCTACAGCCACAGTGCTTAAAGGAAACAGCTAAGCCATTTGATGCCTTTTATGCTTCTTCTTTTAAAAAAAAAAAATACAACTTTGAATGAGCCTAGTCAGTAAAGAAAGGTCAAGTGAAACTGCTACGGCACATTTTGTTCCAGAGTCTTTTTCTCCCCCTCCATACTGAGCAAGATAAAGGACCCAGTTGTGACTGCTACACAGTGGTTCCTTAATTGAGTCTTCCATCTTCACAGAACCAGATGAGAGAGTCACTTAAAAGGAAGTAAATTCAAAACCATGTGCAGTTTCAGAACAAATTGTCCAAGCCACCTAACAGTGGAATTCTTTGAAATCCTGCTGCTGTTTCTGCCACATCAGGTCCTTTCTAATTTCAGCCAAAGAAGTCCTGTGTTTAAAGTGAAGATCCCTGTAATGAAGTGACATTTGACTGTTCACAGTGAATTATATAGTCTCTCACATGAGGGGAGCATTCACGATTGCATTTTCTCAACTCTGTTCAAGTGAGAGGACACCGCATGAGGGGTCTGGCAGCCTTATATATATTTCTGGGAATCACAAGGTGGCACAGAGTTAAATTTAGTCCATCCCAGGATGTCAATCCAGGTCTGATCACTGAAGACAATTAGGGGCAACTATTACAATAGTACCAGGTAATAAAGGAAATGTGGTAAGAATTGGGCCTACTATTGGGTTGGAAGTTGGGTGAACATCGGGTCTTACAGAGAAAGCCAAAGATCAAGGAGGCCTGGTATTGCCAGAGTTTCTACTGTAACAAAGATGGTAATAGGATATTTAAGGACAGGAGCTAAAAATTTAGAGCAGAATGACCTATTACACAGTAATATCTTAAGATAAAGTCATATTAAATATACACCAGGCAACAGGAAGTAACCAAGGTGACGAAGAATGAGAATCTAAACGTAATGGCTTCCACTAAGTGCTTGGAATAACTTGCTTACACTAACACATTATCATGTGATTCAAATTACCTATGCAAGTAATGAAATGGAAAGTTAAGATCTGTATATACAATCACTATGTAAGGGTAGAATGGCTATTTGGAAGGCGTAAAAGATAACTGGTATGACTGTCATAAACCTTGTATTGCAGTCCTGGCTTTATCAGGAAATAATTGAGTGACTCCAGGTAAATTTGAGCCATGATTTATTCATCACTAAAATGTGAAAGTTGATAAAGTTATTTCTCTCTTCATTATAATAGTAATACGGAAGTATGGTAAAGGACTCAAACTGTAAAAAAAAGACTTAAAAGTGCATTTATATCCTTTCTCTCCTTGTCTCCATAAACTCTCAGTCCAATTTTTCAGAGAAAAAAATGTTATTAATACTTTCTTTGAAGTCTAATAAAAAATGTATGTAAATACATATTTATAAATGCTTTAAAGGCAAGTAAATCTTATTAAACGTACTATTCATATATTATTTATTTATTTATTTGTTTATTTATTGAGACAGAGTCTTGCTCTGTCGCCCAGGCTGGAATGCAGTGGCACCATCTTGGCTCACTGCAAACTCGCCTTCCGGAATCAAATAATTCTCCTGCCTCAGCCTCCTGAGTAGCTGGGATTACAGATGTGCGCCACCATGCCCAGCTAATTTTTGTATTTTTATGTAGAGATGGGGTTTCACCATGTTGGCCAGGCTGGACTCAAACTCTTGGCCTCAAGTGATCTGCCCATCTAGGCCACCCAAAGTGCTGGGATCACAGGCATGAACCACTGTGCCCAAGCCATATTGTCTTATTTACATTAAAATATATATTATGGGCTGAATTGTGTTTTCCCTCAAAAAATGCATATGTCAAAGTCCTAATACCCAGTATCCCAGGATGTGACTGTATTTAGAGATAGGGCCTTTAAAGAGGTAATCAAGATAAAATGATGTCATATGGTGAGCCCTATCCCAATATGACCACCTTTGCAAAGATTATGACAGTGAGAGAAACCTAACATGGCTGACTGCATCTTGCTTCTAGCCTCACAGGCTGGCTGTCTTCACCAATTACTGAGTATAGGCCAAGCTAACCACAAGGGGAATTTAGTTTGTAGATTAACTTGAAAGCAAGGATGATAATAGTCCTTCCCTAAAACAAACCCCCTCCTTGCTCAGGAATGAAAAACTAATGAAAGGCCACAAGATTAGAATGAAAAGCCACAAGATTAGGATTATGGGAGGGGCCTGAATTCTGCTAGAAGGTAAGCATAGTTTTTATAATCTCTTACTGCTCAGGAGTCATGTGGCCAGAGGTCACAAGATTTATGACTTCCTCAATTGCTTCTGTAGATAACATCACTATTGTAGAACCTAAAATTGGTCTTTTGAGACCTTTTGCAGATTTTTGCATTCTGATAACCAACTGACTGCACCTGGACCCATGACTCATGACTCAGCCGGTCCCGTGGTCCCACTCAGAGGTGGACTCCCTGCACAAGGACTGTTTTCCACACCCCTATGCCTTTTTTTTTTTTTTTTTGAGACTACGTCTCACTCTGTGGCCAAGGCTGGAGTGCAGTGGCACAATCTAGGCTCACCTCCACCTCCCAGATTCAAGCTGTTCTCTTGCCTCAGCCTCCCGAGTAGCTGGGATTACAGTTGTGCACCACCACAACTGGCTAATTTTTATATTTTTAGTAGAGATGAGATTTCATCATGTTGGTCAAGCTGGTCTCAAACTCCTGGCCTCAAGTGATCTGCCCGCCTCGGCCTCCCAAAATGCTGGGATTACAGGCATGAGCCACCGCTCCCAGACCCACACCCCTATGATTTCATCTCCAATCAGTCAGCAGTACCCATTCCCTAGCTCCCTGCCCATCAAATTATTCACAAAATTTCTAACCTCTGAGTTCTCAGGAAGACTGTTTTAAGTGATAACTCCAATTCTCCCACATGGCCAGCCTTGTATTAATTAAACTCCTTCTTTACTGCAATACCACAGTCTCAGTGAATTGGTTTTGTCTGTGCAGCAGACAGGAAGAACCTGTTGGGCTATTACATGACGTCATTGTAAGAAGAGGAGATTAGAACACAGGCTGGCACAGACAGAAGACCACATGAGACACTAGAAGAGGGCAGCCATTAAAAAGCCAAAGAGAGAGGCCATTAGAAGAAAGTAATCCTGCCAACACTTTGATCTTAGATAGCTAGTCTCCAGAGTTCGGAGAAAATAAATTTTTCTTGTTTAGCTCCCACCTAGTCTGTGGTACTTTGTTATCACAGGCCTATCAAACTAATACAATATGTCATAGATATCTCTACAGATCAGCTCATATAGATCTACATTATATTATGACAGTTGTATAATACTCTAATTTACAGATATGATACCACTGGTTTTACACTAATCTATTAGTGGAAATTTAGGTTGTAATTTGCCTCTCATAACCAGAAGTCAAATTCTCTCTGGAGGAAGAAAACGTCACCCAGAACCTCAGCATTTTTTTTTAATAGATCATACAAATAAAAAGATAACAAGCATGGAAAGAGACAAGACTAAATGCCTGAAAACAAAGGTAAAAATACAGACAATAGATTACTCTTCCTGCTTGTGAAGGGGTAATTCCCACAGGATAGTCTCTCTTGTCTTAAACCACTTGAAAGCTGGAAAACAAAAGGAAAAATTTTTCAGAGACTAGATAAAAGCAAAACAAGCCAGAGTTGAAAAACAATGAAAACAACAATAAACCTTTTGATTGCCCCATTTTCTGACTGATAGCAATCTCTTGTCTGTGGTGAAGACAGAAAAACTCAGACAGAGCTAAGTGGCCTCTTTGAATAGATAAAACAGGTACTGAATTTCAAGAGGTGAAAGGGGCTAGAACTGCAGTTCAGGGTGCCAGAGGGGAAAAAGATAAGGAGAGAAAGAACTCCTGAAATCTGTAAAAGAGGCCAATTGAGTCTTTTGTTGAATGTCAGTCTTTACTTTTGGAGGTGAAAACTCCATGATGCTGTCTAATAAAAACAACAGGGAAAGAAGATTACTGGACCTTACAAACTAAACAGCTTCCAAAGCGCATGCAAACTTGAGGATCTCCTGAAAGACTTCCAGTCATAGTGAAAAAAAAAAACCTCTGCTGGATACATGAGGCATTCAGCAAGGACTTTAGAATGCTGACACATAAGTCACTAGACTAAGCCAAATTTAGAGGCAATGTTTCCTTAAACCTGCCCTAAAAGAAGTAAAACCAAGTCTTAAAGGATCAAGCTTATGTGTAAGTAATTTCATTGCTTACTGATTGAAGGTCAGTACTCTTTAGGAATACAAAATTCAGTAGTCAACAATGTAAAATTCGGCTGGGTGCTGTGACTCATGCCTGTAATCCCCATGCTTTGGGAGGCTGAGGTGGGTAGATCACTTGAGCCCAGGAGTTCAAGACCAGCCCGGGCAACATGGCAAAACTCATCGCTGCAAAAAAATATAAAAGATTAGCCAGGCGTGTTGGCAAGCACCTGTAGTCCCAGCTACCCAGGAGGCTGAGGTGGGGGGATCACCTGAGCCCAGGAGGTCAAGGCTACAGTGGACTATGATTGTACAACTGCCCTCCAGCCATAAAAAAAGTTAATAGACTTGTGAAGTAACAGATAAATTTGATTCAGGATTAGGATAAAAATTGGTCAATAGAAGAGAACAGAAGTCAAACAGAAGACAAAATTAACACATTATTGGGTCCTCCAAGAAGCAGATGCGACAATGGGATTAAAGGTAAAAAGGATTTCAACAGGGTTAAGGCTGGTGAAAGGAAATAGAGAGTGATCTGGGGAAAGCTGATAATGCAACCAAACCAGAATTCAACTCTGACCCAAGTGAAGAGAAAAGGAAGAGAAGATTGGGTGGAAAAATCCTACACTCCATGCAGTGTAAGTAAGATTTGACAAAATCATTGTTCTGTCCTTGAACCAAAGTCTCCCAACTAAGGAGTCCTTTGTCTCCCTGAAGTGGACCAGCGTTAGCAGTTCCATCACACTCAGCAATTGACAGAAAGAAGCCTATGGGAGATATGACTTTAGTGCAAATACAGTGAGAGATTTCAAAGTGCAGCAGCTTGAGTCCTCAGTCTATGATCCTCCATGTAGGTTTCTGAGGCAGTCTCATGGCTGCAAGAGCAGACAAGGACTTTAAGACAGTCATTATAAATATACTCAAGGGTTTAAAAGAAAACAAAAATAATTAGAGGAGATATGGAAGATGCATTAAGGCACTAATGGAACTCCTAGAGCATAAAATTCAATATAGGGAAAAAGTTAATGTAATGAATGTGATTAAAGGAAATTAGACACTGCCGAAGAAAATATCAGTAAACTTGAAGGTATGGCAATAGCTATCCAATATGAAACACAAAGGCAAAATAGGTAAATAAGCAGAGTCTCAGTGAACACTAGGAGCACAGAATGCAGTCAAACACATGGGGAGTTGGAGTCCCAGAAGTGAAGGGAACAGAAAAAAATTGGAAGAAATAATGGCTAAGATTTCTTTTAAGTTGTTAATATCTATACAGATTCAAAAATTCCAGTATATCCCAAGCAGGATAAACACAGTCACTTCAAGAGAAACCATATTCAAATTACTGAAACTAAGAGATAAGCAGAAATTTTAAAATCAGCCTGAGAGAAAGCCTATGTTACCCACAGTGGAATAATGACGGATGAGTTGACAGAAGCTATGCAAACCAGGTAACAATGGATGATTTCTTTAAAGTGCTGAAATTAAATACTCTCAATACACAACTCTATACCTAGTGAAAGTGTATTTTAAAAATGAAGGTGAAATGAAGACTTTGATGGACAATAAGAGCTGAGGTTATTCCATGCCAGTTGGCCTGCACTATAGACCTTCTATATATAGTGTAGAAACTTGAATTTATACTAGAGTGTCTCAAACTCGGGACCGTTGGCACAAATACCAGAGCATAGAGAGTGTAGAGAAACAAATAATTCTTTGTGGAGGGGCTGTCATGTTCACTATAGGGTGCTATCACCATTTCTGGCCCCTACCCACTACATGCCAGTGGCAATTGCTCCCCCACCCTAGCCTAGCTGCAGCTAGTAAAAATATCTACAGATATTCCTAAATCACCTGGGAGTCAAACTCCCACCCCTCATCATGGTAACCACTGATTTACCCATATTAATGAAGGCCAAAAGTGGTAATTTTGAAAGAGAATATGCAATATAATTTTTGCTTTCATTTAAAAATTTCACTAAAAGGTAATTAACTGTCTAAAATAAAAATATTAGTAATGTATTGTAGGATATTTAATGTATATAGATGTACAATGTTTGACAATAGTACAAAGGACAGTAGAAGTATATTCTTGTAAGATTTTTACATTTTATATGAAGAGGCATGATAGTGTTTGAAGGTAAACCATGATGTAATAAACAAACGTTTTGTAAAACTTAGAGCAAACACAGACATATTACAAAAAATATAAATAACATTACATATATGTAATATGTAAATAACAAGCCACAACTCCAAAAATAGACAATAGGAACAAGCCAACAAGTGATTTCTATATTGTATTTATCAAACATGGATGTAAAAACAACTCATGCATATATTTAAGAAAATACTTTACACGACAATGCTTTCACAAGTAAACAGGAGTATTCTATTTTTATTTTATTTTATTTTATTTTTTGAGACAGGGTCTCACTCTGCCACCCAGGCTGGAGTGCGGTGGTGCCATGACAGTTCACTGCAGCCTTGACCTCCCAGGCTCAGTCGATTCTCCCACCTCAGCCTCCTGAGTAGCTGGGACCACAGGCATGTGCCACTACACCCAGCTAATTTTTGTATTTTGGGTAGAGATGGGGTTTTGCCATGTTGCCCAGGCTAGTCTCAAACTCTTGAGCTCAAACGATCCACCTGTCTCAGCTTCCCAAAGTGCTGGGATTATAGGCATGAGCCACTGCGCCCGGCCTCGAACTGGAGTTTTTTAAAACTGATATGTAATAGCTGAAATTTTAAAAATGCATATTGGAAAAAAGGTAGAGTGAAACGTAGACCAATATAAAATAACCAGACTGAAGCAAGAAGAAAAAATATATAGAAAATATAGAATGAGCTTAAACAACATAGACATTATGCCACAAATGGAAGTAATATTATGAATACCAAGATGAATTTGAAAATTTAGATACATTGGAAAAATCCCTACAAAATGAAAACTTAACAAATGCTACAAAATAACAAAGAACATCAAAAATATCTGAACTCAATGAAAAACACTGCAGTCTCCCACATGGAAAACTTCAGGCCTAGACAGCTTCACTCCTGAATTCTTGGAAATGTTTGAAATAGTATATCTTTTAAAACTACTTAGAGATGAATATAATAAAAATATGTGGCCGGGCACAGTGGCTTATGCCTGTAATTGCAGCATTTTGGGAAGCCAAGATGGGCAGATCATTTGAGGTCAGGAATTTGAAACCAGCCTGGCCAACATGGTGAAACCCTGTCTCTACCAAAAAAAAAAAAAAAAAATAGCCAGGCATGGTGGTGGATGCCTGTAATCCCAGCTGCTTGGGAGGCTGAGGGAGGAGAATTTCTTGAACCCAAGAGGTGGAGGTTGCATTGAGCTGAGATTGCGCCACTGCACTCCAGCCTGGGTGACAAAGTGACACTCCATCTCAAAAAAAAAAAAAGTTCCACACCCTTAATATAAACATGACATAAAAATTATGAAGCAGAAAGGAAAAGACATTTAGTTATCAGAAGTCCATAAGTAGCCTCCAATGCATATAGGAAGATAATATATGATAACAATGATATTTCAAAATATGGGAAAACAGGATAAAATTGTTTAAAAATAGCGTTGGAACAGTAGTTTAGCAATAAGATAAAATAAAGCTAGATATTTAAGTTATTCATTATATAAAAGTTAGTTTCATAAACATGGGTCTTGTGCTTGACAATGTTCAAGGAAGTAGGATATTCATAATCAGGACATGCAACCTAAGCATCCTACAGGGTGAAATTAATAAATCTAATGACATAATGAGTTACCATAAAACCATAAATCATGAAGCAGATTAAAAAGAAAACAACTTTACACTGAAGTAATCCAGGTATACTTCAGGTGTTACTTTTGCATTCTCAGGTAGGATATGGATATGTCTCTGTATTTACTTTTAAGTAGAGATTTTATGCTTTATGTATTTTTAGGAAAACCTTTAAAAGTAGTAAAATATTTTGAAATTTTGCCAAAATTTAGCTGCCTATAAATGGATTTTTGTATTTTTCTTTGTTTGTTTGTTTTTGAGATGGAATCTCCCTCTGCCACCCAAGCTGGAGTGCAGTGGCGTGATCTCAGCTCACTGCAACCTCAGCCTCCTAGATTCAAGCAATTCTTCTGCCTCAGCCTCCCTAGTAGCTGAGATTACAGGCACACGCCACCACACCCAGCTAATTTTTGTATTTTTAGTAGAGATGGGGTTTCCCCGTGTTGTCCAGGCTGGTCTCCAAGTGCTGACCTCAAGCGATTCACCTGCCTCGGCCTCCCAAAGTGCTGGGATTACAAGCGTAAGCCACCACGCTTGGGCCCCTATAAATGAGTTTTAAAAGTTTCCAAGTATATATCCTAATTTCTCCATTAGTAATCTGATCTCAAGGAACCTTATGCTTATTTGAAGTCATTTTGAGTTTAGGTACATACACATAGGTATGTGAATGGCTTTGTGGTCATAATGATATGCAACCTCCACTCAATGAAAGCTCAACCCTTCACAGTGCTAATGAGAGAAAGTGAGACAAGGTGTGCGAGATGCTTTTCAATGCACTCAGTAGAAAAATATATAACAAAACATTTTAGTAAAGCTCACCTGCCCTTCCTATTGAATCACAGAATGAACAAACATAAATCAAGGCTGACAAGGTTGAGTCTCTCTCCTCAGAGCTTTGAAAATAATAATATATCATCCTGTAACAATATAACATCCTTTCTCCCCCATATTCTCTCTCATCTTGTTGGCAAAAGGTCCCTTTATTCAAAAACAAATCTTCATTATAACAGTTGAAAGTAATTCTCATGCCAGGAAAAGATTATCAGATTCATATTAAAGGGAAGATTGTTTTATACAAGGACTTGCCAGAAAAAGACTTAGAAATGAATTATGTTGAAGCTCCCTGTGATCCTTTAATGAAAATTCTAGTATGTAGCCAGATGTTTTATTGGGAAAGGGAATCAAGAGCAATATAGATTGTCCTGCCACTCAACTGAATACTGAAGCTGAAATTAGAGTGATTCACAAATGCACATAATTGCCTGGAATATTTATCTTAAAAAAAAAAAAAAAAAAAAAAAGAGAAAACTCCCCCTCCTTTGCATTTTCTTTTTTCTACTATAACATAGAAACCAGACTTTTTCTTGTGAGAATTTGGGATACCTTGTTCCTGTGGCAGAAACAACTAATGCTAGCAGTACTACTGATATCTGTTTTCCTCTTGTTCCCTACTAACTTTTTTTTTTTTTTTTTTGGAGACAGAGTCTTGCTCTGTCGCCCAGACTGCAGTGGCGCGATCTCAGCTCACTGCAAGCTCCACCTCCTGGGTTCACACCATTCTCCTGCCTCAGCCTCCCCAGTAGCTGGGACTACAGGCACCCGCCACCATGCCTGGTTAATTTTTTGTATTTTTAGTAGAGACAGGGTTTCACCATGTGAGCCAAGATGATCTCCATCTCCTGACCTTGTGATCTGCCCATCTCTTATTTACGATGGCAGTGTGTCAGCTTACAAACAAAGAAAAAATCAACATGCATACAAACAAAAAGCTAGTCTCCCTTGAAACAAGAAGTGCTTAAGTGACAAGATCATGACCTGTGAGACGTACATGGAAGTCATTCAGAGGTACTGCTACTGAAGCTCTTTACAGGAGACTAACTCAGTTGGCATGAACTCCTTTTGCATTCTCTCTCCCTCTCTCTTTGCCTGCCTTCCTTCTTTCCCTTCCTTCTTTGCTTCTTTTCTTTCCTCCCTCCCTCCCACTTTCCTCCCTCCCTCCCTCCCTTCCTTCCTTCCTCCCTCCCTCCCTTCCTTCCTTCCTCTCTCCTACCTCCCTCCCTCTCCATTTGTCTAGGAAGGATGAATAGGATTCTAAGAGTGGATTAGCGATCTCGTGATGATATAGCAACAAGTAAAACCTAAGGATAGCAGACTAAGTGAAGGCAGATGGTTCTGGCAATGCTGAATTTCTTCTATAGACTGAAAAAATTACCTACCTCTAGACTGTTTGTACATTTAGAAAAAGGTTTAAAGAATAATGTTGTAAAGAGAATAAATGTATCACTTTTAGTCAAATGCAGTTGTTAACTCTGTCATATGCCTTATATATTTATCCCATTTTATCCTCACATGATTACTCTTACTCTTGTGTGGTATTGCAATGTCGTATTCATCTACCAATGTATGGAAGACTGACTTGGATTGGAGGGTTACACATTTCCCTAAGGTTTTAAGCTTCAGTGTATTGCAGAGGTAGAATTCCAGCAGACTGATCTCATTACATTGACCATGAAAGTTATTCTGTCATGTTGTCTCTGATGTCTTGTCCAACATTATGAGACGCAGAGTTTGGAACTGATCAAGTGCTGTGACTTGAGGGACTTCTAATAGCTCTCCCTCTTCCTATAATGGTGTCTGCATTGATCAATTAGACATAAAGATCTCAGCTTAATAGGGTAGTGTTCTTTAGGTACCCTTTCAATACACTATTTATCCTTACGTATTTATATTTTTAATCATCCTGAACTAACAATGTCGGGAGCATTCAAAATCTCATGGCTCAAAACCCTGCTGGAATAGAAGCCAGCATACTAACCCCGTAGGTACTGATTTGTTCAGTTCAGCAACTCTAAAAAAGTATTTGTAATGTACATGGTTCTCTTTTCAATAAGCTATTTGTAATAGAAGCCATAGACATGTAAAAATTAATTTCAACGCAAAGTAGTAAGCTCCAGAGTGGAAGCAGGCATGGGTGCTATGGGAGCCGAAGATTGGACTCCTAGTCTGTCAGGGCTTTTCTAGGAAAGGCCTCTGTGAAAGAGATGACTCTTATTGTTGGTGACGTACTTTGCTGTGGGATTTATGTTTTCCAAACTCCATTCCCTCATTTCCCTTCTTAAAAGTTATTTTTGTCTTGATCTGGCCTGCATAGAGATGTCCCTTCAGCCAAAGGAAACTAACTTTTCTGGAAACAAAAATTACTTGCTTTATAACCTCAAAGTGTTTTAATGAAGTCTCACTGATCCAAAATCTGAAAAAAACATAACTAATGTAACTTTTTTTTTACATTTGCTTAAATATTAGAAGAATAAATCAATTCTTTCACTATTTGGGATTTTTTTGGAAGAATTGCCTTAGACCTGGTGAAATAAAAGCTTCCCTGCCAGTGCCAATGACAAAGGTCCAATGTGCCCCCAAAGGAAGATGTGGTCTTGGATGTCTCAGGCAGTGTGGTACAGCAATGAGAACATACCAAGGCTGGCACATATAATTGGGAGAAGCACTCCACACCTGAGCCAATGAAGGAAGAAGCAGAGAAAAGAATCTGCCTATTTTGAGATGCATGAACCAATAGAATACTTTTTTTCCTCATCTCTGCAACAACCCCGTGAGATAGGAACCAGTTGATAAGGAAACCTGATTAAAAGAGAAGGATGTAGGAGATTAAAAATATTGCAATTTTATCACATATTAATTATAAGAAATATATTTATTATTCAAAGAGGAAAATGTATCACATGGTTACATGTGCTTGGAACTGTTCTGTATGTTTGGTTATTAAATAGGAAATACTATATTAGATTATTTGAAATAGTATGCCTTGGTTAATAAGTTAAATGCAAATACAGGTGAATTACAGTGAGGGGCCTGCTTGCTCTTTTATTTGTAACAACCATAAAAGTGAAATTAAAAAAATGGCTCAATTCCTATCCAAATCTGTAGGAAAAAAATTACAGTAAATATGATGAGGGGTTTGTGACAGATGTACAAAGTACGTTAGGAGACTAGGGAAGGCAGAGGATGATTGGAGAAGAAACAGAGAGATAATTTAACTGAAGTCTTACAGGATGTGTGGAATGTTCCTGAAGATAAAGCAATAGACATTGCAGAGAGAGAATAACATGTTTATAAAGCTAGTTTATTAGTCAGAGTTCTCCAGAGAGTTAGATAGGTAGGTAGGTAGAAGACAGATAGATGGATGAATGGATGGATGGATGGATGGATGGATAGTGATAGATGGATGCATGGATGCATGGATGGATGCATGGATGGATGGATAGATAGATACATAGATATATAGACAGTGATAGATGAACAGATGGATGGATGGATACATGGATGGATAGATAGATAGCGATAAATGGATGGATGGATGGATGGATGGATGGATGGATGGATGCATGCATGCATGGATGGATAGATAGTGATGGATGGATGGATGGATGGATGGATGGATGGGTGGATGGGTGGATGCATGGATAGATAGTGATGGATGGATAGATGGATAGATGGATGGATGGATGCATGGATAGATAGATATATAGATAGATAGATATAGATGGCACAGGGATGGATGGATGGGTGGATGGATGGTTGAATGGATGGATGCATGGATGGATAGATAGATAGCAATAGATGGATGGATGGATGGACACATGAGTGGATGGATGGAGAGATGAAGAGAGATGTTCAGATAGATAAAAGGAGATTTATTAGGGGAATTGACTCATGTGATTCTAGAGGCTGAGAAGTTCCGCGACAGGCTATCTGCAAGCTGAACATCCTGAAATACTGGTAGCATGGCTCAGTTCAGGTCCAGAAGCCTTAGAACCAGAAAAGCTGATGGTGTAATTCTCAGTCCCAGGCCAAAGGCCTTAGAACATAGGCATGCTACTGGTGTAAGTCCTGGAATCCCAAGGCTGGAGATGTGTAATTTCATGTCTAAGCACAAGATGAGGAGTAAGGACTCCAGGACAGAGACACCAATTTGCCTTTTGTCTGTATTTGTTCTATCTATGGCCTCCAGCTGATTAGATGGGGTCTGCCCCCATTGAGAGCAGATCTTCCCTAGTTCATCCACCCAGATTCATACGCCAATCTCCTCTGGAAACACATGCACAGACACACCCAAAACTAATGCTTTCACAGTTCTCTAGTTATTCCTTAATTCAGTCAAATTGACATCTAAAATTGGCTGGGCATGGTGGCTCACATCTGTAATCTCAGCACTTTGGGAGGCTGAAGTGGGTGGATCACCTGAGGTCAGGAGTTTGAGACCAGCCTGGCCAATATGGTGAAACCCCATCTCTACTAAAAATACAAAAATTAGCTGGATGTGGTGGCTGACATCTGTAATCCCAGCTACACATGAGGCTGAGGCAGGAGAATTGCTTGAACCTGGGAGGTGGACATTGCAGTGAGCTGAGATGGCACCACTGCCCTCCAGCCTGGGTGACAGGAGTGAAACTCCATCTCAAAATAAAATAAAATAAAATAAAATAAACCATCGCAACTAACAAGTGGCAGTTTTTTAATAGGCAGAAGTGGGAGTGTTTTTCTTGTTTGTTTTGTTCCCCCCCTTTTAAAGCAGGGGAGCAGTTTAACCCATTTATGTTTTACAAAGAAAACAATAGAGGTATTATAGAGAATAGACTGGGCTGGAAGGAGATTGCTACAAGATGGCTAGTTTTACTGTTTCTTTAAAAAAAAATGTTATTTTTTCTTTCCACCCTCCCTTTCTTCCTCCTTTTTCAACTACCATTTGTTGAGGACATACTATATTCTGGGAGTTGTGCTTTATTTTCTTTAAATCTCAATGCAACCCTGTGAAGTAGATACTATTGTTTCCTCCGTTTTAGTCTTAGGAACATCGAAAATTAAGCTGAGGTTTTAGTCTCAGGAACATCGAAAATTAAGTTGAGGAAAAACACCACTAATACTCACATAGCCAGCAAATGGCTCAGATGTTTTAAATCCAAAGCAATGAACTTCTTGGCCACTACCGTTTATGACTGTCCTGACTTATACTTAATTGCTTATTCTTTCTGCATGTATGTGTTCTCCAAATTCAATTCACTACATATACAAAATTTCTGTAACATTCATTAAAATGTGATCAATAGATAACAGTGAAGGTTGTTACATATACACATAATAGTATTTTCAACATCATAATTATTTCAATTATTTTTAGAATTATCTGAGAGTTTAACCACTTTCCACTAAAATTAGTAGCAAATTATTTTAATTACACCAACTGACTTCATTAGAAAAATCACTCATTCGAGACCAGGTGCAGTGGTTCATTCCTATAATCCCAGCACTTTGGGAGGCTGAGGCAGGAGGATGCTTGAGTCCAGGAGTTCAAGACGAACCTGGGCAACACAGAGAGACTCCATCTTTACAAAAAAATAAAAGATAAAAAATTAGCTGGGCGAGGGGTGCATGCCTGTAGTCCTAGCTATTTGGGAGGCTGAGGTGAGAGTATCACTCGAGCTCAGGAGTTTGAGGTTGCAGTGAGCTATGATCTTGTCACTATACTACACCTTGTGTGACAGAGTGAAATCCTGTCTAACAAAAAAAAAAAAAAAAGAAAGAAAGAAAAGAAAAAGAAAAAGATTTTTTGGAAAAAATGAGGATTAGGTAAAATAATTTAAAATATGAAAATAACCTACCAGCTGTTCACTATTCAGACATATTATAAATCTATAGTGATATTAAAAATCAAGTTATTTATCCCTGCTTTAGGACATACTTAGGTAATGAGTGTGGTATCATTATGAAAGGGATTAATGCTATTATAAGATCAGCAAGTGCTCTCTCTCTCTCTCTTTCTCTCTCTCTCTCTTCTCTCTGCCATGTGAGGACACAAGGAGAATAATGGCCACCTGCAAATCAGGAAGAGAACCCTCACCAGATACCAGATCTCCTCTAGCCTTTATCTTAGATTTATTAACTCCCAGAACTATGAGAAAAAAATGTTTCTTATTTAAGCCTATGGTATTATGTTATAGCAGCCTAAACTAAGACACCTTACGCCCCTCTATCGCCTGGCAACCACTAATCCTTTTGCTGTTTCCATGGATTTGCCTTTTCTACAATGTCATATAGTTGAAATCATAGAGTATATAGCCCTTTGGGATTGGCTTTTTTCACATAGTAATATGCATTTAAGATATCTCTATGTCTTTTCATGGCTTGATAACTCATTTCTTTTTGGCACTGAATAATATTTCATTGTCTGGATGTACCACAGTT
The DNA here is from genome assembly GCF_000001405.40 of Homo sapiens. Classification (NCBI taxonomy): domain Eukaryota; kingdom Metazoa; phylum Chordata; class Mammalia; order Primates; family Hominidae; genus Homo; species Homo sapiens. Next base: position 36,432,883 of record NC_000008.11, on the reverse strand, counting down.
TATTTGTTCATTCACCTAGGGAAGAACATGTTAGTTTCTTCCAAGCTTGGGCAATTATAAATAATACTGCTATAAATATTCCTGTGCAGATTTTTTTGTGTAGACATAAGTCTTCTACTCATTTGAGTGAATAGCAAAAAGTGCAATTACAGGATCATAAGAGTATGTTTACTTATGTGAGAAAGTGCCAAACTCTCTTCCAAACTGACTGCAACATTTTGCACTTCCACCAGCAATGAATGAGAGTTCCTGTGGCTCCACATCCTTGTCAGCATTTGGTGTCATCAATGTTTTTGATTTAAGCCATTCTAATAGGTGTGTGGTTTTAATTTGGAATTTTCTAGTGACATGATGTTGAACATCTTTTCATTGCTTATTTTCCATCTGTATATCTTCTTTGGTGAGGTGTCTATTCAGGTCTTTTGCACATTTTTTTAATTTTTAAATTTTAGATTTGGGATACATGTGCAGGTTTGTTACATAGGTATATTGCATGATGCTGAGCTTCTGTTGATCCTATCACCCAAATAGTGAACATACCCAACAGGTCATTTTTTAAGCCTTCCCCACTCCCCCTTCCCTGCTCTTGGAGTCTCCAGTGTCTATCGTTCCCATCTTTACATTCATGTGAATACAATGCTTAGCTCCCACTTGTACATGAGAACATGCAGTATTTTATTTTCTGTTTCTGTGTTAATTCACTTAGAATAATGGACTCCAGCTGCCTCCATGTTGCCGCAAAGAACATGATTTCATTCTTTCATATGGCTGCATAGTATTCGACAGTGTATATGTACCACATTTTCTTTATCCATTCTACACTGATGAGCACCTAGGTTGATTCCGTGCTTTTCCCATCATGAATAGCTTTTGCAGATTCTTAAATTGTGTTCTTGTTTTCTTCTTGTTGAGTTTTAATAGGTTTTTGGGTATTTTGAATAACAGTCTTTAATCAGACATATCTTTTGTGAATATTTTCTTCTAGTCTTCGGCTTCTCTTCTCATCTTTTAGCAGTATCTTTCATAGAACAGAAGGTTTTATTTTCAATAAAGTCTAGCTTTTCAATCCTTTTTTTAAAATGAATTATGCCTTTGGCATTGTATCTAAAAAGTCATCACCATACCCAAGTCAATTGGGTTTTGTCTTTTGTTATCTTCCATAAGTTTATAGTTTGTGTTTCACATTTAGACCTATGATGCCATTTGAGTTATTTGTGAAGAGTGTAAGGTCTGTGTCTAGACTCTATTTTTATTTTTTGCATGTAGATGTCTAGTTGTTCTAGCACCGTTTGCTGAAGTGACTATCTTTTTTCCATTGTATTGCCCTTGTTCCTTTCTCAAAGATCACTTGACTCTATTTATGTGGGTCTACGTTGGGATCTCTATTCTGTTCTATTGATCTTTTTGTCTATTCTTTTGCCAATAGCATGCTGTCTTGATTACTATGTTTTTATGATAATTCTTAAAGTTGAATAGTGTCAGTCTTCTAACTTTGTTCTTCTCCTTCAATATTGTATTGGCTATTCTGGGTCTTTTGCCTCTCTATACAAACTTCGTAATCAGTATGTAAATAACTACAAAATAATTTGCTGGGACTTTAATTGGGACTGTGTTGGCTCTCTAAACCAAATTGGGAAGAACTGATGTCTTAGCCATATTGAGTCTTCCTATCAATGAACATGAAATATCTATTTAGTTCTTATTCAGTTGCTTTCACCACAGCTTCATAGTTTCACTTATGGAGATCTTGTACATACTTTGTTAGGTTTATACCCTTTGACTGTTTGTCTCTTATGAAATTCATGTTGAAACTTAATCTCCAATGTTGCAGTATTGAAAGGTGGGGCCTTTAAGATGTGATTGAGTGATGAGGGCTCTGCCCTCATAAATGGATTAGTGAGTTAATGGAATCATAGGTTGTCATGGGAGAGGGGCTAGTGGCTGCATAAGAAGAGAGACCTCAGCTAGCACACTCATCCCCTCACTGTGGGATGCCCACCTCAGTATTCTGCAGAGAGTCCCCACCAGCAAGAAGGTTCTCACCAGATGTGCCCCCTTGACAATGGATTTCCCAGTCTCCGGAACTGTGAAAATTAAATTTCATCTTATAAATTTCCCAGTTTCAGGTATTTTGTTTAAGCAACGAAAAATGGAATAAAACAGCACCGAAGTATTTCATTTTGGGGTGTGCTTATATAAGTAATACCATGTTTTAATTTCAAATTTCTTTGTTCATTACTGGTATAGGGAAATGCAACTGACTTTTGTATATTAACCTAGTATTCTGTACTCTTTCTATTACTGCTTATTAATTGTAGGAGTTTCTTGTGTGTTCTGCTGGATTTTCTACATAGACAATCATGTCATCTGTAAACAAAGACAGTTTTATTTCTTCTTTGCATTTTTGTGGTGACTTTTAATTGTGATCCAAGTGGGAAAATAGGTGTTGAGGACTGTATCTAACAGCCAAATCTGCCTCTTAATTTGGGCAAATTATTTTTACTCTGGGGCATCCATTCTTGATCTGTGAAATGAAAAGATTAGACCACATAGACTGTAAGCCACTTTCAGCTTTAATATGCTGTATTCTATTTGTGATTCCACTGTCTTGATTTTCAGTTGTATTTCTTGAAAGTGACTTGTCCTTTGACACAATCCTGGGAACTCCTCCTCTATTTCTGGAGTGAGCTCCTACAGGCTTTTTGTTCTCTGAACTGTCTTGACAAGCACTTCTCCTCAGAGGGGACTGGCACACTAAGTCACCAGCTGCTATCAGAGTGATAACAGCTTGTTCTGAAGCTTGTGATTTCCAAGGCTTGTGGATTATGAAGCATCCGGTTTGAGAATACAAGGAATGGAAAGGGAGGCATTCATATGGAAATATTCTAAACTATATTCGATTTCCTGAAATTTTGAGTGCAGATGTGTACATGAAAAATTGACAAAAAAAAAAAGGTGGTGGGGGTAATGGAGTGTGGTGACCAAGCTCTGGTTCACCCTGCTATTTGAAGATGAGCAATCCACTTAACCTATATTTCCCTGTATATAAAATGGAAACTTGTAGTAGCAGGTCATCTCATGATTTTCTAAGTAGTGAAAGGACATACTAGATAAAACATGGCTGCCCTGGGAGCAGAGATTTTCAATGTGATATATAATGGGTCTTTCAAATGTGTTTCGTTCCAGCCTAGTCTCTGAGATATCCCGGATGTGAGTTTCAGAAGGGAAATGATGTCTGCGCTACTGTGTTCAGTTCCCTCTGTCCCTAGCCAGGTCCTATATGTGTAGCCCTGGTGGTCAAATTAGCCAAATGTGAAGAGGATGCTGGAGCTTTAAACATGTAAATATGCAATGCACATACACACATACACATACGCACACAGACAAACACATACATGTACTTACTCTTTAATATCAAAAAATATTAGAATTACCAAATTATTCTTAGATGTCTTTTTGAAAGTAACAAACATGGTTGGGTAGGTTTCTGGTAGTATGTATCAGGTTATTCGAAACTCTGGAGATTTAGTAGTAATGAAATCATCGTCACTGCTGTTATACAGCTTACATTCTAGTTAGGGGAGACCGACAATAAATAAATAAATATAATGTAAATAATTAGTTGTATTATTGCATATAGCACAAGAAAAGTAGGTTAAAAATCAGGGAAAAATTAATTTTCTTTGTTTCTAAGAAATTCACTTCTTCCATTTGGAGACGTTTTCGTCCTTTGTGTTGACAGCCTCTTTGCAAAAATTAAATTATTATTTTTCAATTGTTAGTTCCTCAAATATAGTAAGAAAAGAGAAAAAAGAAGAAATTCAATTAGCAACTTTAGCTTTCATAAAAATGCTTAAAGAAGAATAAAAAAGTAGAGAATGAGGGAGCAATATTTTAGACACCCTGATCATAGAAATCTTTCTGGTCAGGGGACATTTGAGCAGAGACATCACTGAAAGGAGGAAGTGATCCGTATGGATGTAGATAGCTGAAGGGAAACCATAGGAAAATAGAACAGAAAGTGAAAAAACAGACATATTCAAGAAACTACAAAAATTCCTGTGTGACTGGGACAAAGAGAGTGAGATTGTGTGTCAGATAATGAAGTTAAAATATAGTGAAGAGCCAGATGTTAGAGGGCGATGTCGACTGCGGTAAGAGGGTTAGAAGTTATGCTGAGTTAAATGAGAGTCATCAGAAACCATAACGTATTATCCATTATTGTGCAATGAAATAATAGATATTCTAATTAGAAGTAAACAATGTGTCTTATTTTCAAACACTCTTCTGTTACCTAATCTACAACATTCCTCCTAAGAGTCATCAAATGCCAAAGAAATCACGCCTCTGAGATATCCCATCCAAATCTTGTCAGTTAAAAAATATATATTTTTGTCTAAATGTTTTTTCCCCATCTGGAAAGAGAATCTGTGGTCCTGCATTTTTTGCCATTATGTTCTAATTGTATTCACAGGACAAGGTTTCTTCCAAATGAAAGCCATTTGTATATTTTGCCTTTGATTTATCTCTAAAATAATTCATCCTGTCTTAATCTGATACAGAATTGAATCTTTCTGGTAATTTTTCTCAGGTCCATCTTTAGAGGCTTAACCCTCTACAAATTTTAGCCCTCTATAAATCTGATGACCAGTACTAAGTATATTATTTATTTATCTTCATCTCTGTTAATTGCTATGATTCACATTAGTTCAGGCAGTTAATTTTCCTACATTTGGAATATTTTCACATGTTCTCCTTAAGTAACCTATTTTCCTTAAGTTAAATTTTCTTCAACTTGAGGGCCCAGGGGGCAAACTAGGTGAATTGTCATAGGGCGCATCTGCTTTAACTCAGCTGTGTGCTACACATGAGCCAGAGTCTGGCAGAATATGAGGCAATTCCTGAGAAAGCCCTACAATTTCCCAGCATAGGCAACTCTTTGTATTCTTTTTTTCCTCTTTTTATTCTTTTCCTTTTCCCTTTTCTTATTCTAATTGTTTCCTTCCCCCCTTTTTTTCCCCTTTTCTTTTCTTTTATTTACTTCTCACGGTGGAACAGTTAGTAATGTTCAGTAATTCCCACAACCATTTGTTAGCCTTATTATTGACTAGAACCAAGTTTTACATATATAGGAAAAAAATGAGTTAATTAGAGAACACAGTTTCCCGGGTCCTGAGAAGGAATTATAATAGCTGATATTTCCTTTTTAGACATTCTTCTTTTGGCCCAAATATTTGAGGTAACACAATGGTCCTATTGTCAGACCAAAAAGAATCATAGATTTTTACCCAATATCAAACTTTACTAATTCCCAGGGTACAGGTAATCAAGAGATACAGGCAAAGCAAAGACGTATCTGTGACTCTCACAACAGCTCCCTGGTCTTCCCTTGCTGCATTTGGATGCACCTTATTTTTGGCAAGATCCAAGAGATTCCTGGTCCAGATAAACACATGAGGCCCCTAGTGATGTGAGTGGAACACCACTCACACAAAGGTAGCTGTTTCAGACATGCAAGCTTTCCACTTTGGTCTCAGAAAATTATAGAATTGATGTTTTCTAGAGTGTCATTCTCCATACATTCATAGATTCCAGGCTTATTTACCATAAACAACCCTAGCAGACCAGGGATATCCTGTTAAAGACATCCCATGGATAAAGATATTTCTTAAGTAGATACTATCAACAAGTCAAATTAGCATGTTGATAACATTTGACCAAGTTATTTCTCTCTGTTTCTTGTTTTCTCTTTCCCCAGGAGTCTCCAGGATAGGAAGGGTGGATTTTAGACTAACCGATAACCTTTTTTTTCTTTCCAGAAAAATTCAAACCCCTATTGCCGGCTTTGAAAATGGAAGAAGAATGCCCTGATTCAAGGAATGTAGTGGCCTCTAGCATTTGGCAAGGTAAGGAAATATCTTCTGCCTTAGAGCCTCCAAAAAAATCTTATGCCTGCTGCATCTTGATAGCCCACTGAGACCCATTTCAGATTTATGGACTATAGAAATTTAAGACAGTAAACTGCTGTTGTTTTACACCACTAAGTTTGTGGTAATTTTTAGAGCAGCAATAGGAAACTAATTCAAGCATGTTCAACTGGCATTCATTCAGAGGTCACGCATGAGACTAAAACCAAGTCATATGAAGAAGAGTAGGAAAAACTGAAGGAAAACATATTTGGGGTATGAAGGGAAACAATATTTCTAAAGCCTGCATGTAGAAGAGAGAAATATTACAAGGTTCTGCTGAGTTATATGGTACAGATAATAACAAAGTGTATAATATTCTGAAATGGTCAATGTAAATGTAAAAGAAATTAAATGTAGTGATACTACTGTTGGTTTCACTGGTATAGTTACACCCAAGATGAATCGTCATGACCCTTTCTTCCTTTTTGTTACTTACAATCATAAGGGAAAATTCAAGATTGGCCAATAACTAGAATATCTCCTTTTGGCTGCTTTATTCTACTGTCTTACCCATGGAGTTCTGGAAACAGCCTTACTAGCACTTTATTTGAGATGTTGGTTGCTAGGATCAGTTCCCTCTAAGCAAGTCAGTTCTACGTGTTGTATACTGCACATTAATTTTTTCATGTATCAAAACCTATGTTAGCTGTTTTGGAGAATAGATGAGTTCACAGACGAGTTGAGGGGAAATTTGTGGCATGAAGACCTTGCAGTCTCACCATAGCTCACATATGCTCTGCTTCTGTCTTAATTTGTGCTGCATTCACTCCAACTTACCATATGTCTAATTCCCTGGGAGGAGTGGAAAAAAGAGGAAAAGAGGGTGGCTAAATGAGGCTTCTGTAAAATCAAAGCTCCGGGGCATTAACTGGAGACTCATATTTAGAGATATAACTATTATTTATATTGTTGCATATATCACAAAAGAAGTGGATGGAAAAATCAAGAGAAAATAGTGTTGTTGTTTTTTTAAGAAATTGACTTCTTAAATTTGGAGACTCTTTCACCCTTTGTACTGACAGACTCCTTGCAAAAATGAAATGATTCTTTTCTTTTTCACTGTTAGTTCCTCAAATGTAATAAGGAAGAAAAGGAAAAACAAATAAAAATTTCAATTAGTAACTTTGAATTCTCAAAAGTTTGTGTATTTTTCCCTTTTGATATATGGATACTGAAATTAAAATTGGACCTGATGAGCACCTTGATGTTAAGCAAATGTCAAGCCTGCTTATTCAGCAAAATGAAACCCCTGTCATTTTTGATACTGAGTTCCTATAGTTGGGCTATTCTCCCAATCACTGTCTCCCATACATATTCAGGTATAGTAGAGAGACTTTTTGGCCAATTAGCATCCCGATGGTTTTGAACACTAATGACAGTGCAAATCCCTAATAATGACGAGGACTTAATCTAAGAGTATTTAAGCAACTTGCTAGAGAGAGAGCTGAGATTTCAACGTAGCACATGTGTTTTTAATACTTGCTATTCTATATTGCTGTCCTTTTTTTTTTTAAATAATAATTTCACATTGATATAGTTAACCTGTAAGCATTTTATATGCAGGATGCTTATTTGGCATTGAATGTGTGTGTCATGCCGTGACATGGAAAGAGGAAAAAAGGGCTGACTAGGAGAAGTCAGGCTCAGAAGTCTCTCAGACGCCACGCGCCACACAGGGAGTTAGTCATGTTAAGAATTAGACAGCTATGGCAGGCTACTCGGGTGAGATACTGAGTCTGGGGGGTAGATGAGGTCAGGGGTTTGATGAGGGATAAGCAGGCAAGAAATTCTTTCATTTAAGGGAGCAATTTGAAACAAAAGAGAACTGAAAAGGATAAAAAAGCCAGCAGATTTCAATTGTCTAGTCAAGTGTGCTGATGGAAAGCCCAAAAGTCAGGTCACCAAGGGACCCTGAATCCTTGGGCAGGAGCTGTTCACTCCCCTTTGAGGCTTATTCGTATGAAGGACTTGAAAGTCTCTATTTGTGGTCCAAAGGAAAAACTTTATCTGATAAGTGTATATACTCCTGTATAACACAAAGGCAAATTTCATGTCCTTGTAGGGGTTTCCTGCACCAAAGAATGAGCACAAAGAGAAGCTTCAACCATAAGCCAGTCAGGATCTTTCAATGGCTACATTGCCTTCAGGGTAACTAAAATGAGCATTTATTCTTATATTATTTATTCATTCATTTAATCATTCAGCAGTTATTTATTGATTTAGCCCATTATATGCCAGGCACTCTTCCAAGTGCTGAGGATATAGCAGTAAACAACATACATACATTTCTTCTCCTGTTACAGCTTATATTCCAGGGGTTGGGTGGAGAGATATATAATAAAGAAAGAAATAAACCTATAATATTTTAGATGGAGAGAGGTATTAGTGAAGTGAATGGAGCCAGCAAATGCTTAGAGAGAAGGCTTCTTATTTTATATAAGGCAAATAGGAAAAATTTCACTGATAAGGTGACATTGGAGTGGAGACCCAGAGTTCATCAGAGATGAGCTCAGAAGACTTTTAAAGCATGCCAGCAGGGCAGGGAAAGATAGCTCATGCGTGTAATTCCAAAGCTTTAGGAGGCCTGGCATGGTGGCTTGTGCCTGTAGTCCCAGCTACTCCGGTAGCTGAGGTAGATCACTTGAGCTAAGGAGTTCAAGACTACAGTGAGCTATGATTGGGCCACTGCACTCTAGCCTGGGTGACAGAGTAAGGCCCTGTCTCTAAATAAATAAATGAATCAATAAATCATGTTTAGAAAGCCAACAAATTTCTTGTACTCCTTCCTTAAAGAAGTGGAGCTTAATTTCTCTCTCTTGAGCACAGGCTGGACTCAGTGGTTCACAGAATGCAGCATGTCATTTGGGGAGGTCCTGATGCCTCCTGCCTACATCTGGCAGCAGACCCCTCAGCTTGAGGCATGTCGGCTGCAATTCTGGCCAATATCTTCCTGGCAACCTCACAAGAGACCCTGAGGCTGATCTCTGCTTCCTAGAGTCTATGCTACTCCCAGATTCTTGACCTTATGGAACTGAGTGAGATAATAAATATGAGTTGTATTAAGCTGCTAATTTGGGGTAATAGATCACTAATTCGTGAGCCATGAGGATATCTGGAGTAAGAGTAATTCAGGAAGAAAAATTCCAAGTACAAACATCTCGTGGAGGGAGTGTGGGGGTGTTTGAGGAACTCAGGAAATCTTTCAGAGTTGAAACAGAGTGACCTCAGGGGGAACCCAGCAGAGGGAGTTGGTGTCTAAAAGGTAGCAATGGATCAGAACAGTTAGAATTTTAGAAACCATTGTGAGTTGAATTAAGAAAGGCAGTAAGCTGGAAAGACAGGAGGTAGTGGTCAAAGAATAAATGATTGTAACTAAAATTGTGGAGGTGTCTGTTAGTCAAGGGTGCTTATGAGAGAGGGTTGGAGACCAGATCATTGGTGACAGGTAAAAAGATAGAAAATAGAAATCAAATTTTAGGCTGTTTTTCTGAAGATTTCCACTTGTTTTCTCTCTACACATCTGCTTACATACATGCTATGTTAGCTGCAGTGAGAACCAGGCAAAATATTAAAATGGGTCATCTCAATTCTAACACTACCACTTTTAACAAAGCAATACAGTGTGCCTTATTTTATTACGAAACAGAAAGAACTTGGATTTCAAAAATGATTGAATCTAGTAAATTTCCTACCTCTTAAAGAAGGAAATTGCACAATAAGAACTCCCCAATTAATACCTCCAGTTCGCTATCGCTCTCATCTATTTTATTCAGTATAAACTGATTTTATTATCATTTCTCTGTTCCAAACAAATCTATCAAATTTAAGCTCTCAGAATTTGGTAATCTCTCAGTCAAGTGTCTTTATACATATTTCTCATGTAAAGTGTGGCTGATTTTGTTAGCTGTAAATTGGAATTAATTTCTTCAAGCAATATTTGAGCAAAACACTGAGTTCCTCAGTCTACATCTACAGGAGGAGCACTCCTCTGTTTTCTCCTTTTTCTTCACTGAATTGAGTACAAAGAGATTTTTCAGTTATAAATACAAGACATTCAACTTTGAATCCAGACAATAATGAGAAACAACGATCACAGATGAAAAAAGCTAACCTCAGAAAGAATGTGTATATGTAAGGCCATAATAAACATGTTTGGTTCTGTCACCTTGGTCTTTTCAATGAGGCCTGTTTTCTGTCTTCTAAGCTCATTCCTATCTATTGATTAATTATCTATGACATTGCAGCCAAAGATTAAACAGCAAATACGGATATGACTATTCCATGACATCCATATTATTTTATAGAGCTCTGGTGTATTAGTCTGCTATCACACTGCTAATAAAGACATACCCGAGACTGGGTAATTATAAAGGAAAGAGGTTTAATGGACTCACAGTTCCACATGGCTGGGGAGGTCTCACAATCACGGTGGAAAGGAAAAAAGAAGCAAAGGCATGTCTTACGTGGCGACAGACAAGAGATAATGAGAGCCAAGCAGAAAAGGAAACCCCTTATAAAACCATCAGATCTCTTGAAACGTATTCACCACCATGAGAACAGTATGGGGGAACCGCCCCCATGATTCAATTATCTCCCAGCAGGACTCTCCTATGACAAATGGGAATTATGGAAGCTAAAATTCAAGATGAGATTTGTGTGGGGACACAGCCAAACCATATCATATGGTGAACACAGTAATCTCAGATGGTAGGAAAATTTTATTTTTATTTTATTTAAAAAAATATATAGTTATCTTTTTTTTTTTTTTTTTTTCAGAGGCAGGGTCTCACCATGTTGCCCAGGCTGGTCTCAAACTCCTATGCTCAATCAATCCCAAAGTGCTGGGATTATAGGCATGACCCACCACACTTGGCAGACAAACCTTTAAAATTATTTAATTTTGTAAGGCTGCTATAGCTTGTCAGACATTTGGAAGTCATTTTGTAATCATTTTATTTTCAATCTTTCTTAATTTATATGTATTTTTTCATGAACAATTATTGCCTTATCTTCCTCCTCCAGTGCTCAGTAAAGCACATAAGTAGAGCATTTAAATATTTGAGTTTTAGAGATGCTATGACTCAAAATTGTGCACTTAAAATTTTTTTTATAAAAGTAGGACCAATTAACAGAATTTCAATACTTTTTTTTGTAAATAGTTGTTTTTAGCAGATGTCTTAGAACAACAGTGAACTGAAATCATGTAGGATTTTAATTACCTGGGAATATAAAATTAGCTAGAAAACAGACTTTATCCAAATTGATGTGTGTGTGAGTATATACTGTATGTTTTAGAGCAAAAAATGTTTGGGAAAAATAACTGTATTTTCTTAAGAAGACAATTTGCCACATAAGGAATATTGATAATATAACCAGAAGTTCAAAGTTCACATTCTATCCAAGAGCATTAGATCCAAATAAGCCCATGTTTCTGAGTGGCAAATTAAGCAAGTGGCAAAGAGTAATTTTCCCTGAAATAAGGGACTATTAACAACCAGAATATGCCATCTGCATTAAGGCTCCAGAAACACTGTTTAAAGTAATTTACAGGTTGGCCAATGATTACATTTTTTTTCTTTCTCATTTGTACTCAAGGGGATTATTTTTAATTAAAATAATACACAGAGTCCAATTTAGCTTGACACACAGTAGATGCAAATAAAAGTTTGCTCATTTGCTTATATTTGCTTGTTTGGGTTGGGATTTTTGCCGTTTCTTTTTTGCTTTTGCATAAAATCTCAACTACAGAAAATTTACTGTGTTAACAGTGTGAAGGAGAGAAATGAGAAGATGATTTCGTCTGAGTTTTTATACCCTTGAAGGTATAAAATTTATGCCAATTTATGTCACATAAATTGACATAAGAGGGGCAAATCCTGTGACTTGTGCTTAATACTAGCTTGAGTGCTTTTATTTTTTCTGGAAAATGAAGCTAAATGCTCCCTATGTTGCTGTGAAATGATTTATTTATTCATCCAATATTTACTGAGCACCTACTGTATATTAGCCAATCTTCTTGGCACTGGGGATACATTTATGGATAAAATGGACAAAAATCCCTGCCCTACTGTAGGTTACCTTCTGGTTGAAGAAGACAAATGATAAACAGATAGTTAATGTACAAAATGTTAGAAGGTCACGTGTGCTCCAGATAACACAAAAAAAGGAAGGAGAAAGAACATGGGCAGGGAGAAATGCAATTTGATAGGGTTCTTAGCCTCTTGAAGACATAATTGCATTGTCTCCTGGCTCCTGTCTAACTTTTGTCAGATTGGATCAAAATTTGTTTACAACTGCTTTTGGGGGGATAAATTATACTCCACGATAACATATGGGGCTATAAAAAGCCTCAATAATATTAAAAAACAAATTTTTCTTGTAGCCAGAAATTTACTATTCTCAATTTCCACGATTGAAACTTTCTTGAATCTCAAAGACTCTAGAACACAGGATCTTATTTCGGGCTTCCCTGGCCTTTGTTCCACAACAGTCACCATGAATATACACAGTTTCTAACGCAGTAGTTGCTTACAGACATTTGGCATAATAGCTACTGTGTTAGTCTTTCTTCCTGTGTGATCTATGAACCATTCCACTGTGAAGAGCTTTTTAGTGCTGTGAGGATGAGCAGTAATGACCTTTCTGCTCTTGGGATCTGCCTCAAACCCTGAGCATTTCTTCATGGCTTGCTTTTTTGTTTCCTCTAATTTCTGCAACTTCTCCTTAATCCTTTTACCTCTCAGTGGTTCCTATCCAATGTACACTCAAAAAAAAAACCCTCAAGATTGACTTACACTTTCTAGAAGTAATGGCATGGAAGGAGATGTCGACCCTTGTCAGCTATATTCCTTCTTCTCTCCCTCAACTCATGCTTTTACAGTCTTACATAACAGAACACAAATATTTTCTGATAAATTGGCTTTATATGGATTAATCTAAATAGAAGATCTTAGCAGCCCTGCAGTCAGGCATTGTGATTATTATTACGCCTGGCTATTTTTTCTAATTTTTGTAGAGACAGGGTCTTGCTATGTTGTCCAGGCTGGTCTCAAACTCCTGACTCCAAGTGACTCTCCTCCCATGGCCTCCCAGAGTGCTGAGATTAAAGATGTGAGCCACCACACCCGGCCTAAACTCTTGATAGTACACCACAGTAATGCCTCCCTTGCTCCACAGAACTTCCCCACATACCCCAGCACTCCTTCCCCTATTACCCTTATTTTTCCACACGAGATGCCTCTTTGTATGGAAAAGTTGTATTTTGAATCCTCCAAGAGGAGACGGATTAACTATATTCCCTGACACCATTGTTTCCCAAACTGTGATCTCTGGACATCAGTGTTCTTTAAGAAAATAGGTTCTTTGATAAGGTGTGGTTAAAAATATTTGGTTAAAAAATTTTTCATCAGGTGCTCTTATTATAAGGCTTCTCAGAGTGTTCCCTATGTTAATATTCATGTATTTCCCCAAGAGGGTAAAAGTACATGCAGAATTTTCCCAACATTTTGTCAATAGGACACGGTATGTATTTTTTATTTTTTGGAGGAATACCAATTAATATTGTGAAAGGCACTAACAGTCAAAGAATATAGTTTGGGAGATGCCATCCTGTACCCATCAGTAAGGCTTCCCCTGGTCCTTACACTCAAGTCCTCACTTGATAGCGTTCTTAGCCTCTTGAAGATATAATTGCATTGTCTCCTGGCTCCTAACTGTTGTCAGATTGGATCAAAATTTGTTTACAACTGCTTTTGGGGGGATAAATGATACTCCACAAAAGCATAATGCTGGGTAGCAGTATTTTACACATATTATGATGTAGTATCAAGCAAATGATATCATATCCCCTTTAAGTACTAAATGAGGAAATTTAAGTTTAGAGACTTAATCTAATGACAAAATCTAGCAGCATCTAGTATGACAGATTACAATTTCTGAGAAAAACTGCCTCCTTAAAAAAATGAAACTTATGGATAAATGAAATTTACAACATATTGTTGAGTTGGCACAAAATAAGAAATCCATAGAATGCTTATGGGTTCTATGAATACCTCTATATGAGGTAGGCCAGTGACAATGTGGGCTTTTGATACGAATGCTTCTATCAAAACCCTAGAGATCGTAAAGCTTCCTTTGATGACTTCATTGGTCTCAATGAGGGTTGGGAAGTCAATAGGAAATCCATGAATAAAACTAGAAATGCCAAGAGCTCTACTATCAAATTAAGCATAAAAGAAAAATAAACCTCCTATGCAGAAGGCTACAGCAAGGTCAACTGGCTATTTAGACTCTGATGCTGGATATATATAGGGAGGAATAAAAAGCCCTGAGAATTCATATTTATATGCTGGGCCTCATGCAGGATTATAGTCTAAATTTATGTTACCATTGTGGTTTGAAAAACTTAAAATGCAGAATTTAGTTTAAAGTGGTCTCAGGTTGGTAGTAACTATATGTTTGGTAGAAGCAATTGCAAATCCTCTCTGAAGGAATTCAAGTTTAATTCAGGCTTCAAAGAATTCCACAGATATAGTTCCCAGTAAAAGAACATTTTACAGTCAAAAATCATGAAACAGCTCAGGGCAAAAGACAGCATGATGGGAACCGGCAGAAATAAGGGAGAGTAGAGACAGAATGACAAATAGTTCAGATGTTAGCTTTAGACACAACATTCAAAATAACTGTATTTAATATCTTTAAAGGGAGCTTGAATAGCAAAGGAGCTTGAAATTCGAGAACAAGCAGATGTGAAAAAATAAAACTGCTATAATTGGAGAATATAATTGTATCTTAAACCTAAGTGGATAGTTTAAACAGCAGATTTGATGCAGCTGAAGACAAAATGTCCTGTAAAAAACATCTGAGGTAGTTATTCGGAACACAATCAATAGATTGAAAATATAAAAGGAGGGTGAAAGACAAGGAGAAAGCATCAGAACATCTAAAATACACTTCATCATAATTTACAGGAGGATAATAGAATGGAGAAGAAGAAATATTCAAAGACAAAGGGGCTGAAATTTTCCAGATATGTTGAAAGACACCAGCACTTAGATCTAGGAAGTCCTATATATTCCAAACAAGATGAATAAAAAGAAATTCATACCTTAACACATCAAAGTGAAACTGTAGAACACCAAAGAAGAACAGATAGCCTTAAAAAACAGCCAGAGAGAAAAAGCCAATCATCTACAAATAACTGACAATTCATTCTTAGCCTGAATTTTTACTAACAAGAAAGGATGCTGGAAAACAGTCCAAGAGTATCTTCAATGTGTTGAAAGATATGCAAGTTAACTTTGAAATTTTTACCAAGTAAAACATCTTTCAAGATTAAGCGTGAAATAATAGATTAAAACATATGAAAATATTGTTACCAAAGACATTTTGTATAAACAATTTAAAGGGTATACTTTAAACAGATGAACCCAGAGGGAAGGTCATACTGAATAACTGAATGATGGGCAAAGGTAATGACAGACATTTAGACACAACTTAAAACAAATATGGATTGCACAATAACAGCAATGTGTATTTTGTGGGAGGAAAAGTGGCTATAAATATAAGACTGGACAGTAATCGCCTGTATGTTAAATATGAACATTAAAATAGGGAAAACATTAAATAATTGATATAGAATGACTAGAAATGAAGAGAAAATTGAATGAGAAGGAGAAAAGAAATCCAAAAGACAATAAAATAGGGAAAGGAGTATAGAAGACAGGAGAAATAGAAACTGCTTAATAAGATTAGTAGAAATAAATTGAAATATATCAGCAATTATGGTATTGATGCCCATCTGTCAAAGACCACCAGGGACACACCAATAGTCAAAGAATGTTGGGTTTATTGGCTCATTGTCACATGGAAGACAGCATACCAGGAAGCCATAGGACATCTCAGAAAGTAGATTTTAGAAGGAACTTTTATTAATATAAAGCTTAGTCATGTGAGATGTGAGAGAAGACTTAAATATTGGTTTGCTTCAGATGACACATGTTTAGGACACAGGAGAAATTCTATAAATAAGTATTTTAATGAATTTTATTTAAGAGGTAGGAGAAATAAAGCAGAGCTAAATCCATAATTAGTACAGAAGCAACAGTTACTAGTTTAATCAGACAAGAGGACTTTTTGACCATTTTTCTGTTTGGACAATGTTTTTGTTCCTGCTGAGATACACTTATGGAAAATTCTTGTTTGTGTCATGCTCACAGAGAGGCCTTGTCTGATGTTAATGCTCTGCAAAATGGTTCATGTTCAACAGAATAACACCACAACCCAGTTTTGAGTGCCTAGACAGCTCCTAGAAACATCCAGGCTTAGCTCTTATTGCCAGGTCACCTTGTGGGTATGAGGGACTGCTTTTCTCTTTGTTTCAACAATAATTGTAAATGAATTAAATTTGAAAGATAAAAGATGAAGATTATTTAACTATCTGAAAGTAATACAATTCTGTGTTGTTTATAAGAGAATTAAAACATATAGACACAGAAGAATTAAGTCAAATGATGGAAAAGAAATACCAGAAAAATTCTGGCCAAAAAAAAAGTGTTGTGAAATTACATTAATGTTTGATAAAATAAACTTCAAGCCCAAAACCATTACTAGAGAAAAGCAAGTCATAATATAATAAAAGGCTCAATTCATCATAAGGACATTACAGATCTAAATTTGTATGTATTTAATACCATAGCTTCAAAATACATAAAGCAAAAATTGACTAAAAAGTAGACAAATTCACAAGCATAGTGGGAAATTTTAAAATAATGTTTCATTGTGGAAATGTTTTAATATTTCCAAAACTGAACAGAATAGTATTATAAACCACTATGTGCCTATCTCCAAGCTTTCTGTTGAGGTTTACAGACTGTGTTTCTTTCTGGTGAATTATCTGTCTATATCCTTTGTCAATTATCTCATTTGTTTTTATGGTCTCCACAATACCCAGTAAAACACCTATTCAAGGTGATTAGCATAAGCCAATTAGGGTAGTCCCATCCTCCTTCCTACAGTAATTAGTCCAAGTAACACAGATTTAAACCGACGACTACCTGTCAGTGTCCTATGCACAGGAATAATTGATTCATGGATGTCCCAGTCAGTGCAAAGTTCAGAATATTTATGTGATGAGAGGTTAATAAGGATTCATGTAATGCCAGGTAATCTTGGCAATCATTTGAACCCACGAAGAAAGCAAACTTGAGTGTTGGAAATTGCAGGAAATGAAAGTAATAATAGCCAGAGTCCAATAAAAGTATATTGGAAGTCAATGTATGTTGAACTTCTTATGTTTAAGCCAGTTTGGGTAAGGTTTCCCTGTTGTTGTTGTTGTTGTTTTTTTCCTGCCTATGATGATAAAAGTTAAGAAATAATTTTTAAATCTAATCATTTGGAGGGTTTTTTAAAAATCTGTTTGTTTTGTTTTTATAAGTTAGTCTGGATACTTTAATACTAAACCTGCTGTGCATGTGCAAATATGTTTTCAAAGTTTACCATTTGTCTTTTAACCTAGTTTATAGAATAATTTTTTTGCCACATAGAAGGTTAGAACCAGGATTTGTAAGAGCATAAATGTTATGCAATTTCCAGGGCTGTCTTTAGGAGAAAATACATAACTATAAAAGGAATTTTAGGTAAAATGTAAAATTTTTAATGAGGAAAAAACTAAAAATATAAAATAGATTATAAATAAAAATATAAAATCATTGATTTTTTCATATATCAAATATTTTATAACATTTTGCAGCAAGAAGATAGAAAGATAATTTAGTCTTTTCTGTAGCTTTATTAGTTAAAATTTGTATTATATTACAGAAAGTTGACATTCATAAAACCAGAGATTTTAGTCACAAAAAAACTCACTGTTTAGAGAACTGTTATGAACTTGGACTCTATAAGCATAGGAATCCTGATAAATTTCATTTTATCCAATTCCTAAGGAGGGAAAAAAAAGCACGGTGAGTTTATAATTGTATGTGCTGCATTAATAAGTATATTTCCAACAGGAGAGAACTTCTATTTTGACTAGGCTTTGGTGCATTAGTGAAAACCAAATCCTCTGTAAATTTTATGTCTCTGATACATGCAATAATTTTCCATAAGCTAGCTCTGGCTCTGTAATTTCCATAATGCTTTGTTTCCATGCACACAAGTTATTGCAAATCCTCTAAATAAATGCCAATTAACTCTAACCTAACTCCTAACTACATCCTCCTCTCAACACTACTTTAGCCAAACCCCAAAAAGTGTTCTGCCCAATCCAGTACCTCCTGATAGGGAAGCAAATATGACAAAAGGAAAGTTTGAGTGGAAGGAGAGGGGATGTAAATGAGGGGTTCACAAACATTTTCTGTAAAGGGCCAGATAGTAAGTATTTTAAATTTGGGGAAACTAAGTCCTTTGTAAGAGCTATTCAACTCTGTCATTGTAGCACCAAAGCATCACAGATAATATGAAAATGAATAAGTGTGTTGTGTTCTAATAAAACTTTATTTAGAAAAACAGTGGACTGGATTTGCCCAGTGTTGATTGTAACCATCTCACATAAATATCTGACTCCTGGGCAACATTTAAGGACCTAGTGGCCCCTGAAGGGTGTTGTTAAATCTTAAACATCATCAGCCCTAAAGTAAATCCTCCTCCAGGCGGAGGAGCCAAGATGGCCAAATAGAAACAGCTCCGATCTAAAGCTCCCAGCGTGAGCGACGCAGACGAGGGCTGATTTCTGCATTTCCAAGTGAGGTACCAGGTTCATCTCACTGGGGAGTGCCAGACAGTAGGTGCAGGACAGTGGGTGCAGTGCATGGTGCGTGAGCTGAAGGAGGGCGAGGCATCGCCTCACCCGGGAAGCACAAGGGGTCAGGGAATTCCCTTTCCTAGTCAAAGAAAGTGGTGACAGACAGCACCTGGAAAATCAGGTCACTCCCACCCTAATACTGTGCTTTTCCAACGGGCTTAAAAAATGGCACACCAGGAGATTATATCCTGCACCTGGCTCCGAGGGTCCTACACCCACGGAGTCTCACTCATTGCAAGCACAGCAGTCCGAGATCAAACTGCAAGGCGGCAGCGAGGCTGGGGGAGGGGCGCCCACCATTGCCAAGTTAGTTGTTTGATTAGGAAAACAAAGCGGCCGGGAAGCTCCAACTGGGTGGAGCCCACCACAGCTCAAGGAGGCCTGCCTGCCTCTGTAGGCTCCACCTCTGGGGGCAGGGCACAAATAAAAAGACAGCAGTAACCTCTGCAGACTTAAATGTCCCTCTCTGACAGCTTTGAAGAGAGCAGTGGTTCTCCCAGCACGCAGCTTGAGATCTGAGATCGGGCAGACTGCCTCCTTAAGTGGGTCCCTGACCCCCGAGTAGCCTAACTGGGAGGCACCCCCCAGTAGGGGCGGACTGACACCTCACATGGCCGGGTACTCCTCTGAGACAAAACTTCCAGAGGAACTATCAGGCAGCAGCATCTGCTGTTCACCAATAGCCACTGTTCTGCAACCACCACTGCAGATACCCGGGCAAACAGAGTCTGGAGTGGACCTCTAGCAAACTCCAACAGACCTGCAGCTGAGGGTCCTGTCTGTTAGAAGGAAAACTAACAAACAGAAAGGACATCCACACCAATAACCCATCTGTACGTCACCATCATCAAAGACCAAAGGTAGATAAAACGACAAAGATGGGAAAAATACAGAGCAGAAAACTGGAAACTCTAAAAATCAGAGCACCTCTCCTCCTCCAAAGGAACACAGCGCCTCACCAGCAACAGAACAAAGCTGGACGGAGAGTGACTTTGACGAGTTGAGACAAGAAGGCTTCAGATGATCAAACTACTCCGAGCTACAGGAGGAAATTCAAACCAATGGCAAAGAAGTTAAAAGCTTTGAAAAAAAATTAGAAGAATGGATAACTAGAATAACCAATGCAGAGAAGTCCTTAAAGGACCTGATGGAGCTGAAAATCAAGGCATGAGAACTACGTGACGAATGCAGAAGCCACAGTAGCCGATGTGATCAACTGGAAGAAAGGGTATCAGTGATGGAAGATGAAATGAATGAAATGAAGCATGAAGAGAAGTTTAGAGAAAAAAGTATAAAAAGAAACAATCAAAGCCTCCAAGACATATGGGACTATGTGAAAAGACCAAATCTACATCTGATTGGTGTACCTGAAAGTGACGGGGAGAATGGAACCAAGTCAGAAAACACCCTGCAGGATATTATCCAGGAGAACTTCCCCAATCTAGCAAGGCAGGCCAACATTCAAATTCAGGAAATACAGAGAACGCCACAAAGATACTCCTCGAGAACAGCAACTCCAAGACACATAATTGTCAGATTCACCAAAGTTGAAATGAAGGAAAAAGTGTTAAGGGCAGCCAGAGAGAAAGGTCGGGTTACCCACAAAGGGAAGCCCATCAGACTAACAGCAGATCTCTCAGCAGAAACTCTACAAGCCAGAAGAGAGTAGGAACCAATATTCAACATTCTTAAAGAAAAGAATTTTCAACCCAGAATTTCATATCCAGCCAAACTCAGCTTCATAAGTGAAGGAGAAATAAAATACTTTACAGACAAGCCAATGCTGAGAGATTTTGTCACCACCAGGCCTGCCCTAAAAGAGCTCCTGAAGGAAGCGCTAAACATAGAAAGGAACAACCGGTACCAGCCACTGCAAAAACATGCCAAATTATAAAGACCATCAAGGCTAGGAAGAAATTGCATCAACTAACGAGCAAAATCACCAGCTAACATCATAATGACAGGATCAAATTCACACATAACAATCTTAACTTTAAATGTAAATGGACTAAATGCTCCAATTAAAAGACACAGACTGGCAAATTGGATAAAGAGTCAAGACCCATCAGTGTGCTGTATTCAGGAAACCCATCTCACGTGCAGAGACACACATAGGCTCAAAATAAAGGGCTGGAGGAAGATCTACCAAGCAAATGGAAAACAAAAAAAGGCAGGGGTTGCAATCCTAGTCTCGGATAAAACAGACTTTCAACAAACAAAGATCAAAAGAGACAAAGAAGGCCATTACATAATGGTAAAGGGATCAATTCAACAAGAAGAGCTAACTATCCTAAATATATATGCACCCAATACAGGAGCACCCAGATTCATAAATCAAGTCCTTAGTGACCTACAAAGAGACTTAGACTCCCACACAATAATAATGGGAGACTTTAACACCCCACTGTCAACATTAGACAGAACAACGAGACAGAAAGTTAGCAAGGATACCCAGGAATTGAACTCAGCTCTGCACCAAGCGGACCTAATAGACATCTACAGAACTCTCCACTCCAAATCAACAGAATATACATTCTTTTCAGCACCACACCACACCTACTCCAAAATTGACCACATAGTTGGGAGTAAAGCACTCCTCAGCAAATGTAAAAGAACAGAAATTATAACAAACTGTCTCTCAGACCACAGTGCAATCAAACTAGAACTCAAGATTAAGAATCTCACTCAAAACCACTCAACTACATGGAAACTGAACAACCTGCTCCTGAATGACTACTGGGTAAATAATGAAATGAAGGCAGAAATAAAGATGTTCTTTGAAACCAACGAGAACAAAGACACATCATACCAGAATCTCTGGGACACATTCAAAGCAGTGTGTATAGGGAAATTTATAGCACTAAATTTCCACAGGAGAAAGCAGGAAAGATCTAAAATTGACAACCTAACATCACAATTAAAAGAGCTAGAAAAGCCAGAGCAAACACATTCAAAAGCTAGCAGAAGGCAAGAAATAACTGAGATCAGAGCAGAACTGAAGGAAATAGAGACACAAAAAAACCTTCAAAAAATTAATGAATCCAGGAGCTGGTCTTTTGAAAAGATCAACAAAATCGATAGACAGCTAGCAAGACTAATAAAGAAGAAAAGAAAGAAGAATCAAATAGACGCAATAAAAAATGATAAAGGGGATATCACCACCGATCCCACAGAAATACAAACTACCATCAGAGAATACTATAAACAGTTTTACGCAAATAAACTAGAAAATCTAGAAGAAATGGATGAATTCCTCAACACATACATCATCCCAAGACTAAACCAGGAAGAAGTTGAATCTCTGAATAGACCAATAACAGGCTCTGAAATTGTGGCAATAATCAGTAGCTTACCAACCAAAAAAAGTCCAGGACCAGATGGATTCACAGCCGAATTTTACAAGAGGTACAAAGAGGAGCTGGTACCATTCCTTCTGAAACTATTCCAATCAATAGAAAAAGAGGGAATCCTCCCTAACTCATTTTATGAGGCCAGCATCATCCTGATACC
Organism: Homo sapiens; assembly: GCF_000001405.40. Classification (NCBI taxonomy): domain Eukaryota; kingdom Metazoa; phylum Chordata; class Mammalia; order Primates; family Hominidae; genus Homo; species Homo sapiens. The sequence continues at coordinate 36,410,605 of NC_000008.11, read as the reverse complement.
AAAGCCTGGCAGAGACACAACCAAAAAAGAGAATTTTAGACCAATATACTTGATGAACATCGATGCAAAAATCCTCAATAAAATACTGGCAAACCGAATCCAGCAGCACATCAAAATCTTATCCACCGTGATCAAGTGGGCTTCATCCCTGGGATGCAAGGCTGGTTCAACATACGCAAATCAATAAATGTAATCCAACATATAAACAGAACCAAAGACAAAAACCACATGATTATCTCAATAGACACAGAAAAGTCCTTTGACAAAATTCAATAACACTTCATGCTAAAAACTCTCAATAAATTAGGTATTGATGGGACGTATCTCAAAACAATAAGAGCTATCTATGAGAAACCCACAGCCAATATCATACTGAATGGGCAAAAACTGGAAGCATTCCCTTTGAAAACTGGCACAAGACAGGGATGCCCTCTCTCACCGCTCCTATTCAACATAGTGTTGGAAGTTCTGGCCAGGGCAATCAGGCAGGAGAAGGAAATAAAGGGTATTCAATTAGGAAAAGAGGAAGTCAAATTGTCCCTGTTTGCAGTTGACATGATTGTATATCTAGAAAACCCCATCGTCTCAGCCCAAAATCTCCTCAAGCTGATAAGCAACTTCAGCAAAGTCTCATGATGCAAAATCAATGTGCAAAAATCACAAGCATTCTTATACACCAATAACAGACAGACAGAGAGCCAAATCTTGAGTGAACTCCCATTCACAATTGCTTCAAAGAGAATAAAATACCTAGGAATCCAACTTACAAGAGATGTGAAGGACCTCTTCAAGGAGAACTACAAACCACTGCTCAAGGAAATAAAAGGATACAAACAAATGGAAGAACATTCCATGCTCATGCGTAGGAAGAATCAATATCGTGAAAATGGCCATACTGCCCAAGGTAATTTACAGATTCAATGCCATCCCCATCAAGCTACCAATGCCTTTCTTCACAGAATTGGAAAAAACTACTTTAAAGTTCATATGGAACCAAAAAAGAGCCTGCATCGCCAAATCAATCCTAAGCCAAAAGAACAAAGCTGGAGGCATCACACTACCTGACTTCAAACTATACTACAAGGCTACAGTAACCAAAACAGCATGGTACTGGTACCAAAACAGAGATATAGATCAATGGAACAGAACAGAGCCCTCAGAAATAACGCCGCATATCTACAACTATCTGATCTTTGACAAACCTGAGAAAAACAAGCAATGGGGAAAGGATTCCCTATTTAATAAATGGTGCTGGGAAAACTGGCGAGCCATATGTAAAAAGCTGAAACTGGATCCCTTCCTTACACCTTATACAAAAATCAATTCAAGATGGATTAAAGACTTAAACGTTAGACCTAAAACCATAAAAACCCTAGAAGAAAACCTAGGCATTACCATTCAGGACATAGGCATGGGGAAGGACTTCATGTCTAAAACACCAAAAGCAATGGCAACAAAAGGCAAAATTGACAAATGGGATCTAATTAAACTAAAGAGCTTCTTCACAGCAAAAGAAACTACCATCAGAGTGAACAGGCAACCTACAAAATGGGAGAAAATTTTTGCAACCTACTCATCTGACAAAGGGCTAATATCCAGAATCTACAATGAACTCAAACAAATTTACAAGAAAAAAACAAACAACCCCATCAAAAAGTGGGCGAAGGACATGAACAGACACTTCTCAAAAGAAGACATTTATGCAGCCAAAAAACACATGAAAAAATGCTCATCATCACTGGCCATCGGAGAAACGCAAATCAAAACCACTATGAGATACCATCTCACACCAGTTAGAATGGCAATCATTAAAAAGTCAGGAAACAACAGGTGCTGGAGAGGATGTGGAGAAATAGGAACACTTTTACACTGTTGGTGGGACTGTAAACTAGTTCAACCATGGTGGAAGTCAGTGTGGCGTTTCCTCAGGGATCTAGAACTAGAAATACCATTTGACCCAGCCATCCCATTACTGGGTATATACCCAAAGGACTATTAATCATGCTGCTATAAAGACACATGCACACGTATGTTTATTGCGGCATTATTCACAATAGCAAAGACTTGGAACCAACCCAAATGTCCAACAATGATAGACTGGATTAAGAAAATGTGGCACATATACACCATGGAATACTATGCAGCCATAAAAAATGATGAGTTCATGTCCTTTGTAGGGACATGGATGAAGCTGGAAACTATCATTCTCAGCAAACTATCGCAAGAACAAAAAACCAAACACCGCATATTCTCACTCATAGGTGGGAATTGAACAATGAGATCACATGGACACAGGAAGGGGAATATCACACTCTGGGGACTGTTGTGGGGTGGGGGGAGGGGGGAGGGATAGCATCGGGAGATATACCTAATGCTAGATGACGAGTTAGTGGGTGCAGCTCACCAGCATGGCACATGTATACACATGTAACTAACCTGCACAATGTGCACATGTACCCTAAAACTTAAAGTATAATAAAAAAAAAAGACAAAAAAAAAAAAAAGAAAATGTGGCACATATACACCATGGAATACTATGCAGCCATAAAAAATGATGAGTTCATGTCCTTTGTAGGGACATGGATGAAATTGGAAACCATCATTCTCAGCAAACTATCGCAAGGACATAAAACCAAACACCACATGTTCTCACTCATAGGTAGGAATTGAACAATGAGAACACATGCACCCAGGAAGGGGAACATCACACACCACGGACTGTTGTGTGGTGGGGGGAGGGGGGAGGGATAGCATTAGGAGTTATACCTAATGTTAAATGACGAGTTAATGGGTGCAGCACACCAACATGGGACATGTATACATGTGTAGCAAACCTGCACGTTGTGCACAGGTACCCTAGAACTTAAAGTATAATAATAAGAAAATAAAATAAAAAAGTAAATCTTCCTCGGAATAAAAATATTACCATTTTTTATTTTTTATGTTTCTTGCTTTCTATGACTTGTTTTTAATATTTTCTTTCAGAGGGTTTAAAGGATTTGTTTTGTGTGTGTGTTTGTGTCTTTATTCCCTGTGGAATTTATTGTTTTGAAGGTGTGATGTGAGGATTTACTTTTTATAAGATTTTACATTTTCCTAGGAACATTTATTGAATAATTTGTCTCCCCACTAATTTGAAGTGCTGCTTCTATCATAATATTGAATATTGAACTCTGACTTTTTTCCTTTTATTAAGATCTCTTAATTCCTTCAATAAATTTAATATTGTCTCCATAAGGAATAAAGGCCTAATACATTTTTGTTAAGTTAATTTCAAGATATTTTGACATTTTTGTAGCTTCAGTAAATAGAATCTTTTTTTTCCTTGCTACAATTTTGAATGTGTTCTTTCAGGAGTATGCAAAGGTAATGGCTTTTATGTACTGATTATGCATCAGGCCATGTCTTAGTTCCAATATAGTTTTTTTTTCAATTGATTCTGTTGAAGTTTCAAGGCAGATGATTATGTTGTCTGCAACACATTTTAAGCTATTTTGTCCTATATTTTAATTTTTATTTTTGTTTCCATATCAAGGTTATGCTAGCTTGTAAAGTGAGTTGGGTAGCAATTTATCTTTTTATACATCTTTTTAAATTTTCTAGAAGAACTGTAAAAATATTGAATCATCTATTCCTTCTTTTTTGATGTCATTTTACAGAATTCATCTATAAATTATGAGTGGTGTGTTTCGAGTGGTAAATCTTTGAGTATCACATACATTCATCTTAAAGAAATGATCCAAGGAGAATAAAAAGATTGATTATACCATAAAAATAAATAGAGATAGGGCCTTGCTGTGTTGCCCAGGCTGTTCTGAAAATCCTGGCCTTAAGCGATCCTCCTGCCTTGGCCTCCCAAAGTGCTGAGATTACAGACATGAGTCACTGTGCCCAGCCTGCTGCCTCTTCTTAAATCACATTTCCATTTTTGCTACTGTTTACATGTGCTTTTATTTTTGTTTTCCTTCAGCATACTTCTCAAGAATTTATTAATCTTTTAAAAAGTTGATTCTGTTTATATACTCTTATTTTATGTCCATTTGCTTAATTTTCAATTTTTCTTTATAATTTTCTTCTTTTAGTTTATTTTAATATATTTTTTAAATTAAAAGATTATCATTTATTTTCCCATTATTTAAAAACTGATTTAATATGGCACAGTTTTTCCTGAGTATTGCATTGTTTGTATTCTATAAATTTAATGTATATTGCATCCCTTGTTTACTTTTCTAGGTATTTGTTAATTTTCATCTTTGTTTCTATTCTACATATTTTATGTGTATTATATCCTTTGTTCACTTTTCTAAGTATTTAATGTTCATCTTCACTTTACTCTTCAATTTTTTAACTATACAAAACAGTGTTTTAAAATATATTTTTAAGATATCTTTTGTGGGGTGATTTCTAATTATATTTCATCAGACATGTCTGGTGTTTGGTTTATATGATATCAATATTTTGGAATTTGTTGAGGTTCTTTTTCTTCATGCTATGTGCTCAAATTTCTCAAATGTTTCATGTGTATTTGAAAATATGTATTCTCTGCTTGTTGAGTTTGGTGAGCAATGCATTGGTATTGATATTCTCATCAATATTTCCGAGTCTCCACTCCTTGACACACTAGAAGATTTTATTTCCCTACCCCCTTAAACTCAGCCATAACCAAGTTACTTGCTTGTGAGAATAAAATGTGAGTGGAAGTGACATGTGTTCCTCTTCATGGTAACAAAATGGCTAGTGCCCAATTCTCTGTGCTGTCTTCCGCTGTTTCTGTGGTCCCTGGGGCCCCACTTTGAGACTGTAGCATCCAAAGATGGTGGAGGGCAAGGTGTGGTGATCATGCCTGTAATCCTAGCAATTTGGGAAACCAAAGCAGGAGGATCACTTGAGCCCAGGAGTTCATGATAGCAGTGAGCTATGATCACACCACTGCCCTCCAGCCTGGGACACAAAGTGAGACACTATCTCTTAAAATAACAACAACAACAACAACTAAATGGTGGAGCCTCTCTCAGCCTGATTCCCCAGGTATTAACTGTGCAGAGCAGAGCTCCCTGCTGAGACATTGGAACACATAGCATGAATGAGAAAAAAAATCATTTTTTAAGCTCTGAAATTTGGGGATTATTTGCTAGTGCAATGTATCATCAATTACCTTGGTATGATAATATCAGTGTATGCCATTATAACAAGTAGCCCCAAAATTGTGGTGGTCTTTAGCAGCAATGGCTCATCTCTTACTTATGTGGGTTAGCCTATGGATTTGGCCTTGGATTTTCATCTTGGACCCAGGAGGAAGGAGCAGTCCCTCTGAGACATTGCTGATCCCACGGCATAGGGAAAAACAGAGCTGGTGGTATGCACAATGGCTCTTAAAACTTGCGCCCAGAAGCAGCAGCATGTGCCACATCCACTCTGTTGCTTTGGCCAAAGAGCACATCAAATAGCCAAGCTTGATGTCAATGGGATAGAAGGATTATAGTTCTATTAGGATGGGCCTAGTAGGAAAGAACTGGTAAGGAAGGCAGCAGATATTTTGAGAGTAATGAACTCTAACATATGCAATATAGCCTAGTCCACATCCAGTTCAGAATACCTTATTTTCTATTTCTATCTGATATCTCAGTTTTTAAAAGAAATGTATTAAACTCTTACATATTGATTGTGGGACTGACTATTCCCTTTGAGGTTGTATTAGTTTGTCTTTGTACATTTTAAAGCAATATTGCAATATGCATACTTGCTTCATGATTTATATGTTACTAGTGAATTACATTTATAACTGAAAAAATATTTTCCTTTGTCCTTTATTGAGGTTTTTGCCTTAAATTTTATCTTCTGTGATAATATTACTGCATAAGCTTACTTTTTACCATTTTTACCAATTTATGTTGTAAATAAATTAAAGACAAGATTCTAAAGCCAAACTAACTTGGCTCTAATCCTGGCTCTGCTACTTACTACCTGTGTGAGTTAGAGCAAGGTGACTAACCTCTCTGTGCTCCAGTTACCTTGTCTATAACAGAAATAATAATGTCTACTTTCTGGAATTGTACCTGGCATGTGGTGAGAGCTATATGAGTATTTACATGGTTTTTTTTTATTATTTGAACAGTGTCTTTTGTAAACAGAAAGTGGCAAAATTTGGTTTGCTTTATTACTCTGAAAATTTTAGTAGATTCATTTAGCCTAGTCACAGTTATTATAATTACTAATATTTTTGGACTCATTCTTTTTTTTCTTAGTCTTTTCATTTACCATGCCTTCTCTATCTTTGTCCATTTTTCTGCCTTTGCTTAGATGTATTAAATTTCTTTTATTCTATTCTTCTATATTGGTTTAAACATTGCTTGATTTCTATTCTTGCAAGCATTTTAACGTTGCACTTGTACTGAAGTTAATATTTTCCAATAAAATTTGTTTTAATCAATATCGCTATACTTCTATCTTAGTCTCCACCTCCCCACCCATGTTCACACAATAATTTTTTTTGTCTTAGATGGCAAGAAGAAATCCTTTTTCTAAACAAGTAATGCTTTATTAAGTTGGTAAAATGTACTAATCTGTATTTTTACTACCACTTTCTATATATCTCTCTATCCACTTGGAATAATTTTTCTTTTTATTAGATTACACTACTGTCAACTTTTAAAAATGAAACTCCTGAAAGACACCCTCATGCTTATGAATTGCCATTTCTTCTTCAGTCCAGTCCCATCGTTATTTAATCACCCAGGGCCAGGGCTATCTCACAGCTTCTTTTGCCTTGAAATTTTCCCTTCTATTTCTGAGCATGATTATGTATTTCCTTAAGATTTTTTACCATAATTTGAAATATTTGACAGGAGGGACAACTGTTTTATGTTTTTTCTGATCCATTTTGAAATCATAATTATATCTAAGATGATTTTAAGAGTATTTGGTGACAAATGATGAAAAGATTTCAAGGCTATTGATCAGTGTCTAGAAAATCCTAATTATAAATATATCTCTTCTAGTTCATGAGCTACCAAATCTATTTCAAAAATTTTACTACTGTGTTTTCTGAATGCTAATGGTTCTATCAGATTAGAAACATAAAACACTATATTTTATGACTACTTAAGAATTCACCAAGTCATAGAAATGGCTATAGTCAAATTTATTTTAATTTCTTATTAGCAAATGCCTAATACTTAATATTCATTTATTTTCCTTATTATGAGCAATCTAGGAAGATGTGAAACTATGTAGGAACAAGAGAAACACTGATGGTGATAAATTCTAGTGTCAATGAAATGATATTTGTAAAAACATTTCTCAGTTAATCTCCTTGTATTTCCATCTCATCTAACAGAATTACACCATAGCCAGAATCATCTTTCTCAGGTGCAGATCATATGGTGCCAAAGCTCTCCATTGGTTCCCATGTGTAGTCTGAATATATCTCATGTCACTCACCATAATAATCAACATTATGGTCCCAACTTATTTTCCAGGTGACGTTCAAATTGATCTAAATGCTTCCCCTGAACTTGTCCACACATTCTTGTATTTATGCCTTAGCTAATACTATTAAGAATTACAGTACTGTGTTTTTCCAAAATTTCTGATGATTCAAATATTACAAATGATTTAGGACTTCATCACAGTAATAAATACTCCATGAAGTCTTTTGGATTTCCTCAGTTGTTTATAAATTTTCTGGTTTATCCATTTCAAGAGAGCCTGTTTCTTTGATGACATTTATTCATCTCTATCTAATAACATAATTTTGTATAACTATATTTTCTACACCTCTCTCACACACATACAACCTCCACATTATATATTTCTTAGGAGCCTAAAGAATGTCTACCTCAGCCTCAGCAGTCCCTACAGACATTAGGATAACATCTTTCTTTTTTAGAAATCTCTGAATACATTTATGAATTGAACTGAATTGTATATTATGTCTTACCTGTACATCTCCATATATGTGCATATTTGACAACTAGATTAGGTATGGATGGGACATTGCTTTTTTAATTTCAAATGAAAAAATTGGATTTTAACAGTTTTAACCTGTGCTAGTCTACCTTTAGCCAAATTTCTTACAGCTGCCTCCATGGGAATTTGAGTCACCATATTATAAATAATGACCTCAACATCAACCCCCTGAAATTAACTTCTAAGTTGAAAAACACATAATGAATGCACAGTATCAGAAAAATCTCAATGCAAGAATATATCTTTGGTAAAGGTGCTGAGAGAGAGATCCCACAGAAATGTTTTAATTTGTTGATGAGTGCTAAATACAATTTGTAATCTCTGAACATTTGGTAAAACCCGTTTATTTTGCTGATTAGATATTTCAATGAGTATTTGGGGAAAAGAAAGTCTCAGTTCAATTCTAAAGTTGTGTTCAAATGTGGGCTTGCTTTGCCAAGATGAATCTAAGCTAAACTGTCAAGTCTTCTCTCTTGCTGTTTGTGATGTCTCAGTCCTCCCACGGGTGGTGCAGATATGAGGATAATGCATTTATACCTGGGTAGAACTGCATAAATGGAGAATGTCATATCTAGAAGGAATTTAGAGACTGACAATCCTATTTTCTGAGCTTCGATTTGTCATTTCTAAAATGGGAATTTTAAATATAAATATTATAAAAAATATTTATTAAAAAATTTCAAATATCAAAAAAGAAAAAAAAATTCCAACAGGAGATTATCTTAACTTTTGTTAATGATATAAGAAATAAATCTTGATTGAAAATAATTGTACAACCTGGATTTTCTTAGGTCTTATATTTTGATAGCTCTAGGCTTTGCCTGCCAAAGCAGGACATCCAGTCCTCTTCTAAATTTCATTGTGATTCCTGGAAGTTCTTCAGAATAGATCACATGTGTTCTTAAATAGTCCATTCTAAAAACATGCAATGTGGATTTTGCTCTGCTCTGTGATCCCTTGTTGATATCTCCTCCTTTGAAGCCTCTTAAAAGTGCCTCACATTCCTGCTTATTCGTTGTGCATCAGGACTGAGCTATATTAGCCCTAAGAGTGCTGTTTCTCAAGCTCACAAATCCAAAATCTGTTGAAGTGCCACCCACAGGCCTCCAAACACTGAAGTAACACTGTATTCCCCAAGAGGTGTGGAGCATCTTCTCTTCACTCTGTTTACATGTATCACTAAAAATAAAACAGTACTGGGCCAGGCGCGGTGGCTCACGCCTGTAATCCCAGCATGTTGGGAGGCAGAGGCAGGTGGATCACGAGATCAGGAGTTCAGGACCAGCCTGGCCAACATGGTGAAACCGCGTCTCTCCTAAAAATACATAAATTAGCTAGATGTGGTGGTGGGTGCCTGTAATCCCAGCTACTTGGGAGGCTGAGGCAGGAGAATCGCTTGAACCCAGGAGGCAGAGGTTGCAGTGAGCTGAGATCGCACCACTGCACTCCAGCCTGGAGACAGAGCGAGACTCTGTCTTAAATAAATAAATAAATAAACAAACAAACAAACAAACAGTACTCTTCATCAGCTGAAGTAGCAGAAAAATCACCTAATAATAAGTAATGCAGACATTTAATACATTTCTTAGCAGGAAGCCTGGCTCATCCCATCCTTTCGTTTTTCTTTAGCCAGTAGGCAATGTCACCTATTTTGGTCACATAGTAACTGCAGGAGCACAGCACTTCACATTATCACACAACAACCTCTATCAAGGATAATTATAAACTTTGAAATGAGCAAAAAAGAATACTGCATTTCCTGTCTACTGTACCCTTTTAGCTTTCATTGTCTTTCAGCTACTTTATAATTTTGTAAATTATAAAACACTGAAAATATTACACATGATTTTTGTCCACAGAAATGCAAATGAATTGTGTCCAGTGGAATGCACTTATCAACTTTTATATATAATGGTTTTGCAACAATTTGTAAATTTATTTTAACATTTCTGAGGTGTGCTTTTTAAATTTTCCGTTGAATCATTTGCAACATTGTATTTGTTTCCTTATTAATGATATTTGTGCTCTTTTTATATTTGTATGACAGTTATGATTTTACCTTTTTATTTTTTTATTATATTCTAACACTTCTCAGGAAGCAAGGAAGAAGTACAGGGCTAGCTATTCTTAGAAGACATTTCTCTCTTTAAAAAAAAATATTAGTATTATATTGACTAATAATATATTTTCACTTCCATTGGCCAATATATTTCCTGATTTTCTTAATGCAACAAACTTTCCTCTAGCCTCCTTTTCAACTTTTGATTTTTTAGTTTTCATTTAATAGAAGCATAATAGTTATACACATGTATTAGGTACATGTGATATTTTGATACAAGAATACAATGTATAATGATAAAATCTGGGTAATTGAAATATCCATCACCTCAAACATTTATCATTTCTTTGTGTTGAGAACATTCCAGATCTTCTCTTCTGGCTATTTCCAAGTACACAATAAATCATTGTTAACTGTAGTCACCCTATGGTGCTATCAAACTCTAGATCTTATTTCTTCTACCTAACAATGTATTTGTGCCCATTAACCAACTACTATTCTTCCACCCCTTCCCACAACGCTTCCCAGCAATCAAAGCAAAAACTGACAAATGGGAAGACATCAAATTAAAATGCTTCTACACAGCAAACAGTCAACAAAGTGAAGAGACAAACTATGGAGTGGGAGAAAATACTTGAAAACTATTCACCCAACAAGGGATTAATGACCAGAATATAGATAAGGAACTCAAGCAACTTAATAGAAAAAAGAAAACCTCCAAATAATGTGAATTTAAAAGTAGGCAGAAAGTCTGAATAGACGTTTCTCTTTTTATGAAGGAATATTGGTCAGACCTGGCTCACATGGCCATCACTAACTTTAGGGGAGAGTGCCAAATTATTTGTCATTTTCAAACTCTGTGGTAGGAGCCTAGGAAACAAGATGGATGGGTGTGAATGTGTGTGGCTTGGGATCGCCCAGCTCATAGAGTTGTGTAGAAGAGTTCCTTGAGCTTCTGCCTGAAATCCTTCTCTCCAGAAGTTGCAGACTAAGTTTTGGAGCCTAATTTCTTAAGGAAAAAAAAAAAGTCTTAGACATAACTTATGCAGTTCTCTAAATAGTCTTCCCTCTTAGATACGTGTGCATTCTTCTAATCTTCCCAAATTTCCCCAACCCCATAAGTAGGCTTTTGGTAAGTTTGCCACCTGAGCTCATCAAGCATGTTTGGTCTTGCCTCAAAAGTGGTGGTAAATACAGCTTGCACTTAAGGTTGGAGTTCTGATGCCCTGGTAAGAAAAACAGCACCATCTTCTTCCTGGAGGTAGCTCACCAGGTGGTGGGAATAGGAGCAAGGAGGAATGGAAACGTGAAATTTGCTTCCAACACTAATAGAGTAATAACGACTGGCACAAAAAGAAGAATTCTGAAAAAACAAAGAAGATACCAGATTTATACTGTCAAGATGACTCAACCAAAATTTAATCTCTATGGTCTCAGTTTTGTCATCTGTAAAATAAGTGTTGAGTTAGATAAAACCTGTGAACTTGCAGTGAAATATGACATGATTTTACACTATTTAATTTTTTCCGGTACCATTCTTTAAAACATAGAGTAATAAAGCTGACCATTAAACTAAGCAAGAGGTATAGAGAAGCTGCCAAATGTAAGATTATTATATTTTTCTCAGCAAATGTTTCCCAATCAATCCAAACTAAAATTGTGAGATACCAAGTCATGTTAGAGAGAATGTCGGGCAGGGCCATTGCCTCTAACAACTGTGTGACATTAGTAAACTTACCTTGTCTTAGCCCCAAGTCCAGAGGGCTTAGACTTAATACCTAATGTCTCTTCTAGCTCTGAAATATTATGCTGTAGGATGTGCTTCTTTCTAGCTCTCATGTTTTCACTAGAGTCTCAACAAAGAATTAATGTTCAAAGTAACACTTCTCTCCACTGCCTTTTAAAGAGGAAAACACAGTCTGATGATAAAAGACAAACATAAGAAGATCAAAAAGCATGCATTTCAGTTTATTATATCAGCCTTTATCAGGCAAGTGCATTCTTGAAGATCTAGAACAAGTTTGTTCAACCCATAGCCTGTGGGCCACATGTGGCCCAGGACAGCTTTGAATGTGGCTAACACAAATTCATAAACTTTCTTAAACATTATGGGATTTTTTTGTGTTTTTTTTTTTTTTTTTAGTTCATGAGTTATCATTAGTGTTAGTGTATTTTATGTATGGCCCAAAACAATTCTTCTTTTTCCAATGTGGCCCAGGGAAGTCAAAAGTTTGGACACCCCTAATCTAGGTAATTGATCATAAAACCCTGAATTAGCAGCTTACTATTTCTTGTGTGTCAGTTCAAGTAATTGCTATATATATGTGTGTGTGTGTGTATATATATATATATATATATATATATTTTTTTTTTTTTTTTTTGGGATGGAGTCTCTCTCTGACACCCAGGCTGGAGTGACATGGCGCAATCTCGGCTCACTGCAACCTCTGCCTCCCGGGTTCAAGCGATTCTCCTGTCTCAGCCTCCCGAGTAACTGGGATTATAGGCACAAGCTGCCGTGCTCAGCTAATATTTTTGTATTTTAGTAAAGATGGGGTTTCACCGTGTTGCCCAGGCTGGTCTCAAACTCCTGAACTCAGGCAATCCACCTGCCTCAGCCTCCCAAAGTGCTAGGATTACAGGCATGAGCCACTGTGCCCGGCCTTGTTGCAATATATTTTTAAAAACCTTGAATTTTAAACATTAATCATATTGAAATTGTAGTCACATATAATATTTTTATATACAGGAAAATACATACTACAAAAAAATGGAAATCTGCTAACTAATGTTGATAGAATAAAGCCAGGCCCCAAAATAGACACGTCATATGATTCCATGGATATAATGTTCAAAAACAGGCAAAAGTAATATGCAGTGTTAGAAGTCAGGATAGTGCAGAGGGTGTAATGACTGGAAGGGGACAAAAGAGGAGGCATGTATGATGCTGGTGATGTTTTACTTCTTAATCTGGATGCTGGATATACTAGGATGTTCATTTCATTGAAATGCATTAAGCTGTACACCTATGATTTGTGCATTTTTCTAGGTTTTTATTATGCTTCAATAAAAAATATTTTAAATGGGTAAGTACTATGTTGATCTATTGAGATTCAGAGAGTGAATAAGAGTGTTCATTTTTATCATTTTAGACATGATTTAGTCAGGAATGATTTAATTATCTTTTATCATTAATCAAGAGGGAATATATGATTAACATTTCCTAATTTTTTAATACTAAGATAAGTTACGTACAAATATTTAAAGTGGTTTTCTGAGTAGTTAGATTGTGGCTAGTTTTTATTTTCATCTTTCTAATTTTTTATAGTTTCTAAATTCTCTACCTCAGACATGCGTTAATTCTATATCCATAAAATCTATATTTATACAAAACTTACTTTTACATAAAAGAAAATAAATTAACACAAAATAATTGTTAGAGGAGAGGCTTTCTTTTGTTAGAAAGTCTTCACATATGGTGGACAGATGGTCAGAAGCTACTGAGACCGATTTATTTTTCAAGGTGAAAACTACATATTGTTGATGCTGCCTTTTCTTTTTGTAACTGAAGAATTTTAACAACATATATGGCACCAAAATATAAGAAAGACCATGTAGTTTTCTGGCGATCACTATTTTTGTCCAACTTCAGAGGCTTGCCCAAAGAACTTTTGTAGCTTCATAAAAACAATTTATGACTCTAATGCATTTGGTGAGGAATCTACACTCATGGTGTAGTTGGTACAGTTTGCTCATTTCAATAGCACCTAATACTCCTTTCCTTTTATGTGCCGGGCTCTCTTGCTAGAGAATTAGAGATGTCTTATTCTCATGCTAATGACACTTAGAGAGAATTACGTTGGGCCACTCGTGGTTGATATTAAATATTTTACTGTGTGACTGTTTAAATCTCTAAATGTAGACTGAGCATATAAATTATTTATTTAAAAAAACTGCTATAGATGCTGAGCATTAGCCTTTGTCATTCCTTCTCACTTTTCTCTTCCTTCCAACTTTTCTGCTCTGTATTCTATTATTACCACACCCCCTCCCCAAGCTCTGCATATTGCTTGTAGATTACAAGTCTGTGATGAATCAACCCCTTGGTCAACATGAACAAGAGTCAAGGGTGGTAACTAACGTTACCCCCAGGGAAAGTTTGTGTGGAAACAAACCACAAATAAGAGTACTAATTAGAATAACTATGACCATTATGATTTTAAGTAACAGCATGGTATTGCAGTTGTGCTAGTATCCAGAGCTGTCACATTTGCAAACAGCATAATTACATAGGTTAAGATTTAGAAGTATTACCAACTATGGAAAATGGAATGTTTCTTTAAACCCAGGATATATATACATCCATATACATCCAGAATATTATGGTGTCGCAGAAATCTGACTAATACACAAAGTTTAAGGATTCTGCCAAGAAAAGAAGATTGAAATTTTCAGACTGGGCACTGTGGCTCATGCCTGTAATCCCAGCACTGTAGGAGGCTGAGGAGGGTGGATCACCTGAGGTCGGGAGTTCAAGACCAGCCTGGCCAACATGGAGAAACCCTTTCTCTACTAAAAATACAAAAATTAGCCAGGCACGGTGGCGTGCACCTGTAATCCCAGCTACTTGGGAGGCTGAGGCAGGAGAATTGCTTGAACTCAGGAGTTGGAGGTTACAGTGAACTGAGATCGTGCCACTGCACTCTAGCCTGGGCGACAGAGTAAGACTCCATCTCAAAAAAAAAAAAAAAAAAAGAAAAGAAAAGAAATTTTTAGTTAAAAATTTTTTATTATTCACTTACAATCTCAAGAAAGTATTTCTTTGTATACAGACCGACTGACTTCTCTGATGATAAGAAATAGTCGTGATAATTATATTAATAATAATAATGGAATACTCTTCTGATTATTTGCAAATAGCAAGTAACTTAATCCCCTAAGACCTATATGCATGAGTGACTACTACTACTCTCATTTCGCAGCTTAAAATACTAAAACACATAGAGATTAAGTAATTTGCCCAAGGTTACACATAGTCAGCAGCAGGGCTAGGATGTGAACCCAGGCAGTCTGGATTTGAAGCCTGTGCTGTTAGATATCAGGCAACATATCATAAATTAGCACTCTTCTATTTGTGCTGTGAATCCATTCAAGTTTTGTAGGAAGGAAGAGTCTTTACAGCATATTCAGAGAAAAGTCTTCATCGTTATTCATCTATTGCTTCAGAGGGCTTCTCTGTTCATGTTTATGACACACGAATGGCTCATACATAGAATTTGGCCTTATGTAACTACAAGGTAAACGTCAATTTGTCAATGGAAACACCTCCTTCACAAGCTGAAGGTCACAGAAAAATACCATCCTGGACTGGGAAGCAATGCTGTCTGAAGCACTGAGGAATTCAGGTGGTGAGTGTAGAGGAAATTAAGCTGCGTAGCACTGTGCCGCCTGACAGAATACGCTCTCTTACAGTTGGAGCTGCAATAGTTTGAATTCGCTCTCTTTCCTGGTTGATGCTAGGTGTCTGAGTACCTATTCTGAGCCCTGTCTGACTTCTGGTTGTTTTTTGAGAATAATAAATATTCTAACATAAATATGTTGGATACTGAACATGAATATGGAACTGTTTCAGGAGGAAAGAATGGAAAACTGGAATCTGCAAATAACTGTGAAAATACTTAGAACAAATCTCTTTCAATATGCCTATGAACAACCTGGGAATCTTGCTACTATGCAGAGATTCTGATTTAGTAGGAGTGGCTGATTGTAAACATGGCCACAGTTCTGCATCTCTCCTTATGCCCATGTCCTTCACAACATGACTCTGCAGCCCCTACCAACAAGGGATAGAAGCTCTTTGCCTTCTATCTGAATCTACTTTGGCCTGTGGTTTGCTTTAACCAACAGAATATGACGAAAGTTACATTATGCTACCTCTAGGCCATTTCCTTTCTTAGAATGTTACAACTGGGGGGAGGAGCCAAGATGGCCGAATAGGAACAGCTCTGGACTACAGCTCCCAGCGTGAGCGACGCAGAAGACGGGTGATTTCTGCATTTCCATCTGAGGTACCGGGTTCATCTCACTAGGGAGTGCCAGACAGTGGGCGCAGGCCAGTGGGTGTGCGCACACTGCGCGAGCCGAAGCAGGGCGAGGCATTGCCTCACCTGGGAAGCGCAAGGGGGCAGGGAGTTCCCTTTCCGAGTCAAAGAAAGGGGTGATGGACGCACCTGGAAAATCGGGTCACTCCCACCCGAATATTGCGCTTTTCAGACTGGCTTAAAAAACGGCGCACCACGAGACTATATCCCACACCTGGCTCGGAGGGTCCTACGCCCACGGAATCTCGCTGATTGCTAGCACAGCAGTCTGAGATCAAACTGCAAGGCGGCAGCGAGGCTGGGGGAGGGGCGCCCGCCATTGCCCAGGCTTGCTTAGGTAAACAAAGCAGCCAGGAAGCTCAAACTGGGTGGAGCCCACCACAGCTCAAGGAGGCCTGCCTGCCTCTGTAGGCTCCACCTCTGGGGGCAGGGCACAGACAAACAAAAAGACAGCAGTAACCTCTGCAGACTTAAATGTCCCTGTCTGACAGCTTTGAAGAGAGCAGTGGTTCTCCCAGCACGCAGCTGGAGATCTGAGAACGGGCAGACTGCCTCCTCAAGTGGGTCCCTGACCCCTGACCCCCGAGCAGCCTAACTGGGAGGCACCCCCCAGCAGGGGCAGACTGACACCTCACACGGCAGGGTATTCCAACAGACCTGCAGCTGAGGGTCCTGTCTGTTAGAAGGAAAACTAACAAACAGAAAGGACATTCACACCGAAAACCCATCTATACATCACCATCATCAAAGACCAAAAGTAGATAAAACCACAAAGATGGGGAAAAAACAGAACAGAAAAACTGGAAACTCTAAAACGCAGAGCGCCTCTCCTCCTCCAAAGGAACGCAGTTCCTCACCAGCAACGGAACAAAGCTGGATGGAGAATGATTTTGACGAGCTGAGAGAGGAAGGCTTCAGACGATCAAATTACTCTGAGCTACGGGAGGACATTCAAACCAAAGGCAAAGAAGTTGAAAACTTTGAAAAAAATTTAGAAGAATGTATAACTAGAATAACCAATACAGAGAAGTGCTTAAAGGAGCTGATGGAGCTGAAAACCAAGGCTCGAGAACTACGTGAAGAATGCAGAAGCCTCAGGAGCCGATGCGATCAACTGGAAGAAAGGGTATCAGCAATGGAAGATGAAATGAATGAAATAAGCGAGAAGGGAAGTTTAGAGAAAAAAGAATAAAAAGAAATGAGCAAAGCCTACAAGAAATACAGGACTATGTGAAAAGACCAAATCTACGTCTGATTGGTGTACCTGAAAGTGATGTGGAGAATGGAACCAAGTTGGAAAACACGCTGCAGGATATTATCCAGGAGAACTTCCCCAATCTAGCAAGGCAGGCCAACGTTCAGATTCAGGAAATACAGAGAACGCCACAAAGATACTCCTCGAGAAGGGCAACTCCAAGACACATAATTGTCAGATTCACCAAAGTTGAAATGAAGGAAAAAATGTTAAGGGCAGCCAGAGAGAAAGGTCGGGTTACCCTCAAAGGGAAGCCCTTCAGACTAACAGCGGATCTCTCGGCAGAAACCCTACAAGCCAGAAGAGAGCGGGGGCCAATATTCAACATTCTTAAAGAAAAGAATTTTCAACCCAGAATTTCATATCCAGCCAAACTAAGCTTCATGAGTGAAGGAGAAATAAAATACTTTACAGACAAGCAAATGCTGAGAGATTTTGTCACCACCAGGCCTGCCCTAAAAGAGCTCCTGAAGGAAGCGCTAAACATGGAAAGGAACAACCGGTACCAGCCTCTGCAAAATCATGCCAAAATGTAAAGACCATCGAGACTAGGAAGAAACTGCATCAACTAACGAGCAAAATCACCAGCTAACATCATAATGACAGGATCAAATTCACACATAACTATATTAACTTTAAATGTAAATGGACTAAATCCTCCAATTAAAAGACACAGACTGGCAAATTGGATAAAGAGTCAAGACCCATCAGTGTGCTGTATTCAGGAAACCCATCTCACGTGCAGAGACACACATAGGCTCAAAATAAAAGGATGGAGGAAGATCTACCAAGCAAATGGAAAACAAAAACAGGCAGGGGTTGCAATCCTAGTCTCTGATAAAACAGACTTTAAACCAACAAAGATCAAAAGAGACAAAGAAGGCCATTACATAATGGTAAAGGGATCAATTCAACAAGAGGAGCTAACTATCCTAAATATATATGCACCCAATACAGGAGCACCCAGATTCATAAAGCAAGTCCTGAGTGACCTACAAAGAGACTTAGACTCCCACACATTAATAATGGGAGACTTTAACACCCCACTGTCAACATTAGACAGATCAACGAGACAGAAAGTCAACAAGGATATCCAGGAATTGAACTCAGCTCTGCACCAAGTGGACCTAATAGACATCTACAGAACTCTCCACCCCAAATCAACAGAATATACATTTTTTTCAGCACCACACTATACCTATTCCAAAATTGACCACATAGTTGGAAGTAAAGCTCTCCTCAGCAAATGTAAAAGAACAGAAATTATGACAAACTATCTCTCAGACCACAGTGCAATCAAACTAGAACTCAGGATTAAGAATCTCACTCAAAGCCGCTCAACTACATGGAAACTGAACAACCTGCTCCTGAATGACTACTGGGTACATAACGAAATGAAGGCAGAAATAAAGATGTTCTTTGAAACCAATGAGAACAAAGACACAACATACCAGAATCTCTGGGATGCATTCAAAGCAGTGTGTAGAGGAAAATTTATAGCACTAAATGCCCACAAGAGAAAGCAGGAAAGATCCAAAATTGACACCCTAACATCACAATTAAAAGAACTAGAAAAGCAAGAGCAAACACATTCAAAAGCTAGCAGAAGGCAAGAAATAACTGAGATCAGAGCAGAACTGAAGGAAATAGAGACACAAAAAACCCTTCAAAAAATCAATGAATCCAGGAGCTGCTTTTTTGAAAGGATCAACAAAATTGATAGACCGCTAGCAAGACTAATAAAAAAAGAGAGAAGAATCAAATAGACACAATAAAAAATGATAAAGGGGATATCACCACCAATCCCACAGAAATACAAACTACCATCAGAGAATACTACAAACACCTCTACGCAAATAAACTAGAAAATCTAGAAGAAATGGATACATTCCTCGACACATACACTCTCCCAAGACTAAACCAGGAAGAAGTTGAATCTCTGAATAGACCAATAACAGGAGCTGAAATTGTGGCAATAATCAATAGTTTACCAACCAAAAAGAGTCCAGGACCAGATGGATTCACAGCCAGATTCTACCAGAGGTACAAGGAGGAACTGGTACCATTCCTTCTGAAACTATTCCAATCAATAGAAAAAGAGGGAATCCTCCCTAACTCATTTTATGAGGCCAGCATCATTCTGATACCAAAGCCGGGCAGAGACACAACCAAAAAAGAGAATTTTAGACCAATATCCTTGATGAACATTGATGCAAAAATCCTCAATAAAATACTGACAAACCGAATCCAGCAGCACATCAAAAAGCTTATCCACCATGATCAAGTGGGCTTCATCCCTGGGATGCAAGGCTGGTTCAATATACGCAAATCAATAAATGTAATCCAGCATATAAACAGAGCCAAAGACAAAAACCACATGATTATCTCAATAGATGCAGAAAAAGCCTTTGACAAAATTCAACAACCCTTCATGCTAAAAACTCTCAATAAATTAGGTATTGATGGGACGTATTTCAAAATAATAAGAACTATCTATTACAAACCCACAGCCAATATCATACTGAATGGGCAAAAACTGGAAGCATTCCCTTTGAAAACTGGCACAAGACAGGGATGCCCTCTCTCACCGCTCCTATTCAACATAGTGTTGGAAGTTCTGACCAGGACAATCAGGCAGGAGAAGGAAATAAAGGGTATTCAATTAGGAAAAGAGGAAGTCAAATTGTCCCTGTTTGCAGACGACATGATTGTTTATCTAGAAAACCCCATCGTCTCAGCCCAAAATCTCCTTAAGCTGATAAGCAACTTCAGCAAAGTCTCAGGATACAAAATCAATGTACAAAAATCACAAGCATTCCTATACACCAACAACAGACAAACAGAGAGCCAAATCATGAGTGAACTCCCATTCACAATTGCTTCAAAGAGAATAAAATACCTAGGAATCCAACTTACAAGGGATGTGAAGGACCTCTTCAAGGAGAACTACAAACCGCTGCTCAATGAAATAAAAGAGGATACAAACAAATGGAAGAACATTCCATGCTCATGGGTAGGAAGAATCAATATCGTGAAAATGGCCATACTGCCCAAGGTAATTTACAGATTCAATGCCATCCCCATCAAGCTACCAATGACTTTCTTCACAGAATTGGAAAAAACTACTTTAAAGTTCATATGGAACCAAAAAAGAGCCTGCATCGGCAAGTCAATCCTAAACCAAAAGAACAAAGCTGGAGGCATCACACTACCTGACTTCAAACTATACTACAAGGCTACAGTAACCAAAACAGCATGGTACTGGTACCAAAACAGAGATATAGATCAATGGAACAGAACAGAACCCTCAGAAATAATGCCGCATACCTACAACTATCTGATCTTTGACAAACCTGAGAAAAACAAGCAATGGGGAAAGGATTCCCTATTTAATAAATGGTGCTGGGAAAACTGGCGAGCCATATGTAGAAAGCTGAAACTGGATCCCTTCCTTACACCTTATACAAAAATCAATTCAAGATGGATTAAAGATTTAAACGTTAGACCTAAAACCATAAAAACCCTAGAAGAAAACCTAGGCATTATCATTCAGGACATAGGCGTGGGCAAGGACTTCATGTCCAAAACACCAAAAGCAATGGCAACCAAAGCCAAAATTGACAAATGGGATCTAATTAAACTAAAGAGCTTCTGCACATCTGCACAGCAAAAGAAACTACCATCAGAGTGAACAGGCAACCTACAACATGGGAGAAAATTTTTGCAACCTACTCATCTGACAAAGGGCTAATATCCAGAATCTACAATGAACTCAAACAAATTTACAAGAAAAAAACAAACAACCCCATCAAAAAGTGGGCGAGGGACATGAACAGACACTTCTCAAAAGAAGACATTTATGCAGCCAAAAAACACGTGAAAAAATGCTCATCATCACTGGCCATCAGAGAAATGCAAATCAAAACCACTATGAGATATCATCTCACACCAGTTAGAATGGCAATCATTAAAAAGTCAGGAAACAACAGGTGCTGGAGAGGATGTGGAGAAATAGGAACACTTTTACACTGTTGGTGGGACTGTAAACTAGTTCAACCATTGTGGAAGTCAATGTTGCGATTCCTCAGGGATCTAGAACTAGAAGTACCATTTGACCCAGCCATCCCATTACTGGGTATATACTCAAATGACTATCAATCATGCTGCTATAAAGACACATGCACACGTATGTTTATTGCAGCATTATTCACAATAGCAAAGACTTGGAACCAACCCAAATGTCCAACAATGATAGACTGGATTAAGAAAATGTGGCACATATACACCATGGAATACTATGCAGCCATAAAAAATGATGGGTTCATGTCCTTCGTAGGGACATGGATGAAATTGGAAACCATCATTCTCAGTAAACTATCGCAAGAACAAAAAACCAAACACCGCATATTCTCACTCATAGGTGGGAATTGAACAACGAGATCACATGGACACAGGAAGGGGAATATCACACTCTGGGGACTGTGGTGGGGACGGGGGAGGGGGGAGGGATAGCATTGGGAGATATACCTAATGCTAGATGACGAGTTAGTGGGTGCAGCTCACCAGCATGGCACATGTATACCTATGTAACTAACCTGCACAATGTGCACATGTACCCTAAAACTTAAAGTATAATTAAAAAAAAAAAAAGAATAATAGCAGAAGCTGTAAAAAAAAAAAAAAAAAAAAAAAAAGAATGTTATAACTACCACGGAATAAGCCCAAGCTAACCTGCTGGAGAATGAGAGGCCACATGAAAGAAAACCAAGGTACCCCAGATGATAGTCAAACATCTAGAAGCAGAGCCATCTGGCTCACCTGCTGGTTACTGTAGTAGATGCATGAGGGAACCTAACCAGGATGATAAGAACCTCCTGGCCAATCCATATACTCATGAACAATTATAAATGACTGTTGTTTTAAGCCACTGTGTTTTGTGGTAATTTACTGCACAGTGATACTTTACTGATATAGTAGGTCTAGACTGGGGTTTGATATCCTACATTTCAAACAAGATCCAAGATGTTACTGATGCTGCTGATTCGTGAACCACACTGAGTAGCAAGGCTCTGGGACAGGAAGTGGAAAACTATGTAGCCTATGCCCCAAATTCAGCCTACAGCTTGTTTTTGTATGACCAGTGATCTAAGTAAGAAAAGTTTTTATATTCTGAAAGAATGAAGGAGAAGGAGGAAGAAGAAGAAGGAGAAGGAGGAAGAAGAAGGAGAAGGAGAAGAACAAGAAGGAGAAGAAGAAGAAGAGGAGGAAGAAGAAGAAGAGGAAGAGGAGGGAGAAGGAGAAGGAGGAAGAAGAGGAAGAAGAAGAGGAAAGAAGGAGGAGGAGGAGAAGGGGAGGGAAAGGAGCAGGAGGGGGAGGAGAAGAGAAGGAGGAGAAGAGCAGGAGGAGGAAGGGGAAGAGGAAGAGGAGGAGGAAGGGGAATAGGAGGAAGAGGAAGAGGAGGAAGGGGAAGAGGAGGAGGAGGGGAAAATGGGAGGAAGAAGGAGAAGAGAGGAAGAAGAGTCATAGAATACGTAGCTCACAAATCCTAAAATATTTACCAATATTTACTATCTGACACTTTAGAAAGTTTATCCACTCTATTCTAAGATATACTAAGAATCCTTTACCTTGCAAAATATAAATAGACTTTAAATCTTTACATGGGTTCTGGGTTGTGCATTCAGCTTTATATGCCCTGGACATCCAGACATTTAGAAGTTCCACACATGTTTGGAGTGTTGATGAATAATATAATGAATGAATGAATGCACCAGTTTTCCTGGACTGACATTCCAGGCAGCCATCCTTATCATCACCCTCCTGTAATGATAGAAAAATATAGCAAATCTTTGCCTGGAACATATACAACAAAGCTTCTCTTTCAATGACACCTCCATGGCAATGTTCCATCCTCCCTTTATGTCTCACAATACAGGAATTCAAAAGAATTTTGCTTAAGTGGCCAAGTCTTTGCTAAAGTTGCCCTCTTAATAGATTTTAGCACCTCCTTGAAATTCTCTGGGCAGTACCCCTCTCCTATTATCAAAGTGGTGGCTAAGACATTAAAGTGAGAGAAGAGGTAAAGTCTAGGTCTAAAGTCAAGTCAGAAGTGAGGTAAAGCCAGGCACAGTGCCTCATGCATGTGATCTCAATGCTTTGAGAGGTCGAGGTGGGAGTCTTACTTGAGCTCAGGAATGGCAACCAGCCTGGGCAACATAGTGAGACAACATCCCTAATTTTTTTTTTTTTTTTAATTAGCCAAGCATGGTTGTGAACACCTGTAGTGCTAGCTACTAGGGAGGCTGATGCAGAAGGATCATTTGAGTCCAGGAATTTGAGGCTGCAGTGAGCTAGGATCACACAACTACTCTCTAGATTGGACACAACAGAGCAAGACCCTACCTCTTAGCACTTTGGGAGGCCGAGTGACTAGCCAGGCCAACATGGTGAAAGCTCATCTCTACTAAAAATACAAAAATTAGCCACACGGTGGTGGGTGCCTGTAATCCTAGCTACTTGGGAGGCTGAGGCAGGAGAATCGCTTGAACCCGGGAGGCAGAGGTTGCGGCGAGCCAAGATTGCACCACTGCACTCCAGCCTAGGCGACAGAGTGAGACTCCGTCTCAAAAAAACAAACAAACAAAAAAGAAGTGAAGTGAGGTGGAGGGAGGATTAGTTATATTAACAGAGAAAATAGTAAAGGGATGAGGTACAATGTGCTGCTGATGAATTTTGCATTTTAGTGAACTATGTATGAGTATGTTTATGTGTATATATACACATGCACACACACATATTTTGCATGAATTTCAGTTTTCTGGAAATCATACTGTACATGAATCCATGTAAGGTTTGCAAATCTAAATTCAATATTGATAACAGCTTTAAATCCTGTCCTTTCAACTTCCTCTGTATAATTATACCAAATAAAAACTCAACAGCCACACAGATGTGTTAGGATTGGGAGCCTGTAGCTCTGACTCAAGGTTCAGGGAATATTGTCATAAAAATGAAGAGATTGAAATTATCATTGCAGGAGAAGAGAAGAATGGATTTAGAAAAAGGAATTCGATCCCCAAGTGTTCTCACCTACAAAAAGGAATCATGATGGCTCCTACCTCAGAGGCTGGGGTGAGATTTACATGTGTGTCTCCTCTCAGAAGAGTTTCTGACTCACAGAGCATGTCCAATCAACTACAGCTGCACTGCTGCTCACTCATCTCCTCCTCCTAGGGGTGGCCCTGTACCTACTGAATTCTGCCTGAGCCTTGAGAACGTGCATTTTTAGTAGCATTAATAGCCATTGCTTTGGCCGTAGAAAATCTCTAATTACTAACTACTATGAATTCTGACTGTCTTGAGTGTCGTCAGCCTTGACTAAGGATGTGCAAAGACTGGGCTCCTTCCTGAGCTGTTTAGGGAGGGTTGAGCTGTTGTGTGTGTAGCAACTGCCAGCTCTCGCCCAAGCTCTCCTCATTAACAAACGAATGCATCAAAATGCTAGAGGAAATTGTAGCTATATTCCCCAGTTTAATTGGCTCAGGTGATCTGTGACTCTGTAATATCCCTGCATTGGAGAAAAGTGGGGAAGCTCCAGTAGTTCTTTCTGTGGAGATATATTACCTTGTTCAGGAAAAGTACCCAGGGTGACATTCATTAGTAGCCTGTGTGTCTGGGGAGAAGGATGGAGGAAAAGTAGCCAGAGGAAGGGCACGCTAGTTCCCATGGAAACAAACATAACAACCTGACCAACTGATTCGACTCTATAATTTTAAGGAATTTCCTTCTTAACTGGGCTCCAAAATTCCCTGGGAGGGAAGTCTAGAACTAATTTATGTACATTATGGGCTTTTCTATTTCCCCGAAGATCAAAGCTAGCCAAGTAGAGCTGAAGTAAAGATTAAGTATTTGGTGAAGCATTGGGGGAGAAGTATGAATCTATCGTTCTGTTGGGAGCAATAATTTCTTACTGTATAAAAAGCCAGAGTGAAAAGTGGAGTGAGATAGTGAACTTTAAAAATCCTATTGTCTGCCTGCTTCTTCACTCTCCCATGCTGGTTAACTTCACTCCACTTTCCTCCCAACATTACAGAGTTAATGAGCATCATAGCCCTTAATAGCAGACATACACTCAGATACACACACACACACGTATACCTTTTAAAACACAATTCCACTCCCTCAAAGCTATTAATGTCAATAATTTCTCTTTTAACTATTTTTAATACTATCCGATCTATGAATTTTGTTAGTTCTATGGTTATTTGCTTTTAAAATGTGGAATCTATTCAGTAAGTATAATAATATCTGTATGTATAAATATATACTATTAATCAAGTAGTGTGATTGAACTAATAGAAAATTACATGTAATCCTTGGCCATTAAACTTTACCATTCATTAAGAGGAAAATCGTTTAAGGGTAAAAGACCAAATGGATCCTCTTTCAATTTCTGCTGAAGGTCATTCATTTATACTGGAAGAGGCAGGACTGCAGAGTGGTTAAGAGTACATAGCTCTGGAGCTGGCCAGACCCTGGCTCCAACACCAGCTCAGAGAACATGGTGGGGACATGTAAGCTTTCTGCACCTTACATAGGGAAAATATCAGTACCTATCTTGTTGATTTATTTTGAAATTAGATGTTTGCTGTCATGACTAATCACTGCTTCTGATTATCACAGCTTCTTGTCATTTATCACAACTTCTTGTGTCCTATGTCATCTTCTTTCTTGAAATTTTTTACGTTTAGTTTCCATATTCCTAAGTATTTTGTTTATGCAGTCATTTAATACTAGTGTCTGAGTCTATATATTATCCACTGAGTTCCTTGTATGGAAACAATAGGTGCTGGAGAGGATGTGGAGAAATAGGAACACTTTTACACTGTTGGTGGGACTGTAAACTAGTTCATCCATGGTGGAAGTCAGTGTGGCGATTCCTCAGGGATCTAGAACTAGAAATACCATTTGACCCAGCCATCCCATTACTGGGTATATACCCAAAGGACTATAAATCATGCTGCTATAAAGACACATGCACACTTATGTTTATTGCGGCACTATTCACAATAGCAAAGACTTGGAACCAACCCAAATGTCCAACAATGATAGACTGGATTAAGAAAATGTGGCACATATACACCATGGAATACTATGCAGCCATAAAAAATGATGAGTTCATGTCCTTTGTAGGGACATGGATGAAATTGGAAATCATCATTCTCAGTAAACTATCGCAAGAACAAAAAACCAAATACCGCATATTCTCACTCCTAGGTGGGAATTGAACAATGAGAACACATGGACACAGGAAGGGGAACATCACACACCGGGGCCTGTTGTGGGGTGCGGGGAGTGGGGAGGGATAGCATTAGGAGGTACACCTAATGCTAAATGACGAGTTAATGGGTGCAGCACACCAGCATGGCACATGTATACATATGTAACTAACCTACGCATTGTGCACATGTACCCTAAAACTTAAAGTATAATAATAATAAAATAAAATAATAAAAAAAGGTGCAGACTTCAAAAAAAAAGAAAGAAATTTTTGCTCTTACAATTTCCCCTTACAGTAGAAATACATAGACACAATGCTTCCATGCTTCCTATGTAGAGACATCACCAATTACTAACTCTACATTTAGTACTTTTATTTATATGAACAATTTAGTATCAACAGCTAAGCTGTGTCATGTTCTATATTTATGTTTCCTTTATTGTTTAATTCCCTTCCCTCCTCTCATTCTTCCCTCATCTTTTGGCTTATGTACATACCTACCACCAATTCAGGCTCAAACCCCTTGAAGGAATTGTAAATCTTCTGGCAAGTTAAGCAAACACACCGTAATATCCAGCAACTTTGTTACCTCCTCTACCCATTCACTCCCTCACTTCTCATAGGGTCATCCTGGTCTGCCTGGTCAAACGAAGATATGTATACAGGTGGCTGCAGAGCTGTCCTCCCAAGATCTCCTCTTACCCGTTTTCTAGAACACTTTCTCTCTGTCCTTTACTAGCATTTATGTTTCCTAGATTCCATGTCTTTTTTCTTGGTTTGCTTTTGTGTTTTAGTGCAAGACAATATCTAGTCATTCCTAAGAAAGGGTACGCGAGAGGTAGATTTTTTAAAGGCTTAAAATATTTATTTTCCCATCACATTTAAATCACTTTCACTTACTGGGTATCATTTCCCTCAGAATTCTGAACATAATATTTTTTTTTTTTTTTTTTTTTTTGAGACTGAGTCTCGCTCTGTCGCCGAGGCTGGAGTGCAGTGGCACGATCTCAGCTCACTGCAAGCTCCGCCTCCCGGGTTCACACCATTCTCCCGCCTCAGCCTCCCGAGTAGCTGGGACTACAAGAGCCCGCCACCACGCCAGGCTAATTTTTTGTATTTTTAGTAGAGACGGGGTTTCACCATGTTAGCCAGGATGGTCTCGATTTCCAGACCTCGTGATCCGCCCACCTCGGCCTCCCAGAGTGCTGGGATTACA
The DNA here is from genome assembly GCF_000001405.40 of Homo sapiens. NCBI lineage: Eukaryota > Metazoa > Chordata > Mammalia > Primates > Hominidae > Homo > Homo sapiens. The sequence continues at coordinate 36,382,726 of NC_000008.11, read as the reverse complement.
GGCGTGAGCCACCGTGCCAAGCCCTGAACATAATTCTTTACTGTCTTTCAGCCTCTAATGTTGCTGGGGAGAAGTCTAATATCATTTGGATTCTGACTTCAAGAAGAATAGAGCTGTTCATTCTGAGTGTGTGTGTGTGTAAGTGTGTGTGTAAGTGTGTGTTTGGAAGTTTCTATTTTGTGTGTCTTTCCATTTTCAGATATACTACTGGAATTTTTTCTTTAATAATTTCCTCTCTTTTTTTTTTCTCCATGGAACACTTACTATTTGACTGTGGACTTCCTGGATTGAAACTCTAATTTTGTTTGTGTGTTTTATTTTCTATGTTTGGGAGATTTCAATGGCTTTAGTTTTCAGTGTTTCTATTGCACTTTTTATTTCTGCGGTTAAACTTCTAATTTCAAGAAGTTTTGTCCTTATGTCCTTTTTAACATGTGCAATTTTTGTTTCATGAATGCATTTTCTTTTCAGATTTTTCACAGAATATTAATGGTTTGTACCTATATTGATGGCTATTGCTCCTACTGACAGCACTAATAGTAATACCATTTTATCCTGCTTAGCCCCCCACTGCCAGACAAAGTCTCAGCTCCATCCTGCCTTCTGTGTCAGTTACACTCATCCTCTGCTTCTCCTGTTTTTTCTTCAGCATCTTCTTGAGTTCTTTAACCATTTATTGTCATGCTAGGGGGTTCCAGGAGGAAGTAGAGATAACATGTTTTCAATTTTTAACTTAAAGACAGAACCCATGATACCTTGTAATTTTACTCCTGTAATATGTCTATGCATAAATAAGCTCCATTACACTTGGTGGAGGTGGGTGGACAGGAAGGGACTTTTGGGGTGTGTGTGTCTGTGTGTTGAGACGGGATTTCACTCTGGTCACCTAGGCTGGAGTGCAGTAGCATGGTCTCAGCTCCCTTCAACTTCCACCTCCCAGGCTCAAGTGATCCTCTCATCTCAGCCTTCTGAGTAGCGTAGCTGTGATTACAGGCTCGTGCCCTGATGCTGGCTAATTTTTTAATTTTTTTTTTGAGGTGAAGTCTCACTCTGTGGCCCAGGTTGGAGTGCAGGGACTCCATCTTGGCTCACTGCAACCTCCACCCCCCGAGTTCAAGCGATCACCATGTCTCGGCCTCCTGAGTAGCTGGGATTACAGGCTTGGACCACTACACCCAGCTAATTTTGTATTTTTTTAAGTAGAGACTGTGTTTCAACATGTTGGGCAGGCTGGTCTGGAACTCCTGACCTCAGGTGACCCACCCACCTCAGCCTTCCAAAGTGTTGGTATTACAGGCGTGAGCCACTGCTTCGGGCCTGAACTTTCTTTTTATTCATCAGCTTGAAAGAAAAGGACTTGCATTTTCATTGCTTTGTTTTTTTGTTTTTGTTTTGTTTTGTTTCCATTTCCATTGTGTCTCCCCTCTCCTGTAGTTAGCTCATTCTATGAATGTTTAGCATCCTGGTTACACAGTATCTTGCATATTTTGTTTACACTTCTCTCCTATTTTCTATTTTTCTCCTTAACCTCAAAAGATTTCCCTGAATTCATCTTTCATATTATTACCTTGATATTTAATTATACCCATTTTATTATGGACTGATGTTTTTATTTCTCATTGGACTTTTGTACCTATATTAAATTATTTTGATATTTAAAGAAATATGCTTCCACTGTGAAGAAATTGGAGAACATACTAAAAACTGTATACATTAAATCTATAATCACACTCTGGAGCCAATAATCTGTAACTCACATTCTAGAGTTAACATTTTGATAACAATTTGTATTACTTTAAGCACTCATGCATTTTATTTACTCATTTTTTACAAAACAGAATATGCAAACTAGTCTTTTTAACCTTATTTTTTCACTTAACAATGTAATATTGTCATTCATTCTCATAAACACATTGTTATTTACATTGCAATTTTTAGTAGCTATATAGCCTATCTTTGCTTAGATACACCATAATTCATTTTCCATTTCCTATTAATAGGTATTAAGACAGTTATCATTTTTTTCTTTATCATCAATGAATGTACTCACAAATAATTTTTCAGGGCTTTCCAAGTACTCTCCCTAAAAATCTTTTTATATATTGCCAGATTGCCCTCTGGAAAGGTTAGACCAATTTACATGCTTATCTATAGCGCCTTTTTCTCCATACCTGTTTTGATTTCTCCAATCAGTTAGAGGTGGAAGAAAGGCAGTTCATTCTTGTTTCAATTTGAATTTTTATAACTATGAGGATTAACATTCTTTTCAAATATTTATAAGTCATCTATATTTATTCTACTGTGAATTATTTCTTCATGCTATTTGCTCTTTTTTTATCAAATTTTCTTTATTAAATTTTTTAATTACTAAACCTAGCTGCCCTCTTTGCCACTAATGAAACAATGTATATGCAAATATATATAAGTTATAAAAAATGTTCTCCTCTCTTCTGCACACTCCCTTCCCAACCCAGGGGATTAATGATCTGATGTTCGTCCTTCCACAGCCTCCTCTGTGCTGACATGCACATAACATTTGCATAAGGATGTTTGTTCTTCCCAAAATGGGTTTCTACTATACACATGATTATGCAATTTGTTTTATTTTTAATTATGAACAATTTCAAGCATACAGGAGTCCAGAGTAGTAAAATAAACACCAAGTAAGCAGCATCTTCTGTGATTTAAAAACATTAACATTTTGCCATATTTTCTCGTGTTTTAAAGAAATCATGTTAAAGATACAGCTGATATCTAACCCAGTCCTATTACCCAGACAGCTGCTGTCACAGATCTGGCATGAATGTTTCCTGATTAAGTTCTTAAACTTATACATCTATGTCAAGACCTAATTTAAACACACAAAAACACATATCATGTATATATATATATATATATATATATATATATATATATATATATATGGAGAGAGAGAGAGAGAGGTAGATTTGTAAAAATGTATTGGATTGTTTTGTGCTTTTTCTAAACACATTATGTACTAAATTGTATGTTTACTCAACATTTTATTTTTGAGATCTACCCACACACACACTCACTTTAACTTACTTTAATAATTCTAGGTAGCATTCATAGGTTATACGAATGTACCAAAATGTATTCATTCATTTATTGATGGAAGTTTAGTTTGCCAGAGGATTTCACTACTATCAACAAAGCAGCAATGTACATTTTTGTACCTGCCCTTCTGCGTATATATATATATATGCAAATATTTTATAGAATATGTTTCTAGAGGTAAAATCACTGGGCATAAGATATAGGTATCTATTACTTTACTAGATAACACAAAATTAACCTTATAAACAGTTTCTTTTTTTTCTGAATAGTAGAGCATCAGTTTTCTCATTCTTGCAAAATTGTGTTATTGCCATACTTATTTTATTTCTATTTGCTGGACATAAAATTATACTAATTATATTCATTTGCCTTGTCTAATTGCAAAGAAGTTTAATAGCTATTCATGTTTAGTGAAGCACCTTGCTTTTATCATTTCATTTAAATAGCTATTGTAGGATTTAATAAAATTTAGAATAATTCCAACATCCATTCTCAAAGCGCTTTACCCCGTGTCCTTGTGAGAGTTAGATATTAGATCTTGTCTTAACAGTTGCAAATATGGTGGTTGAAACAATGTGAGATTTCAATGGTTTCTTTATTGTGCATTTCTTTCCCTATCAGTGAGGCTGAATGTATTTTCACATATTTATTGACCATTTCAATTCTTGAATTGCTTACTTTTGTGCTTTTTCTACTTTTCTGTGGTTGCTTGCCTTTCTTTTTGATAAATTTATAAGGAACTCTTTTTATTATTAAATCTTAGCCACTTGAGGTATTGAAAATGGTTTGTTTGCCTGGGCACAGTGGCTCACGCCTGTAATTCCAGAACTTTGGGATGCTGAGGCAGGTGGATCACCTGAGGTCAGGAGTTCGAGAGCAGCCTGGCCAACATGGTGAAACCTCGTCTCTACTAAAAATGCAAAAATTAGCTGGGTGTGGTGGTGCATGCCTGTAATCTCAGCTACTTGGGAGGCTGAGGCTGGAGAATCACTTGAACCCTGGAGGCAGAGGGTGCAGTGAGCCAAGATCGAGTCACTGTACTCTGGCTTGGGGGACAGAGCAAGGTTCTGTCAGAAAGAAAGAAAGAGAGAAAGAGAGAGAGAAAGAGAGAAAGAGAAAGAGAGAAAGAAAGAAAGGAAAGAAAGAAAGAAGAAAGAAAGAAAGAAAGAAAGAAAGAAAGAAAGAAAGAAAGAAAGAAAGAAAGAGAAAGAAAAGAAAAGAAAAGAAAATGGTTTGTTCATGTCTTTCTTCTGTTTACTCTGAATATGTGCCTTTCTTTGTTCCAAAACTATAAGGGGCATTAATACATCTCTATTTTGTTTGTTTGTGAGGTCTGGGTCTCCTATGTTCCATAGAAAAGTGTTTTCCATCTTTCTACAGGAAGAAGGGAAGGAACACACCCTCACAGGCTCTTCCCTGGCTGCATTCATGCACTGTGTCCCGCTTCTCAGTGGAACCAGCTATCAGCACCATGGACAGAACCCGGGAGATTGGGTCCTCAGAGCAAGTAAAATGATTCAGGAGTGTCTGGCCAAGGCACTAACTACAGAGATTTTTATTTCATGTGAATAAACAGTTTTCTGTTTGACTTCAAGGCCAGGATCCCGTTTTCCTTTTGCAGTTCTTCTGAGGAAGTTAATGTTAATGAGCACAAGATGAAACTTAGCTTCAACATGATCTGTACTTTACACATCAAAATAAAGAAGATTACCAACACAGTCACAGACACAGGTATAACAAACTTTTCAAAATGCTTTAATATTTAACAACAAACAGGCTACTTTCTTTCCTATCTTTTAAAAAAAGGTCTGTTTTTCAAAGACATAAAAATACCTTGAGCAATTTGTATTAATATTGTATCATGCCTTGTGCCTTATAGAATGTTGATCCATTTAGTTGTCCATGAAAAATTAATTTATGATGAAGTAATGGAAAAATACTGATGCTGAAGATAACAGTATATTTTAGACCATTTAATGAGTGCTGAGTTACAAAGGATAGTTACTGTAATTCTGCAATAGACCAGGCCTACCTAAACCACAACCAGTTTTTAAGTTTTTCAACTGCTAAGGTGAAACATGGGACAAACCTAGAAAATACCTGACAGACTGCAAAGGAGGCTACAAAGACCTCCTTTGGTTTTTCAAGAAAACATTTGGTTTTTCAAGAAACCAAAAAGGGTGTGAAATCTTCAAAACTATGTCCAAAACAATTTACCAAGCTTAGCCCTCAAAAAATATCCAAAATATTGCTTTGCAAATAAGGAAAGATGGGTTGTTTACCATATTCACTTCTAAGGAATCATCTTCTCTAGAAGAATGATGGTCTAAAGACCAGGTGGTTCACACCTATAATCCCAGCTCTTTGGGTGGCCAAGGTGTGAGGATTGGTTGAGGTCAGGAGCTTGAGGTGAGCCCAGGTAACATAAGAGTGATAGCATAGCCGAGTTTGTCTCAAAGATAGCTGTTTTTTAAATGACATTGAAAGCATTAAACCCAGAGTAGTGCTGAGTATTAAAACATAAACATGGTTTTCGCAGAAAAGTGAAACTACTTATAGGAAGAGTACAAGTCCGTGGAGGAGAATAAGGTTCTAACACCATGAGATGGCTCTGATCCTAAAATTTGCACCACTTAAGTGATCACTTGGGCTAAGCTTTAGCAGATAAATAGTGACTCTTATTAAAATACAATTGTGTTGGGAGCCGGGCGTTGTGGCTCATGTCTATAATCCCAGCACTTTGAGAGGGTAAGGCAGGTGAATCACTTGAGGTCAGGAGTTTGAGACCAGCCTGGCCAACATGGCAAAACCCTGTCTCTACTAAAAAAAAATTAGCCAGGCATGATGGCACACACCTGTGGTCCCAGCTACTTGGGAGGCTGAGGCAAGAGAATTGCTTGAACCCGACAGGCAGAGGTTGCAGTGAGCCAAGATTGTGCCACTACACTCTGGCCTGGGCGGCAGAGCAAGACTCCATTTCAAAAAATAAATAAATACAATACAAATGTGTTATTTTGGAATTTCCACACATGGTCATATTAAGCCACAAAGAACAATGGAAGCCATGGCAGAAGCCACTCTGATGGGAGCAGGAGGGAAAATCTAGCGGCAGAAGTACCAGCCAGAAAGAGTGGATACAGACAGTGCTTTAATGTGTGTGTTTCTGGACAGAAACAGATGTTATAAAGACACTAAGAAGTTCAGGTTGGCACCTAACCTGGAGAAAAGGAATCTAAGAGTGACAGACAGTGCTCAGTATAGCTTCAACATTAAGGCTATAGGTTTTAAAGGCAGTTAGCCTGGGCTCACATCCTAGTTTTTACACCCACTCATTTAATTAAAACTCCTTTAGCTTCAATGTTCTGACCCTAACATAAGTGCATTAATATTTTCCTCTCAAGATCATTGTAAAAATAAATAAGGTATTAAATAAGTACTTAGCACAGCACATGTCATGTGACAAGCACTTGCTGTGCCATAATGAGTAATTCACAGTTTTGTCTGTGACTAATCCTCAGCTGTCCCTTCATGGATGTCCACTGGTTGCTGCTGCCAATGGTAACAGTTTTTTCTTCCACTGTGGCAGACCTTCCTCTGTGTTCTACATTTCAAGTGAGCTGTCCAGGCTGGGCTGGCCAAGCTCATCTCCAGAGAAGGAAATATGTCATATACAAGGGACACAATGTCTGTTTGAACAGACCTGGGGTTCAGGAATGCACAATTGCAAAGGAAAAATATAAATATGGATTTCATTATAGAAAAAGTAAAGGAGATGAGTAGAGAGGCTTATAATATCACACTATATGCTTGGTACTACACTAGGTAATTTCACTTACATTATTTGCACTATATGCTTGTAAAATTATTTACATTTATTTACAAAGTAAATTTATTTACATTTCATTTGATGTTCATCACAATCTTGTAACAGAGGCACAAGTTTCATCTATGGGTTAGAAAATTAAGGCCCTGAGGTTCTACAGCGTATAGGAGGCAGATCCAGAAAAATAACTAAAATAATGTACATCAAATAAACAAATGCAAAATGGAGCAGAGTTTTAAAAGAAAGCATTCAGAGATGCCCCAAAATCTTCCTGAGATTTTCTCTGTATAAGCAATTCTGAGTCCTTTGGAGTTTACAGCAAAAGTAACATGGGGTTGTTGCAAGATTCCCAAGTTACTAGAGTTTGAGCACAGCATGGTCGTCAGTTCTGCATTGCAAGAAGCTGTGCACTTGCCTAGAAAGCTGCAAGTGTCATTGATTCCCCTGGTGATTCCGACATGAACATCTTGATGTTCATATGCCCTATGAGGATCAGGGCAGGAGCGAGCAATTGCCAATTATATTTTTTTTCTTTTTTTTTTTTTTTTTTTTTTTTTTTTTTTGAGATGGAGCCTCGCTCTGTCGCCCAGGCTGGAGTGCAGTAGTGGCATGATCTCACTGCAAGCTCCACCTCCCGGGTTCACGCTATTCTCCTGCCTCAGCCTCCTGAGTAGCTGGGACTACAGGTGCCCGCCACCACGCCTGGCTAATTTTTTTGTATTTTTAGTAGAGACGGGGTTTCACCGTGTTAGCCAGGATGGTCTCCATCTCCTGACCTCGTGATCCGCCCGCCTCAGCCTCCCAAAGTGTTGGGATTACAGGCGTGAGCCACCACGCCCGGCCTACATTTTTCATGATGCATAGGGCAAGAAAAGTTGAACACTTGTAACCTAACATGTGGGATATCTCACCATTGGTCAAACTCTTGGGCAACAGCAAAAGGAAATATCAGGAGGAAACTAGAATTTTATATATTAAGACTTGTTATTTTCATTCTCTCCTAAAAGTTATTGAATATATTTCCTGAGAAATCTAGGTAGTACTCTGTGGTCTAAGTAATTCTACTGCAAAAAGTTTCAAGGTAATGATACCGAGAGAATAAAATCAGGCTGCCCTGCTGCTGAAGGGCCTGGTGATTTTTTTCTTATACGTAGGGAGACTGATATCTGAGAAACTAGGTGACCCAATGAGAACTACCTGCAGAAGTTTAGCAATGTTGGGTGTCATTGGGGATCTGTCACTGCTGTTGACAGAAAAAGCTGAGGTTTCTACTATTATTGGAATTTCTACCCATTAGAGAAAGCTTTGAGCAACCCACTTATGAATACATTAAATATAATTCAAATGCATTTATTTATTCAATTACAAATACCAAGCATTCTTTATATGTTAGGCACTGTGCTAGCTAGGAGCTGAGCCTACTGGGAAGAGGAGATAGATATTGTTTCTGCCTTAAAATAGCTTGAAATTAAAAGAGGGTAAGATGACAAAATTAGGAATATAAACTGTCATAAATTTTAAGGTAAGTCAAGCAAGTGCTAGGAGAGCAAATAGCAATACAGTGTTAAGAAAAATTATTTAAAACTTGGCACTAAGACAGCATGGGGGAAGGGGACGTGTCTGTTCAAAGAGGATTATGTAATTATTTATGGAATGGTACCTGTGTTTGACTTTGCTGTTTACTACTGAGGGCTCAGACTCCATAAATTTACATGCTAACTTGTAGATTTCTGTCTGGAAGAGATGTTAATCCCAAAGTTTACAGTGTTATTGCCCTGTAGGACTTTAACCAATTTTGTCTCTAGCTCAGCAAACTTATTTTAAAATACCTTACCTGGTGGACTATAAATACATTATTCCTCAAAATGCTCTTTGAACTAGTTTTACCAGTCTATCAGTTTCCATGTTAATGAAGAAGCTGAATAAAATATTTTATGCATGTTTAGTCTTTATTCATATGAGAGTCATGTTTTAATTTTTTTTAAACTAATTATTTGACAGCAATAGGAACCATTTCTGGGAGGATGGCCACATCAGTCAGCTTGGGCTGCTATACGAAGTACCGTAGACTGGGAGGCTTAAACAACATGCATATATTTTGCACAGTTTTGGAGCCTGGAAAGTCCAAGATCAAGATTTTAGCAGATTTGGTTCTTGGTGAGGGCCTTCTCCTGACTTGTAGACAACTGCTTTCTCACTGTGTCTTCACATGGCCAAGCGAGAGTGAGCTCTGATCTCTCTTCCTCTTCTTAGAAGGACACAGATCTCACCATGAGGGCTCAATTCTCATGACCTTATCTAATTACCTCCCAAAGACCCCAACTCCAAATGCCACCACATTGGGGATTAGGGATTCAACATATGAATTTGAGGGGTGCAGAGAGATGCAAACATTCAGCCATACCAATGGGGTTTGGAGTTATGAGACAAGGCTTGCAGGATAAGGTTGTGGAGGATGCAGCAATTGATGGAAACTGATGTGGTATGAAGATGGCATAATGCTGTTTAAAGAGCTCTGGTGTCAGGCAGATCTGAATTCAAATTCTGCATTCAAGACTTAACAGCTTTTAATAGAACCACTCAGGGCCTCAATTTCCTCCACAGTGAAATGGAGCTGGTAATAATGACAATATCAGAGGGATGTTGTGATAATTACAAAATAACATGTGAAACATATAGTATGCTCTCTGGTACACAATGCTTAGTGAACCAAAGTAAGTTCCTTTCCTAGCCATTCATTGGCATTAATCTGGGAATTTCCAAAGGATTAAAAACTGGAAACTCAGTTCCACAGTCTCACTTACCAGGTCTCTCCTTCTTGACATTCCTGTTATAATGGGAATGAATTAATTATCTCTTCTATACAAATTCTATAAAATTTTCCACCAAGACATTTAGTAGACATAGTAGCCCAGAAACTCTTTGAATTTAAGCAGCTATATAGACCCTAAATTTCATCTCAGGTTTCAAATTTTCAGGACCTAGTGGAGCCTGAGAAAAATAATTACACAAATAGGTTTTATCTCATCAATGCAAGCTTGATTCAGTATTTATGAAAATTGGATAAAGATCAGCTTTCTGTTACTTACCTTTGCTCAGCTAAACCTACTTCAAAGATTAACAATGTGGAGAAAATTTTAGAAGGAATTTTTAATGTAGTTAACAAATCAAACACTATTTCCATGTGTACATTAATTGCACTTAAAATATACATCAAATGATATGTAAAAATAAAATGTTCTTATCTAGTCTTTAAAACTGGTCCCCAATGGCTATTTATCAAGCTACAACTTTATCACTTTCAAGTATGTGAATTAAGTTAAATAAATCTAATGTAAATGAATGTTGCTAAAAGGTATTCTATAGTTTAGATTTTTCACTAATTTAAATCAAACTGCCGTATTAGTTCAAATTGGCTTTTAGAATAAATCCAGTTTTATACCATCTTAAAATATACATAAACACTCACTCCATGGCACAGTCTGAGGTTAAATTAGTGATTTGCTGAAAATTACAATATGCGGTGTTGATTTTTTTAAGACTCTTTAAGGGGAGCTGGGCATGGTGGCTCATGCCTGTAATCAGAGCAATTTGGGAGGCTGGAGTGGGAGGAATGCTTCAGCCCATGAGTTCAAGACTGCAGTGAGCTATGATTGTACCACTGCCCTCTAGTCTGGGCAGTGGAGCAAAAGGCCTCTAAAATCGTTAATATTTTTTAAAAGACTCTTTAAAGGAATGGGATAGAGACACAGATGATTACAAATGGTTTTTAATGTCCTCTAGGTTCTTATTACATTTGCTTTTAAAAATTCTGATTTCTTGTTCTCATTTTACTTTCTCTCTCATCTACACATTTTTACATCTCATGAAAGTAAATAATGACATCACTTATTACCAACCCTTATTTTTTAGCCTTATTCTTCCCATAATATGCTTCTAGATGTTAACAATACTGTGTCTGGCTAGGGAAAAAATGTATTTCCTAATTTTTTGAAATTTGGATGAATATTTAAAGTAATTAAGATTTATCAAAAACATTTAGAACATGTCAGGCATTGACTAAATAACTTGATATGAATTAACTAATTTAATCCTCACAGTAACTCTATGAATTTGTCATTATTATTATACCAACTTTACAGATAAAGTGATGGAGAATTTAAATAAGTCAGCTCAAGGGCCCATTGATAGTAACAATGGAGACAGGCTTCGAACTCAGGCAGTATAGCTTAGGAGGCTGTGCTCTTATCTACTACTTCCAGGTTTCTCCCAAACATCAAACATCTGTATTGCCTAAATGTCAGTCTGTTATAACCAGTTATAACTATGACACTTTTCCTTAGGAAAGGAATCCTAGTAGTTAATTTTATATGTCAACTTGACTGGGCCACAGGGTGTCCAGATATTTGGTTAAACATTATTCTGGGTATGTCTGTGAGGGAGTTTCTGGATGAGATTAGCATTTTGGTTGTTAGACTGAGTAAAGCAGATGGCCCTCCCCAATATGGTGGGACCTCATCCAATATGTTGAAGGTCTGAATAGAAGAAAAGGCTAAGCAAGAAATAACTCACTCTCTCTGCTTGGCTGTCTTTAAGTAAAGCCATTGGTCTGCCTTTAAACTTGGACTGGAACTTACATCGTCAGCTCTCCTAGTTCTCAGGGCTTCAGACAACAGATCTTGGACTTCTTGGTCTCTCTTATTGTGTGAACCAATTCCTTATAACAAATTCCTTTGTGCATGTGCATGTGTGTGTGTATGTATGTGTGTGTGTATATATATATTATATATAGAGAGATCTATGTATGTGACATATATTACATATATAAAACTATAAGACATCTATACATAAGATCTATAAGATTTATATATAATATATATATAAGATGTATAGATATATATGAAGATATCGCTCTGTATCTGTCTATGTATCTGTATCTGTATCTATATCTATATCCATATATCTGTATCTGTATCTGTAACCTTATCTTTCCTCCTAGTTCTGTTTCTCTGGAGAACCCTGACCAATACAGGGACACATGAGATTTTCCCTAATGAGCGTACACTTTTCTCGGTGTTATGTATTAAGATATGGAATATTTTACTGATATTAAGCATATTTATACATATAAATAATTTGTAAATTACTCCTATTCCTTTTCATTCCAAAATGAATATAAGCTATGAAATATCTCTATGTATAGTATCTATATACTGAACCAATGGTTCCATTGGTTAGTATCTCTACACTTGGACCACTCCAAATACCACCCCAGCTAATGCCGCTGGCCCCTCCACCCCAGGACAGCTTAGCATTTGATCCTCAGTTTTCTTCCATGCTTCAGTTCAGCTTATTCCCTTTCCTTGTTTCCTTCAAAGGTGATAGAAGTAACCTTGGTTCACAGTCCTAATATTATAGTATTTATCATGCCTGTGGAATTTTCTTGAAAATATGTCTGTCTTTTTTCCTGTACACTAATTAAATAGAGCTGTTCTTCCCCTATGATCTGTAGGGTTTCATGAATATTAATCTAGGCTAGGGTTTTGTTGTATTAAGTCTTTTGTAGATTTGTGAAGAGACATAAAACTATAATCTCTTTGTGAATCTCAAGATTTGTGGCTAAGTAACTAAAGCAAGCCAGCACACCTTTAAGGAGCCCACAAACTACTATTTAGAAGAAAGCTCAGGAGTGGAGGCTGGCTTCGGCTTTTAAGAACTCTTAGCAGGTGACAAATAATTGTCTTTGAGCATATCTGTAAATAGATCTGCAAATGAGTAAAATTGCAAATTTGAAAAGATAGTTTACTTTTCAATAAAGTTTACGGCAGATTAGTTAACAGTGTCAGGTTCTCATTACTTCAGAGGCAGGGGAGAGAGAGAATTGTAAGCTACAACTGTAGAGAATTATCAGGATGTTATCATCAAGCCCAGCAGGAATTTCACTGTTGGACAAAGCACAATGCTATATGGTGCAACTTCATAAACCCTGAGGTCCAATTCAATGACTTTTATTCCCAATCACTCTTTGTTTAACATTAAAACTCAGTCACTGGAATTTGCTTTTGCAGTTTGTGGCTTTCTGGACCTTTAAATTAAATATATGTTAGAAACTACACACATTCACAAAGAATGTAAGCTCAGGGATGAACCTAAGAGACCACCCATTTCTCTCACCAAAAAGTGGGGAAAGGTGGGTCTGGAGAGGTGCAGCAATTGGTCAAATGCTGTTTTAGGTCAGAGCTGGAAAAAAAAAATCCATGTGAACTGGTGCCCAGTCCAGAGGTCCTCCCAGAGCTCACTACGCACACTATATGATACATTGTGAAATGTGTCCTCCTGTTTTGTCTGTAAAATGCCCTTCCTTTAAATTCCATAGCTGAAAAAGACGCAATGGACCAAACTGTTGCCGAGAAGCAGAAACAGAGAAACAGTGAGTGGTTTTGACTCCACTAGAATAGATTCCAGAGGGCACCTCCAGCATTCTCTAAAGAACATTCAGCCAGAGCCCCAGGGGGGCATCTTTACAAATTAGCATGCTGCTTGCTCCACAAATTAAAGGTTAAATGTTTAAACTTCATATATCACTTCTACGTCAAACCCCAAGGTGCTGTACTTCAGGGAAAGAAAAGGTACGCCCTGTGATTCATAGGTGAAAAGGGAACAAACCATTTGACTTTCAAAAATGAGTTAATGAGGGAACAATGTAAGGTGCCCTTAAGGGAGACGGTCGCCTGAATTTGGGATCTGTTGAACTGAATTTCACACACAGAGATAAACATGTTTCAAGCAGATGTTTGGTGCTAGCTCCTGTGCTACCTGCAGAGATATAAAGGGAAAAAAATACCAACTCTGCTTTGAAGGACTTACAGTCTAATGGGAATAAAAGGCATCTAAAACTATATCGCTGTATAATAAGGAAAGTAAAATCTAGAGATGCAAGTAGAGCATAAAAGAAGTGCACATCATGGCTTAGGATTTGGTGGGGGGTGGTGTGGGTAGCTCTTGAAGGGGATGCTCTCTGAACTGAGTCTTGAAAGCCACGTGAGGAAAGGTAGAAAGGCCACCCTAGACAGACGATATAAACAAAGACATAGAGGTGACATATGATGGAGGGTAAGAATTTTGAGTTTTGAAAGACTCACATCTCACGTAGAAGGCTTGAAGTCATTGCAATGGAGATGAAAAGCCTCTTCCAGGCCCTCTGATTGAAGATCTTGAAGGCCAAGCTAAGGCTCTAGCTTTTATTTTGAAGGATGTAGGGTGGCAGCGAAAAAATATGTGTGGTGTATGTGGATTATTCTGCAGAGAGTATAGAGATCCTACAAAAGAAAGAACAAAAAAGGCAGGAGGAACATTTGAAAACCCTTGCAATAGCCCGTGTAAAAGCTGGTACAAACCGAAAAGGCAGTCATGGTCGAGACAGAGTGGAGGGGAAATGGTACTAAAAAGTGAGATTTAGGGCTTAATTGGGACAGAGGGATAAAAGGTTAAGAGGAAATTAAAATGACTTTAATTAGTTCATGAACAGATTTTGTTTCCCATTTTTGGAAAGAGAGTGAGCAAGTCTTCGTTTTACAGAGGGTAGCTACAACCAATTAGGCAAAAGTGAAAATTTATGATTGCTATCATCTGGAAGTTCAAGTGTGTGTAGAGAAGTATGTGTAAATGCTGAGTGGCCAGTCAAGCAGACTATACTGGTATAAGCCACTGTCTCTGGGCTGTAAAGACATCCTCCTCTGTTATGCTTCATGAAGCTGGAGCTGGAACTCTGCAAGCATTCTTTCTGCTTTGTCAGTTGCCTCCCTTTAAGCAGGACCAGAGTGAAATAAAAGGCAGGTAGAGAGGTTTAAGAGCCCTGTCCCTTCCTGAATTGCTTGTTTTTCCTGTAAGAGACACTTCAGCAATTGGCCCTTTTCCTGGCAGTAGCATTGGCGCCAATCTCCAGTTTTTTTGTGTGTGTTTGTTTGTTTTTGAGATAGGGTCACACTCTGTCATCCAAGCTGTAGTGCAGTGGCGTTAATATGGCTCACTGCAACCTCAACTTCCTAGGCTCAAGCAATCTTCCTGCCTCAGCCTCCCAAGTAGCTGGAACCACAGGTGCGTAACCACACCTGGCTAATTTTTTAAAATTTTTGTAGAGATAAGAGTCCCATCATGGTGCCCAGGCTGGTCTCAAACTCCTGGGCTCAAGCAATCCTTGCACCTGGGCCTTCCAAAGTACTGGGATTACAGGTGTGAGCCACCATACCCAGCCTAGTGTTTTTTTGTTTTGCTTTGTTTTGTTTTAAGGCACATCCAGAAGTAGCCTCATTTCACCTCCTGAAAGATAAGAACACCACTTAGACAGCACTTCCTCCCTCCTCAGAGAATCCTAGCTCTGCTAGACCCCAGCTCTGGGATGCTGAGGCGTTGTAATAAGTCAGCGATGTCTCCTCTTCAAAAAACCTGAGGTCTAGCTCTGCAAGGCTTCTCCCCCAATGCTGGAAGGTTCTGAAAACCCCTGGCTTTCCCTCATGCCCCAGCCCTAGGTGGTAATAGGTGGCCTTAGATATTTGTGTGAAACTCCTAATACATTGGTAGTAGTTAATATTTTAGAGAATATGTGAGATTACTCAAAAATCCAGGAGAGGAGTCTTCCTCATGAATTCCTCACTCACTTGTATCTGTGTGTGTGTGTGTGTATGTGTGTGTGTGTGTGTTTCCACTGATACCTTTCTCTGTGTGTAGCAAAAGAAATACTTAATTTTTTTTTGGAGACAGAATCTAGCTCTGTTGTCAGACTGGAGTACAGTGATGCGATCTCGGCTCATTGCAACCTCCTCCTCTTCCCAGGTTCAAGCAAATCTCCTGCCTCAGCCTCCAGAGTAGCTGGGATTACAGGCATGCGCTGCCATGCCTAGCTAATTTTTGCGTTTTTAGTAGAGACAGGGTTTCATCATGTTGGCCAGGATGGTCTCAATCTCCTGACCTCTTGATCTGCCCACCGCAGCCTCCCAAAGTGCTGGAATTGCAGGTATGAGCCACCACGCCTGGACAATGCTTAATATTTTTTGAGTGAATGGAAGAAAGTATAGAAAAAAGAGGGGGGAAAGAAAGAAAGCTGAATAAGATAATCTTCAGGTTGGAGGTGTGATAGAGGCTGCTAGTTGATTACTCAATATCTATTCTGCCTTTATTATTAAGATTTTATTTGAGCTATTAATGAGTCTATTTCTGAGATCTTTGCACTTAGGGTAATAACAAGTGACAGCAGATGACAGAAATGTTGATTATGACTTCCAGGAAGGATCCTTAAAGAGAACTGATTCTTCCAGGATTACACTTCTTTTTTTTTTTTTTTTTTTTTTTTTGGTCTTTTCTTCTTCCCCCTTTTTGCCATGCAAGGGCAGGAGCTCCAGCAATCATAATGGGCTATGAGGTAACTTTGAAGATTGTGGATTAGAAAGAGAGAAGGAGCCTTGGTTTCTAATGGCTAAAGCTGCCATACACACCCCAAGCTGGCTGCTTATCTGTAAGAATTGTTTAAATGAAAGAGAAATAAGCTTCTCTCATGTTAAACCAATGTTTTATTATATATAGTACAATATATTATAGTTCAAAATGATATAAATGGGTCTTAAAAATGATCTACAAGAGGTATTTGAAAGTCTTATTGGAATTTTATATCCATTGTTCACCCCATAAATACTGGCAGAAAGTTTTTGTTAAAGGAAAGAATGGATTTATACTCATTGTTCCTGGATCTAGTTAATGAGCATCATCAAAATTATCCATTTCTTCTTCACTGGGAAAGCATTTGGTTTCTAAGAATAGTGATCACACTCCTCACATCTCCAGCCCCTTCCTTCTTTTTTCCAATTAGACACAGTTTAAAATTCCCGTCTTAATCCCCAGATGATGACCAAAAGCAGGGATTCCTGTATGGTGTTTACCAACAGTTTTCTCATAAGACTGTCACTGCTGTCCATCCTGTGACCACAGGAATGTTAGTAAAATCTAACATTTGGTACTGCTGCCTGCAAATGTGCTTTTGCTGCACTGGGGAGCCCAGTTGAACAGCTAAGGAAGGAAGATGGAGCCCCTCAGATGCTCCACTTTCCTGATGAACATCCTCTTTAAGAATGCTTACATATATCAATTAAAGATTTCATATTCTTTTTTTAAGAGCCATATTATCTAATGAGAGTGTAGCACATGGTTAACAGTGCATTGTATAGCCAGGTGGCATAGGGTCAAAGCCCAGCTCTGCTTGTCACTCGGTCTTGCCATAAATCAGGATCCTCATCTGTAAGAGACCTTGAGAGTATCACCTCCATGCAATGATTTTGAGGATGAAACATGCATGGAAATCCCTATGTAAAGACTTAGAATTGCTGGCACGTGTATCTCATCAAAGTTTCAGAAAATCAGAATAGTTGTTACTTTATAAATGTCTGCTATTTCTATTCCTACCTAGTGGTGGCATTGGGTGTGTTGACTACATTCATATTCTATGTTGTTCTGAGAATCCTAACAGGTTCTTAGATTCACTTTCTAAATCTGAGAATAACTTAGAGATTTCCTTCTTCCTGGAATGGATGTCCCCTTTTCTTCTAGGTAAAGTCTTATGAATACTTTCTAATTCAACTCAAGCATCCCACATTTCTTGTTAAGTGTCTTCTTCCCTGAAACAGCAAGCTTCTCAAGGGCAAAGACGGCATTCTATTCACATTTGACTTTCCTAATGTATAATATAATATCTGGCCTCCTATAGGTGATTACTACATGTTTGTTGAATGATAATGAGTTATTGAACCATGAAAATAAGTGCTGTGAATAAAAATAATTATTTCATTATATCTCCTCCTTCTTTGCTTTTTTTAAGAGCAAGGCCTTATTTCTTTTTCTTTTTTTTTAAAAAAGTAACTAACTTTTTTTTTTCAGGGTAACTATCACTACCTACCAGACTCTAGGCTAAATGTTTTACACTATTTAAATTGTTTCACTCAATTTTCACAAAAATCCTGTGAGACAGATATTATTAGTCCCATTTTATAAATAAAGAAACCAAGGCTTTAAAGAATGTTAGCAACTTCCCTAAGTTTACATGGCTAATAATATGTAGATTGGATATTCAAACTCAGTTCTCTCTGATCCCAAGGCTGTACTTTAATCAGAATGCTCCACAAGGGCTTTTTGCAACTCAGTGTGAATGTAACAAATCACTGGGGATCTTGTTAAAATGCAGATTCTGATTTCGGTAGCTCTAAGCTGAGACCAGAGATTCTACATTCCTAATGCACCCTGAGAGGGTGCTGATGCTGTGTATACCACTCGCTGAGGAGATGCAGTTGCTTAGGTGTACCTCTGCTGCTCCAATCTACGCATTCTGCTGGACTCAGTGTTTGGATTGGCTCTGGATCAGCAGCAAGCACACGACAGAGTTCCCTTCCTTGATGGCAGTGGTCTTGGCCGCAGTCTCTTCCCATTCTCCTCCTCACCACCGCCCTCTCTCTTTGACCAGTCTTGTTTTGGTGCTTCCTGCTTTATGACCCCACTGCCCACTTTCTCATTCCTTACACTGCCTTGACATCAGTGCTTTCCTTGCCTGGCACTCACAGCGCCATTGGAAACATTAACGTATAGATCTTCTTTAGCTTTTGGCTTTTTATTTTTATATCTTTAGAAAAAACATCTCACTATCATCCAGGCTGGAGTGCAGTAGTGCGATCACAGCTCACTGCAGCCTCCAACTCTTCCCACCTCAGCCTCCAGATCAACTGGGACTCTAGGTGTCCACCATGATCCCTGGCTAATTTTTTAAATTGCTTCTTTTCTTTTTTTTTTTTTTGGTAGAGATGTGATCTCACTAGCTTGCCAAGGCTGGTCTCAAACTCATGGCTTCAAGCAATACTCCAGCCTTGGCCTCTCAACATGCTGGGATTACAGGAGTAAGCCACCATGCCTGGCCTCGCTCTTGGCTTTTAAATTTAGAGTTGCTAAGAAATATATTCAGCAACATGGCTGAATAATAAAACTAACACTGACTAAATAAACTAAATAAAAAATAGTAAAACTAACACGGACACTCTTTTATCTTGAAACATATAGTAATCCTGAATTTTTTTGAAAAGCATCAGAAATATATACAGTCAAGTTTGAAAGATGGTAATCTAACTTTCTTTCACAAAAACAAAGGAGAAAATTCATAACCAAGGCAGTTATTTTACAAGCTGACTCAGTAGCAGTCCAGAGGGTAAAAGCAATATATAGGCCTGAGCCCTTTGAGAGGTTGTGATTTAACATCCATCCAGGAACAGTAGCTGTATTCTTGAAGACTGTATGAGATGGAAAGCCACAACTAACAGCTATGCACCAAGTGACATCTCTGAAGGACTCTTTTTTTCAGGGAAAAAAAAAATGAGTTTGAAAACCTCCGCTCACTGCCATGAACAGCAACAAGAAAACATAATATCTTCCAGTATCTTTCACAGAGAAGAAAAATATTTTATGCAAATCAAACCCCAAAACTTTACCATAGACAGATGTGAAACCTTTATTCATACCAACACATGCTCTAGGTATCCCAATTTGATAAATTAACATATAAACTGAATTTTAAACAGTAAATTACCCAAGACCTTCATTAGAAGCACATGCTATACTGCTCTATTTGTAGATTTCCAGAGGACATCTTGCACAAATCTCCCCCAATCTCCACCACACACATAAACACCCACATCCGCAAACTCCGACTCATTATGAGATAAGCTCATGATAAGGCTTTGCAAATCTCACGACTTCAGTATGAACAGATGTGATTCTTGAATTCAGCTCATGTGTGCTATAAGTATCCCAGGACAGTAAATTGTCATATAAACTGAACTCAGGGTAGTAATCTCCCAGGACCCTAAGTAGAAGCTCATGCATGCCTTGACACTCTATTTTGAAACTCTCAAAATCCACAGGGCACAAGTATCTCCTGTGTGTGCACATACATGCACAAAGAAACAAACCAACAAAAGAGCTTGTACTGAAGATGACCTCGTAATAAGACATTACAAATCTCAAGACTAATGTGAGACTTACAGTGAACAAACATAGGAACCGAGGAGCAATTTCTCCAATGATCCGCAGTAGCACTTGATGCCATAACATTCAATTTGGAAATTTCCAAAACCCAAGGTGCACAGATCTCCCACAGGAAAATCATATTCCACTGAATATGAGCTCATTATAAGATGTTTAGGCTTTTAAATGCATAGGCATTTTGCCTTGCATATAACTTGGACTTCAAGACCAGCCTGGGCAACACAGCGAAACCCTATCTCTACAAAAAATACACAAATTAGCCTGGCATGGTGGTGTGTGCCTGTGGTCCCAGTTACTTGGGAGGCTTAGGCAGGAGAATCACTTGAACCTGGGCAGTGGAGGTTGTAGTGAGCCGAGATCGCTCCACTGCACTCCAGCCTGGCGACAAGAGCAAGACTCCATCTCAATAAATAAATAAATAAATAAAATCACAATAAAAAAAGGATACTATGAAAAATAGGAAGACATTTAAAGAAACAAATCAAACTAATGATAAAAATAATTATAATAGTAATAACTCAATGAATGGGTTAAAAAGATTTAACAAAAACTTAGACAAAAATTTAGAAGAAAAAAGGTTGAAATTACTGAGTGTTCAGCCTAGAGGCAAACATAAATGAACACTATAAAAGTGAGATTAAGAGACCTAAAAGGTAGTATAAGAAGGTTGAACATATGCATTATTAAGTTTAGAAATAAAGAAAAATGGAAATGAGAGAAGTGCAATATTTAAAGAGATAAAAACTGAATTATTTTTCTAGAATGGAAGATGCATGGATTCTCAGATTGACGAAGCCCACCAAACTCTGAGCTCCTAGACAAAAATGCTGTAGAACAACAAAGAAAAAGACAAAGTCATACAAGCAGCCATAAGGGAAGGACTGATTATCACAAAATAAACACAAATTAGACTGTAAGAAGACCTCTCTGCAGCACAGTAGAGAGGAGAAGGTAATAAAACGATCACTTCACATGTCGAATGAAATAATTGTCCACCTAGACTTTTTCATCTAGCTCAAGTATCATTTAAAGGCAAAATTCAAACTTTTTTTTTCCCAATAAAAGGAGTAAGAGAACTGTTCTCTGTAGATTCTCTCTGAATGATCTCTTAAAGAATGTACTTCAGTAAGAAAATTAGATAAAAACAATAATAAGTAAATAAACTGGTAAAATTGGTAAATATAAGGATATAGGTAAATTATTGTTAATTTTAAAGAAAAGATAAAATTATATCTAAATTTTAACAATGAATGTGGAAAGTTAACTATAAGGAAATGCAAAATGCTGAATAATAATGGCATGTAATTTGACATGGCAGGGGAAAATTAAGTTGTTCTGAATTTTCGCAATTGTTTCGTAAAAATATAGAGATGTTGATTGGATTTACATACTGCTAAGTCAAATATACATGTTAAAGGTAAAAGAACAGAAAGGAAATTATTTCCAATGCAGAGGAAGGAAATACAGGTTTATTACTTTATTTCACTTTTTTTAAATTTTAATCTTATGTTCTGGGGTACATGTGCAGGATGTGCAGGTTTGTTACATGGATAAACATGTGCCATGGTGGTTTGCTGCACCTATCAACCCATCACCTAGGTATTAAGCCCCACATGCATTAGCTATTTTTCCTAATGCTCTCCCCCACCCCATCCCACCCCCTGGACAGGCCCCAGTGTGTGTTGTTCCCCTCCCTGTGTTCATGTGTTCATATTGCTCAGCTCCCACTTACAAGTGAGAAATGCGGTGTTATTACTTTCCTATGGATACTGCAACTAATACAAACTGGATGGATGAAAACAACAGAAATGTATTCTCTAACAGTCCTGGAGACAGATGCTCTGCATGCCTCCCTGGGCTGAGTCAGTTTCACGGACCCACACTTCCTCTGCTGGCTCCAGGGGAGAATCTGCTCCTTGTTTCTTCCGGCTCTGTTGACTGCTGGGGAGAATCTGCTCCTTGTCTCTTCAGGCTCTGGTGACTGCCAGCCTCTTCAGGCTCTGGTGACTGCCAGCCAGCATCCCTTGGTTTGTGGCAGCATCTTTCCAATTTCTGACTCCATTGTCACATCACTTTCTCTTCTGTGTGTGTCTAATTCATAAGCATGCTTGTGGGGGAATTTAGGGTCTATCCAAATTATTCAGGGTCTCAAGATCCTCATCCTTATCTCTAAGATCCTTTACTTAATCACATCTGCAAAAGCTCTTTTCCAAATAAAATATTATTTACAGGTCCTAGGGACTAGCACATGGATATATCTTTGGGGCTACCATTCTGCCCACAATAACAGGAATAACAAAAACACAACCTATCAAAATAATAATAATAACAAAAACAAACTAAAAACCCAACAGAAAAAGAGGGGATACTAACAGCAATATGGCCAATTTTCTGTTCACTTTGAATACTTCTAGCTTGTTTTCTTTCCTCCACTTCACCTTCAGCTCTGAACCTAGATTGGAGGAAGGCAGAACATTCAGTGAGGAGTCAGCCAACTATGGCCTGTGGACAAAACCCAGCTTCCCACGTCTGTTTGTAAATAAAGTTTCACTGGGACACAGTCATGTTCATTCTTTACATATTTACATATTTTTACAGCTATTTTTGTGCTTTAACAGCAGAGTTGAGTAGTTGCAACAAGCAGTGTATGACCTACAAAGCCAAAAGTATCTGCTCCTTTGCAGAAAACATTTGCCATGCCTTGAATTCTTGAATTAGATTATTGACTCCACGTGGAAATAAGGAGGAAGAAAATTCGATGGATTAATTGATTGTGCCTCTGTGTGTGTAGGTGTGATGCATATTTTGAATCAAAGTCACCACTTTCAGTGGAACTGAAGTTCTCTCAGTTCTTTTTTTTTTTTTTGAGACAGAGTCTCACACTGTCTCCCATGCCGGAGTGCAGTGGCATGATCTGGGCTCACTGCAACCTCTGCCTCCCGGGTTCAAGCGAGTCTCCTGTCTCAGCCTACCAAGTAACTGGGATTACAGGCGCCCGCCACCACGCCCAGTTAATTTTTGTATTTTTAGTAGAGACGGGGTTTCACTGTGTTGGCCAGGCTGGTCTGGAACTCTTGACCTTGTGATCCGCCTGCCTCAGCCTCCCAAAGTGCTGGGATTACAAGCGTCAGCAATTGCGCCTGGCCAGTTCTTTCCCTTCATTTGTCAAATTGACAAATAAAGGAAAAATGTTTTGGTTTTCTGGATTTAGGAATTTGGATTCAAGATTTCCTTCAACTCTGCAGGATGTGTATGTAAGAAAGAGTTGCAGTTAGATGCTAAGGACATTGGACGGGAGGAATAAGGAGCAGTAATATTGCCGAAATTTTTATGAAAACTGTAGGCAACCTGTGTTTTATTCCTATTGGAAGGCACATTTTGGCCTCATTTATTTTCACTTCTATTGTAAGCTGTCTCAAATCACTTCGATGGAAGTAGATGTGGTATAAATAAATAAGCATACGTGGACAGCACAAAAGAAAGAGAAAATGTGGAGCAGAAAAAAATAAATCTCATAAGTAGCTGTATTTTAAGTGGAAGGTCAGGCTTTGGATTAGGCATGTTTATGAGATATTTGTGGAATGCCTTAAAATGCCATGGAAATGTCAATGATGGTCACAGCTCTTGAAAACAATAATGTCAGAATGAGCTGATTTAGTTATTCCACAGCTTGACTTACACTGCTTTCACTGCTTTATACCTGATGTGAATGCCTGTTCCTCCAGGCTCCATGTCGGGCTCACATAGCACAGTGCTCTGTGACAGCCTTCACTGATGCCAGCTCAATGGGAGGGATGCACTTGGCCTCTCTGAATTCCCAGTAAGCATGATTAAGCATGACTAGGGAATTGGACATTTTTCTCCTGCCAATTATAGAAAAATTAAGATAAAAATGTCTATTTAAAAAAATAACTTTACATTATTTAAATTAGTACTTCACTGAGCTGTCTTGAAAATAAGCTGGAGGGATTATCACTCTCTCTGGGTCGAGACAGACTTTTTTCTTCATAAAGAGAGATGAAAGAGATTAGGATCATACCACCTCTCACGCTGACTTCAGTTCATTTTCTTTGGTCTTTCATTTCTCCTGCCTGTCTTGGAGATTCTCAGCAGAGCAAAGAAGTCTCCCTAAACAGTGTCAGTAAGCAGCATATGGAAGTGAAGAGGATGATCAGGAAAGAGCCAACTCTGGGCTCTCCAAAGAACACCAGAAAACACTTTGATGAAGCAAACCTAGGTTTACTGGGCACGTCGCAGTAGAGAAAGATACAATGCTGGCAGGGCCTTAGTAGTAGCTCAGAAGGAGGATGTCAGGGAAAGATATTTAAAGGATTTTGAAGACTGGGATCAAGGAGTATAAGGCAGGTGTTTCAAGGCTAGGAGCTGAGTAGATTTGGATGAATTATTTTTATTTAATGCTTCAAGATGGGTGAGGTGATGGTCTTAAAGCCAATCTTGCTATGGAAATTTTTTGTTTGATAAATGAGTTGTTTGTCCAGGGGAAAAATTTATTTCTCCAGGTAGGAGAGCTATTTACCTAGATTGAGAAAACCGTTCCCATAAATTAATTTGCAAAAACTTCATGAAGCAAACAATGAAATTATTTGTTGGTTTACAGCCTGATCTTTCTGGACAAGAGTGAAATCAGTTTGACACTGATGGTTTCTGTTTAGTTTTGTAGTTATGTGGATTCAGAGGGGTCTCCATTCTCAAAGGTTTTAACATAAAGCAAGACATAGATACAGGATAAGGTCATTCCTGTTCCTCCACTCTTGAGAGTTCAAACTTGTTCATCTCCAAATATATTCTCCTGAATGAAAATGTCTAAAGCTTGCCATTACTTTGGAAACACTGTACTAGGAAAAACTCCCTACTCTTGTCTGGTCACATTCAGGTGTATACTTAAGTTCTTTATACTTTTTGCTCTTGTTCAGACTTCAATAGAACTGAAGTTCTCTTAAGAGTTGACGATTGAAGTAAAAAATACTTTGCTTCTTAGGAAATGGAAATATGAACTCAGGATTTCTTTTAAGTCTGCACCCTGCTTTCCTCGATGAAAGATTTGTAGTTGGATGCTAAGCACCCTGGATTGGATGGAGAACGGGGAAGTAAAAGCTGGCAAAGACATGCCTATCAGGCTGCTTCCTTTACTCAACCTCTCCATTAGGTGCCCAGTTTTAAAACTGGGAGAACAAACCAGCTACATGAGCAGTTGAGCATGTTTTGAAACTTGTTTCTGCTCATGGAAGCCAGATGTTTCATGTGGCTTTGTCTTGCCCCCATAAGGACTGGCTCATCTCTGCAATGCAAGTATTGGACTTTATATATTATCGAATCCATCTAGAAACAAACCCCTTAACCAGACCAGAATGATTATGCTGCCACTCTCCAGAAACTTCTGGCTATAAAATTAGACTTCTTGATATCAATAACAGTCAAAATCAGCCCTGAGTTTGCCATGATTAACTTGTCCGCTCATTAGAAATGGATGGTACTCTGTCTTTAACCCATGCTGCTGGGTTTTTTGTTTGTTTGTTTGTTTTTCTTTACATGCTACTGTACATTCTAAATTATTTTCTTTACTTCATCAGCCTACAATAAAGTCCTAGCATGGCTCTTGGGCCTGGGTCCATAATAACTGGGGCTGGGTCTATAACGACCTTCCCCAGGCTGTGAGGAAGACTGCCATGTCCCCATGCCCTGCTGGTGCATTGACCTGAGACTGTCTTAATGTTTGAAACCAAATCATTCGATCTGAACTGAATGAGAAGCTGACCGGAGAGCTACCCTGCTGCTTTCCATTCCCCCAGTCTGTTTGAACCTTATTCTCTAACTCATTCAGCTTCTTATCTTGATTCTAATCTTTGATGAATCTGTTTAGGTTTGTGACCCTTCTCTTTCCTTCCTTCCTCCCTTCCTTCATTCATTCCTTCCTTCCCTCTCTCCCTCCATCTTTCTTTCCCTTCCTTCCTCCCTTCCTTCCTTCCTTCCCTCCCTGCCTCCTTCCCTTCTTTCTCTCTGTCTTTTCTCCTTCCCCCTCCCCTCCCCTCCCCTCCCTTTCCTTTCCTTTCCCTTTCTTTCTTTCTCTCTTTCTTTCTTTGTTCTTTCTTGCTTGCTTGCTTTCTTCCTTCCTTGCTTCCTTTCTCTCCTTCCTTCCTTCTTTTCTTTCTTTCTTTCTCTTTCTTTCCTTCCTTCCTTCT
This sequence comes from Homo sapiens, assembly GCF_000001405.40. Classification (NCBI taxonomy): domain Eukaryota; kingdom Metazoa; phylum Chordata; class Mammalia; order Primates; family Hominidae; genus Homo; species Homo sapiens. Next base: position 36,356,554 of record NC_000008.11, on the reverse strand, counting down.
TTCCTTCCTCCCTTCCCTTCCCTTTCTTTCCTTCCTTCCTTCCCTTCCTCCTTCCCTTTTGTCTCTCTTTCTCTCTCTCTTTCCCCCCTTCCCTTCCCTTCCTTTCCTTTATCCTTCTCCTTCTTTCTTTCCCTTCCTTCCTTCCTTCCTGTGTTCCTGCCTTCCTGCCTTCCTTCTTTTCTTTCAAATTTCATAATGCCAACAATAGCACTGACCTGGTACATGTACAGAAACCACTTCTAGCAATTGTCACCAAGATCTATGTCCCATATTGATGCAAAGAAGATTGCCTGTGTCTACATCATGCCCAAGTGTTTCAGCTTCCACCCTTTCAGGCTTAAAGTACCCAGCTTCATGGAGAGAAATCCAAAATCCACCAAGGAGGTCTATGTAGACCTAGTTAACATGGAAGTCTGAAGAAAAGAGATTACAATCTGAGTTTTAAGTTTCTCACCTAAACCTTTCTCCTTCAATGAACATTTTTTAGGGGGACTCACTCAGCACCTCTTATCATTTCCTGGGGTGCTAAGTTCTGGCACCTGCCCTTTCACTATAGAAGCTAAGGCAGTTATTGCAGTTTCCATAGCCAAACTCTCTCTCTCAATGCCCCTTTACCTAAGACGTGGCTCACCGGACTTTTATTTGAGACTGTGATTTCTCAGCAGCAAGACACAAGCTGCAGAGCTTGTTTCAGCTAGTAGGGGAAATTGTGGAGCTGTTCCTGCTACTAGCACCATCTAGAGCTGCCTTGTTTCTGTGACTCAGGCTTGATTCTTCCACCCTCTTTCAACCTCATGAATTCCCCATGCCTTTCCTATAGATTCCCTTTGTTTGTTTGTTTGTTTGTTTATCTTAGCCAGAGCCTGTCTCTATTGCCTGCAAGTAAGGTACCGTCCCAACTTTTGTTGCTTTCAACAGGCTGTGTATTACAAAGTTGTGTTTTGGTGCAGCCAGTTGAGGCTGACTTCTTGATGACGGCCAGGCTAGCCTATGCCCTGTTCTGCCTAATTGTACTAGAAAACACATATCCTGTCAGTCACAGTCAGCTCCCAAAACAAGCCGTACAGCAAGGGACATTCTTACAGAAAAAATATTTTCTCTAAAATTGTATACTGAATCTGGCTTACCTCTGAGCTAAGAGACAACTACCTCCTCCACTGATCCGATAAGCCAAGTCTGCGATGAGACCATTTCAGATAGCAGTGTCTCACTATCAATTTTGGCTTAAAGCTGGCAGTCCAGAAACACAGCTCCTTTCTGAAGTTTAATTTTATCTTCCTGGCTCTGTGCATGTGACAGAAAGAAAAAGAGGGGGAGCAAGTAAGAGAGAGAGAGAGAGAGAGACCCTAAATGGAAGCACAGAGCTCATTTGAACAAACCAACAGTTGTTGTTCAGTTCATTACATCCTTTCCTAAGGCAATGCAGCTTTGTTTTACATTTATTTGCTTCCAACCTGGTTTTAAATCTGCAGCCTTTATTATCTAGTCATTCTTTTGTAGTAATAATCAAATGGCAATCCGCGTGGCACCAAGGTTAAAATAGTTTTCCATGTGAAGGGCAATGGCCTTTGTGGCTGGGACAAGTCCTTGTGTGTCCACCAGCCCACTTCCTGGATTTTTAACCAGGTGAAGTCCTGTTAACGTGAACAGAAGATGGTAATTGAAAGAGAAATCACTGAAGGCCAATAGTGACTTTAACAGGTTTCCATGTGCCCTTTTTCATGACAATGGCAACAATAAAACAGTAGATGTGGACTAACGATTAATCAATAATCTTTTCTTTTCTTTTCTTTTCTGAGGCGGAGTCTCACTCTGTCGCCCAGGCTGGAGTGCAGTGGCATGATCTCGGCTCACTGTAACCTCTGCCTCCTGAGTTCAAGCAATTCTCCTGCCTCAGCCTCCTGAGTAGCTGGTATTACAGGCATGCCCCACCACCCTCGGCTACTTTTTTTGTATTTTTAGTAGAGATGGGGTTTCATCATGTTGGTCAGGCTGGTCTCGAACTCCTAACCTCTGGTGATCCACCTGTTTTGGCCTCCCAAAGTGCTGGGATTACAGGTGTGAGCCACCACACACGGCCTCATCAGTAATATTTTCATGAAGCCTTCCAGCACATGCTGTAAACATGGACATATATATGTAAAATAAACATATAATTATTCACCTTATGTCTCACAACATCTTTGTGAGATAGGCATTTATATTATTGATATTACTAATCCCAATTTATAATAAATAAATAAACCTGATGTTCCAACAAGGTAAGTGATTTTCTTCAGTCACAAATTAGTATATCATGGAGGTAGGTCTCCAGAACTTGCCAACTAAAGGATGTCACCCAAATACTGTACATTACCCCTCCCCACACTTCTGAATCTCCAGTGTCCATTATGCCACTCCCTATGACCCTGCATACCCGGAGCTTAGCTCCCACTTATAAGTGAGAACATGTAGTATTTTGTTTTTCATTCTTGAGTTACTTCCCTTGGAATAATGGCCTCCAGTTCTTTGGATATTATTGCATCCAAAGAACGTAATAATGTGCAAAAGACGTTATTACATTCTTTCACATTTTTAATGTTAAATTTAAAGGAGTTTTAGTGGTGGTGGTGTTTTTCTTTCTTTTGTTTTTACTGTTTATTTGTTTATTTTTCTCAGAGTCAAAAGCCATTGTGCTCAAATAACATATGAAGGAACTGAGTAGTGAAAAATTGGGTCAAGGGCTCACGTTTCTTAAGCAGACATCTGAAAACCTCCTTCCCAAATGGAAATAAAATCTAACTAATGAATACAGAAATTTTCAAGTTTGTGGTCACCTTATATGAAATATTAAATCTAGATGCTGTGGAGGGCACATAGAATTTGAACATTATCTCCACTGAAAATATGGATCTAACAACCTAGAGGCCAGAAGGGAGAAAGACTCTATCCCTGGATGGGGTGATGAAGTCAAACGCACACCTTCAAATTGAGGGAGAGCTCATCTTTACAGACTTGCTTTCCCTTGTCTATTTCTCAGTGCTACGTTGTCATGATGGGGTATTATTCTATCCAGCTGTATTTACTGATGCCTCTAATGTGCCAGAGACTCTGGGAGCCACTTGGTAAAGAGAAAACAAGGCAGACAAGGTTTCTGCTCTCTTGGCTCTTACATTCCAGTGACTGTTGGTTATTATGGTGACAGAAAATGGACGTGATCTGGGAGAGCCATGATGTTGTCAGATGGAAAGTGTTATGGGTTATACTAATATTTGTGAATATATTCATGGGATATGGACTTGAGCAGTCAGCTTCCCTACTCTCAAGATGCCAGGATGTATCACAATGCCAGTAAGCTTTAGAAGATGCTGAAAACCAGAGAGTCTCTGCTTCACTTTTTCCCCATAGAGATCACATGAATGTCACAACTACTGAAGGGGCCTCAGGTCCAGAAACAGGTTTCATCTAATTATTAAAACCAAAGGTCTTGGCTGGGCACAGTGGCTCATGCCTGTAATCCCAGCACTTTGGGAGGCCAAGGCGGCAGATCACTTGAGGTCAGAAGTTCAAGACCAACCTGGCCAACGTGGTAAAACCCTGTCTCTACTAAAAATACAAAAAGTAGCCGGGAGTGGTGATGGGTGCCTGTAATCCCAGCTACTTGGGAGGCTGAGGTAGGAGAATCACTTGAACCTGGGAGGTAGAGGTTGCAGTGAGCCAAGATCATGCCACTGCACTCCAGCCTGGGAGACAAGAGCAAAACTCCATCTCAGAAAATAAGAAGAAGAAATAAAAAATAAAACCAAAAGTCTTGAAAACAAAACATAAGGGAGCACTGAATTACCCCACTCCTAGAGCTCATGTTTTCACCACCTAATTGATACTCCTTGGTATCCACTTTAAGTGGAGTGGATTCTCATATCTACCCTGGCTTCCATGGAATAAACTGTATCATCAGGTAACCACAATGGCTGTTATCTGTCAGCAGATACTACCTATCATTAAAGCTCAAGGAATGTTAATGAAAAATATTCCAGCATGCTTTGTAGAATTCACAAACCATTTGAGTAATACTCACTGCAAAACTGAACGTAAAGGTTTGCCTAATCACAAAAAATTTACCTCTCATTTATTCTCCACACCCTCTCTTCACAGATACCCAGCTCCTATCCAACTTGCAGCAAGAAAGGCTACATTCAATTACTTAATAAAGAATTCAGACACATTTTACCAGAGGTTATTCTGCAAGACTCTTTTGTGTTTTGTCTTCCCACATTCTGAAAAGAGTGTATGTTGAAGGTTGCCGACCATTCTCCCTGAGCCGGCAGCTTTGTGTGCACTCAGAAGCTTCGCTGTACTCTCTGACGCAGCTGTGGCGAAGCTAAAACAGTGCTCTTCGATAAATAGGCTTTGTCTGCCTGTGCTGGCAGCAACTGCTCCAGAAAATGTACACAGGCAATATGCTCCGGTATATTCCCCATAGGCACTTAACGCTTCTGCACACAGCTTCCAAATCTGTCATCTCTCCATTCTCTTCTCTCCAGATTCCTATTCTCCCTGGCCAGGAACATAAAACAATACATTTATTTTCCAGTTTCTGAGCCCCTGTGCTCATCCTAGCTTTGTGAATGTTCATTTTCCAGAGGGGAAGATACTATGGGACTAATTCCCCACGGCTTAAGAAGTGAAGTGCATCTCAGTGTCCACAAATGCATGTGCTAGTCAATGGTTCTAAATGCAAAGATGAAAGATCTTCAGTAAAACCTTGATATGGTTTGGATGTTTGTCTCCTCCAAATTTTATGTTGAAATGTGGTTCCCAGTGTTGGAGGTGGGACCTGGTGGGAGGTGATCAGATTACGGGGGCGGATCCCTCATGAATGGTTTAGCACCATCCCCTTGGTGGTAAGTGAGTTTTCAGTCAGTTCGCCTGAGATCTGGTTGTTTAAAAGTCTAGGACCTCATTCCCTCACCCTCTTCCTCCCACTATCACTATGTGATGTGTCTACTCCTGCTTCACCTTCCACCATAATTGTGAGCTTCCTAAGGCCCACAACAGAAGCAGATGCTTGCACTACAATTCCATGAGCCAATTAAACCTCTTTTCTTTATAAATTAACCAGTCTCTGATATTTCTTTATAGTAATACAAGCAGACTAATACAGACTCGTAATCTATAATCAACAAGTTGTAGCCTCTGAGGTCTTTCTGAGCTCTTGGTCATCTTAGTTTCTACCCACTGTGACTGCCCTCAGATTGATAAGAACAATCACCTTATTGAGAAGCTGAGATGGTGTGAGGTTAGGTGGCCTGCCTTGGACACAGTTAGTATCCAAGCTAAGATAAGAGCACACATGTCCCGCTCTCTATTTGACTGACTTGATTTAAGTTTCTAAGGCTTCACAGAAAAGAATTTTGAGCTAAATCTTCGGGTAAATATCTATGTGGTAGAAAAAATAAAATCTGAGGAAAAGTAAAACCATGTGTGTGGAGGCAGGCATGCACTAAAAGATGGTGCCCTAAAACTTCAAGGAGCTCATCAATGTAACACACAGAGTGCATGAGAGAGAATAGGTGGAAAAAAGACTGCAGAAGTCTCAGAGGCTAGCAAACAGAGGGACATTCAAGCTCTCAAGTTCCACTAAGGAGTTTGTATTTATCTCAAAGGTCATAGGGAGTTACTAAACTGATATAATTAGATTTCAATTGAAATAGATTATTACATGAATTAGCTCATACAAAACCAATTGTCCTTGATATTAGAAATTTAAAATATCCAAAGTAGAGAGTAGTCCTAGCTACATTCCAAGATATTAAGAGAAGAATTTGCTGGAGAAATTAGAAACTTTCTGGAAGTAACAGGCTAGCTGGAAATATGAAGAAATATGAGAATAATTCTTATAGAAGTGTGGATTCAGATATTGCCATGGGATTTGGCATTTAGAACAAGCATTGTTTTAATGTCCAGGAGAGGTTAAGTTTAAAGTATGGTGGAACACATTTTTTTTTTTAAGAAGAAGACGAATTTTGACTGGGTTCTGATGGATATGAGTGGTAGGAATTGGAGGGGAAGGTAGATATTAGAAAAAAATTATTTGTGGGCTACATAGAGCTAAATTATTTGGTTAAAAGTAGAGACATTAGTGAAAAACAACTATGGGAACAATTCTGGGGGTGAAAACCAGTTGACTGGGGACACTGGGCCAGGCCAAGGGCCTCACAGCTTGAGGAAGTTGCCCAACACAAGGTTCAGGGAGTCCAGCTGTCAGATGGTGTGAGTGCAAATTTTCATTTCAGCCAGTTATTTCTTGTAAACAACCAAAATGGATGCTGGCTGATTTAAACAGAAAAGAAATATCTTGAAATGATGTCAAGATTCTCATGGATTTTATAGAAATTATGAAGAAGTGAGTACTGAAAATGAGCAGGAATAAATGAGAATAATTGGCCAGCCTGGATGACAACCCTACCATTGCTCTCAGGAAGGATGTCTTCTTGTCCAGCTGTTTTATGATCCTGGATCCTGACTCAAAACCAAGACCAAGTGACCCTGATATGCTGAGTCTAGGTCATGGGCTCAAATATAGATAAGGATTGAGATACAAATTAATACACAAAAGATCATATCCACCACACTTTGTTGCTGTTATTGTCATCATTATTGCTGTTGTGGCACATGTTCATGCATTTTTAGTATTGATTTTATAAGAAATACTAATGTGATCTGTGCAAATGTTCTAAGTTGCCTAAATCATCTTCCAAGTAACTTAATTTTAGTCTTTGTAACAACATTGAAAATACTACATGACCCTTCAAGATTCTTATTTCTCCTTAACCAAAACACTCAGAGGAGGCCAGAGTTTTGTTTTTTCTTCTGCTTTTTTTAAATAGAGATAACATTTCCATAACATAAAACGTACCACTTTAGCCATTTTAAAGTATATAATTGTATTAGTTAGGGTTCTCCAGAAAGACAGAACCAGTAAGATAGACAGACAGGTAGACAGACAGACAGACAGACAGACAGACAGACAGACAGACAGACAGATAGATTAGAAGGGATTTATTAGGTGAATTGCCTCATGTGATTACAGAAACAGAGAGGTCCCATGATAGACAGTCTGCAAGCTGGAAATCCAGGAATGCTGACTCAGTCCAAGTCTGAAAGTCTCAGGATCAAGGAAGCTGATGATGTATTAATAACTCTCAATCCAATGCAGTTGGTCTGAGAATTCAGGGAGCCACTGATGCATTCTGGAGTCTGAAGGCCAGAGAACCTGGAGTTCTAACATCCAAGGGCAGGAGAAGAAAGGTGTTCCAGCTACAGGAGAGTGAATTCATGTTTCTTCTGCCATTTTGTTCTGTTCAGGCCCCTACTCAACTGGACAATGCCCGCCCACAGTGAGGGTGGTTCTTCACTCAGTCCACAGACTCTCACACCAATCTCCTCTGGAAACACCCTCACAGACACATCTGGAAGTAATGCCTCACCAGCTCTCCAGAGCTCTCTAGGTATCCCTTAATCCAGTCAAGTTGACTTCTAAAATTAACCATCACGATAATTCAGTGGCTTTTAGTACATTCACAGGGTTGTGAAACCATCATGACTACATCATTCCAGAACATTCCAATCACCTCCCAAAAGAAACTCTACCTATTAATGGGCACTCTCCATTATCTCTCCCTCCAAGCCCTGGCAACCATGTATCTACTTTCTGTGTCTGTTGATTTTCCTATTCTGAATATTTTATATGAATTGGATTATATAATATGTGACTTTTTATGTCTGGTTTCTCTCACTTAATGTTTTCAAGGTTCATGCATGTTGGAGCGTATATCAGTACTTCATTCCTTTAATAGTTCATTATATGTACATATTACATATTGTTTATTCATTCTCTTGATGGACACTTGGGTCATTTCTATTCTGGGGACTATTCTGAATAATGCTGCTATGAATATTAATACACATTATCTGTTTGAGTCCCTGTTTTAAATTCTTTTGGATATATACCTGAGAGTGGAATTGCTGGATCATATGGCAATTCTATGTTTAACATTTTGGGAGACCAACAAACTGCTTTCTACAGCTGTACCATTTTACATTCCTACCAGCAATGTGCAGAGATTCTAAATTTGTCACAATATTTCCAACATATATTATTATTATTATTATTATTGCTATTCTAATGGGTGTGAAGTTGTATTTCATTATGGTTTGAATTTTTGTAATGATTAGTGATGCCAAATATCCTTTAATGTGTTTATTGACCATTTGTAAACCTTCTTTAAAGAGATGTCTATTCAAGTTCTTTGTGTATTTTTTAACTGGGTTGCCTTTTTGTTGTAAGAGTTTAAAAAATTCCTTAATATTCTGCATAATAAACTCTTATTAAATATATGATTTGCAAATATATTTTCCAATTCTATGGATTGTTACTTCATTTTCTTGATAATGCCTTTTAATGCGCAAAAGGTTTTCATTTTAATGAAGCCCACTTTTTTTTTAATCCTGTGTTTTTGTTGTCATATTGCTTAATCTAAGATCATGAGAATTTATCCATTTCCTCCTAAGAGTTTTATAGTTTTGGCTTGATATGGTTTGGTTCTGTTTCCCCACCCATATCTCACCTTGAATTGTAATCCCATAATCTCCACATGTCATGGGAGGGACCACATGAGAGGTAATTGAATCATGACAGCCATTACCCCCATTGGGAGCGATTACCCCCATGCTATTCTCATGATAGTGAGTTAGTTCTCATGAGATCTAATGGTTTATAAGGGGCTTTTCGCACTTTGCTTGGCACTTCTCTTCATGCTGCCATGTGAAGAAGAACATGTCTGCTTCCCCTTCTGCCATGATTGTAAGTTTCCTGGGGTCTCCCCAGCTCTGGAGAACTGTGAGTCAATTAAACCTTTTTTCTTTATAAATTACCCAGGCTTGGGTATTTCTTCATAGCAGCATGAGAATGGGCTAATACATGGATCTTATATCTAGGTCTTTGAACCATTTTTAGTTCAATTTTGTATATGTTGTAAGGTAGAAGTTCAATTTCATTGTTTGTGTGTGAATATCCAGTTGCCTCAGAACAATTTGTTGAAGACATTATTCTTACCACATCTAATGGTCATGACATCTTTAGCAAAAATTAATTTACCATAGGCATATTTGTTTATTTCTGAACTCTCAATTATTATTCACTGATCAAAATGTGTCTCCTTATGCTAGTACTACAATGTTTTGATAATTGTAGCTTTTAGTAAGTTTTGAAATAAGGAAATGTGAGTTCTCCAACTTTCTTACTTTTAAGAATGTTTTGACTATTTGGGGTCCCTTGAAATTCCATATGAATTTTAGGATCATTGTCCTAATTTATGCAAAAAAAAAAGGTCTGTTGAAATTTTGATAGAGATTACATTGAATCTATAGATTAATTTGAGGGAGTATTGCCATCTTACCAGTATTAAGTTTTCCTTCTCATGAATACAGGATCTCTTTCCATTTATTTAGGTCTTTAATTTCTTTCAACATTGTTTTATGTGTTTCAAAAATGACTTGTGATACACAAGTCTTACACTTCTTTGGATACATTTATTCCTAAGTGCTTTATTTTTTGTTGCTGTTGTAAATGGAATTTTTTTCTTAATTTTCTTCCAGATGGGTCATTCCTATTGGATAGAAATACAGCTTATTTTTGCATATTAATTTTGTATCCTACAACTCTGCTAAACCCATTTATTAGCTCTAATAATTTTGTGAGTGGAAGGGTTTCCTTAAGATTTTCTACATATAAGATGATGCTATCTACAAATATATGTCATTTACTTCTTCCTTTCAAATCTGCATGCATTTTGTCTAATTGTCATGGCTAGAACTTCTAGTACAATGTAGATAAGTGATGGCAAGAATGAACATCCTTGTTTTATTTCTGATCCAGGAGGAATGTTTTCAGTCTTTCACCATTAAGTATGATGTTAAATCTCTGGATTTTTTACAGATGCCCTTTATTATGCTGAGAAATTTTCTGTGTCGGGGATTGCCAAGACCACTGGCAGGCTCAGTGAGAAGGACTCAAAGACTCATAAGCTGTTACATTCAGAGCTGTGATTTATTAAAGCCAAAGGAAACAGATTAAAACTAATTAAAGAAAAAATGCATGGGCAATGTCCAGAAGAAACCAGATGCAAGCTTCCAGTTGTCTTTTCCTAGTAGTATCATATGAACATGCTTAATTCTCCCAGCAATAATTTATGCCAGCATGTGCAGAGTGTCACCAACAAGGGAAGCTCAACCAAGCCTTGCTGCCTAAGATTTCTAATGAAGTGTCACTCTTGTTGGCATGTAGCAACTACATAACAAAGTCTCGGCTACTCAAGCTCCAGCCCCTCAGAGAAAAAGAGAAATTCACTGTAAATCACATTTGTTAACATAAACTATCTCATCAAACTGGTACTGCACGGCCCAAGGCCACAGACATACAGAAACAGGTGTTCAATATGAAGCACATTTGTTAGCCAAGGGCCAGTCCTGAAGACAGCTTCTTCTTGGGAATGTGCAGTATTTGACTCAGTTTATCCCTTCCCACACGGTTCCTCTCACTCTGGCTCTTGGCATGGGTTCTCTTACAGCAGAGTAATCAGATTTGAGGAGCATCTGCACTTGATAGAGCATTTATATGCCTGATATAACAATTGCATCAGCATGAATATGCCTAACATTTGAAGGAGTCAGTTTGGAGTAGAGACAGACTTAAGGAAATAATCCATTCTCTAAAGGTATTACATACATTTTCTTATTTTCATACTAATTTGATTATGCACTGTTCTCTTGATATACCATTATTGTACCTTGTGATAAGCTTGTACAGGATGATTTATTAAATAAATTACTTTTGCACCAACTTCTATTTGTAATAGAATACAAATTAGTTGATGGTAGTTAAATCCCATTCTTCCTTGGGTCATTCACTTTCCATTGTGTTACATCCTGAGGAGGCTTTACTTCAATCTCTCAATGTATTTGACCATTAATATTGATATTATCATATAACTTATGTACACATGATAGTTGAATCTAACCCAAAATGTCATTGTTGCACGATATCACAATATAGTTACAGTACAATTCAGTTTTAATACAGAACAAATCAGTACAGTTTTAATACAGAATAAATCAGTAAAAATTACAGAGGTATTTCCCTTAACAGAATCATCCCTTGGTCATATGCCAGATATCATGATGGATAATTGTTACTGCAATTAGCCCATGATTCAATTATTTCTGGGTTCCAAGGCAGTTAGGGATAAAGCCAATCACTTTGTCTCAGTTAACAGACTTGTGCCAAGACTGGTGTCAATTGTATGTTATTGTGTGATGGGGCCCATTTGCCTCCTATGAGGAGGAAAATAGTGTTATTAAGAATTGTTCTTATTCTTGGTAACTGTACTACAGAATATATCTTATTCTGATATACTGTTGGAGTGAGTGCAGTCAGAGTGCATCAGTGTAAATTGCAAGTGCCCTCAGAGGTTTTCCATGAATACAGAGGTCCGTAAGATTCCCATAGATGTGCCCTTTGTAGCCAGAAAGGGAAGCCATTGCACAATGACTATTTTGTCTTCCACCTTTATTAACATAGTCAAGAGGTCCTGCTGGGTCAGGGTACTTCCCCTTTCCCAACACTGGGTCCTAACTTTATACTACATTATCTGTGGAGCCTGCGTGACCCACTTCACTAAATCCCCATCCTCTTTTCATGCTTATTCCAATCCTTTGCTTATTCCAATCCTTTGCTTTTAATCAGCCTAATCTACTTAAGAACTCTTCCTCTAAATGCCACTCCTCATTAAAAGCAAATTCAGCTTGGCGGGGTGCAGTGGCTCACGCCTGTAATCACAGCACTTTGGGAGGCCGAGGCAGGCAGATTTGAGGTCAGGAGTTCAAGACCAGCCTGGCTAACATGGTGAAACCCCATCTCTGTTAAAAATACCAAAAAATTAGCCAGGCATGGTGGCAAATGACTGTAGTTCCAGCTACTCAGGAGGCTGAGGCATGAGAATTGTTTGAACCCAGGAGCCAGAGGTTGCAGTGAGCCGAGATCACATCACTGCACTCCAGCCTGGGCGACAGAGTGAAACTGTCTCAAAAAAAAAAAAAGCAAATTCAGCTTATCCCATGATGCTTAGTCTGCCACTTAGCTCTCCTAAAGCCCCTTTTCTGTTGATTAATCCATTATGAATGTTGTTGATATTGTGTACTAGTGGTCTCAATACAGTTAGAATACATGTTCTGGACCAAAAAAATGTTGGGTCTTCCATATTAGCATCAGTCTCTCTCTCTCTCTCTCTTTCTCTCTCTCTCTCTCTCTCTCTCTGTCTCTCCCTTTCTCTTTTTCTCTACACTCACATAGAGAAAAGACCATTTGAGAATATGGCAAGAAAGTGGCTATCTGCAAGCCAAGGGGAAAGGCCTTACCAGAAACCGATACTGCTAGCACCTTGATCTTGGACTTTTAGCCTCCAGACTGTGATAAAATAAACATCTGTAGTTTTAGCCATCCAGTCTGTGTATGTTGATATGGTAGCCCAAGCAGACTAATACAACTCACATCTATCATTAAGTATGCAAAGCCCAGTCAAGATCAAATGTCTATCCACCGTCAGGACCAATTTATAGTCTCCCAGGGTTACTGGTAGAGATCCAATGATTTCTACGTGCCGGATATATGCAGGGCCTTCCGCCCGGAGGTCTGTCTCACAGCCATCTACAATTTCTATCTCTTAGGATGGTACTTTGCTTTTAGAAGGCATGAGAGGAATATGTCGATAATCACTCATCTTAGCATTACTGCAGAAATCTCATGTACACTCATTTCTTGATCCAGGTGGCCACCTAAAGGGAGTGCACCAGGGTATCCTGGCTCTAACTGGTTCTAGTGCCTTTTCAATTAAGTAAGAAGATTATTTTTATAGAGCATTTGATATATGCCTGATATAGCAATTGCATCCGCATGAATATGCCTAACATTTGAAGGAGTCAGTTTGGAGTAGAGACAGCCTTAAGGAAAGATTATTTTGATGGGTATCTATATGTCCTACTTTAATGTGTCCCTTAAATTCCCATAGAGTGATTTACCTCAGGACTGTGCTCTATTCAGGTGTCCCTTTAATAAGTCAGTTTTCCATTTCCCTTTTGCCTGCCCATATGGCCAGGCCACTGGCCACCACTCATGAGTCAATATACACCCAAACGTTGGAACTTTCATTGTTGTTAAATTCCTCCATCACTGCAAGGAAAACAGCATGCAATTTAGCCAGAGATGGCTTGTTCTTATCTTCTTCAATCAGAGTTTTCTATCAGTCAGTTGTAATGTGATGGCCTTCCAAACAGGATGCTGTCCATCCACCTTGGAAATGCAATTCATAAACCAAACAACTTCTTGTTGGTCAATGAAGAGTTATAAATAGGATACCATCCATGTGATCATAAAATCTGGAAGCTCCTCAAGTGGTTACAAAGTCAGTCCAGAAGGAAAAGGGGCTACCTTATCATGCATACTATGAGTATTATCTTGCATTCTTCCAGTACTATCTTCCTGTATAGACCGTTTTCACTTTATTACGGAACTCTTCTTGGCACTGTTCTCCTTGTTAGAGTGTTTCTCTGACATTACGAGTATTTAAGGTTTCAAGAATGTTATATGGCCTTCAGTCATATGGGAAGTTTAAATTAAGGCCCAGTAATAAGCCAATAATTATTTTTCAAATGGTATGCACCATACCACCATGTGTGAAAATATTGCTCCAAAATCCCGGTGGTCACTGTTGGACAGCACTCATGGGCTTTTGTCATAAACTTTAATTGACATAAGTAGGAGTTACAGATACTTCTAAAATAATTTGAGTCTAGATCATAAAGGCCCAGAAGAATGGATTGAGCCACCACTTTTTGCAATTTTGATATAGCCTGCTGTTATTCAGTTCCCCATTCAAATATGGCCTTCAGGTGCTCTGCTCAATTCCAGGGGTAGGCAATGACAATAGTTTATTCTTCGTTGTCTTTAGAATTTCTGTCACTACTGGTCCTGTCCAAGTAATTCTAAGAGCTTCATCATTTGGGCAAACCCTTGGATTTTGCTTGATTTATCAAGCAGCCTCTGTTAATCATATGTCTCATTGCTTTATCTAAGCCAGTTCTCACTTGCTCCTCACTTACTGTCATGATATTATCAAAATATAGTATATTATTACACTGGGGACCTGCATTGAGTTCAAATTCTTTCTAACCAAATTATGGCAGAAGCTGGTGAATTTAAATAACCCTGTGGGTAATACAGGAAATGTAAATTGGGATTATTGCCACATTAAGACAAACTGTAGTAGACTCTTTTCTGAGACGAAGAGTGAGAAAATAGCATCTACAAAACCACTCACTGAGCACAAGTCTCTTTCAGTTTTTTGTTTTTGCAGTTTTTGGCACTGCTGAAACCATGCCATGAACCTGCTGCTATACTTAGTACTATTTTATTCAATCCTTAATAATCTACTCTTAGACTCCATAAGCGATTTGCCTTTTTTATGGGCTACACAGTGCGAGTGTACAAAAAAGTTGCTGTTGCTACCACTACAACTTCAAACTGCCATTAATTAAAGTGGTCATCTTTTTTTACCACCAGTTATGCAATAATGTTTCAAATTTACAACCTGTATGGGATCAGGCAATTCTATAGATCCACATTTAGTATTTCAAATTAATAATGGCCAAAGTGTTACATGCCTTTTATTTTGCAATGCTAGATAGTGGAGGTGTTTCTCAGTCAGACATAACGTCTATTCAAATAAAACATTCAAGTAAAGGAAATACAATCACTTCACATAAATTTGTTCAAACATTCCAATTTTCACCTAAACTTCTACTTTAATTTCATCACTCATTGAATTCCCATAGTGTCTCTATCTAATTGTAGCCCAATTACTGCACTGGGTTCCTGTGTCAAGGATTCCAAAAAAAGTTTTTTCTCCACTCCTTGGTCACTTTACCCGCACATGTGCATATAACCTTGGGTCCCCATGCCAGGGGTTATGACAAGAGATTCTAAGGTCCCTTCATCAAATTTTTATTCTTATTAATTTGCCAACTGACCATGGTAATTCAAGGTTTGGTTTCTCATTGCCATTTTGCCTTCCGACTTTGTACATTCTTCCAAACTAGGATAAATAAAGTGGGTTTGTTCATGGCCCTTCAAGATTGGGAGACCATCAGGACCTACCATCAGTCCACTCAACCCCTGGTAGTGTTGCTTTAAGACCTTTGTGTTGCACTGTCACTGTCCATATTACAAATACCATTCTGTAATAACAACTTAAAGACTTCCGCCCCATCAGGGCAGGTATGTTGAAAATCCATTTTGTTTTCCTCCCATTTTTTGTGAATCACTTTAATTCTCTTAGCCTCTATGATACCCGTAAAGGGTAGCTAAGACAACATTTTAGCAAAGGTTCTTCAGGAAGCTAATAATGCCAATCTACAAAATGAGACAACATCTTCACACTATATGCCCTGGTTTTTGTAGTTCCTTGATTCAGTCTTTCTACTTCTTATAGATTTATTCATATGTTTTATTTTCTCTTGAGTCAATATTGGTAGTTTGTGTTTTCTGGGAATTTGTTCTTTTTTTTTTCTAGGTTGCCTAATTTGTTGGAACACAAGTGTTCATAATATTTTTTAAAAATCATTTTTATTTATTTAGGGTTAATAGCAATAGTTCTACTTTTCATCCTTATTTTAGTAGTTTGAGTAATTGTTGGTACTACCACTCCAACTTCAAATGTGTCATTAATTAAAATGGTCTTCTTTTTCCTTTGGTCATTCTAGCTAAAAATGTGTCAGTTTTATTGATTTTCTCAAAGAACCAATTTTGGTTTTGCTGAATCACCTGATTTTTTATTCTTTTTTTTGTTATTTCCATTCTAAATCTTTGTTAGTTCCTCTCTTTCTTTTGCATTGAGTTTAGTTCTTCTTTTTCTAATTTCTTATGGTAGAAGTTGAGCTATATGTTTGTAATCTATATTTCTTTTTAATGTAGGCATTCATAGCCATAAATTCCTTCTGAGCACTGATTTTTCTGCATCCCCGTACATTTTAGTATGTTAGTTTTTCATTTTTATTTATCTCAAAGAATTTTCTAAGTTTTTTATGTGGTTTCTTCTTTGATACATTGGTTATTTGAGTTGATTAGTTTTCACATATTTGTACATTTTCCAGATTTCCTTTGACTACTGACTTCTAATTTTATTCCACTATGATCAGGGAAGACACCTTTATGATTTCCATCTTTTTTGATTTATTGAGGTTGTTTAGTGACCACATACATGGTCCATGCTGAGTAATGCTTCATTTTCACTTGAGAAGAATGTGTATCTGTTGTTGAGTGGATTGTTCTGTGCATGTCTGTCAGGTCTAGCTGATTTATGTGTTACTCTAATCTTCTTTTTGCTTGATGTTCATATATTTGGTTGTTCTTTTCGTTACTGAAACAGGAGTATTGTAGTCTCTACCTATTTCTCCCATCAATTCTGTTGTTATTCAATTGATATATTTTGATGCTCCGTTATTAGGGGCATAAATGCAACTAATTGTTACAACATCTTAGGTGACTGACACTTTTATCATTATATAATATCCTCGTCTCTTTAAAAAAGTTTTTGTATTTGAGTCTATTTTGTTTGGTATTAGTATAGCCCCTCCTGTTCTCTTTTGATTACTATTTGCCTGAAATATCTTTTTCCATCCTTTTACCTTCAACTTATGTGTGTCTTTACGTCTAAAATGAGTGTTTTGTAGAAAGCCCATACTTGGATTATTTTTTGATCCAATCTGCAAGTATCTACCATTTAATTGGAAAGTTTATTAAATTTACATTTAATGTAATTACTGATAAAAAAGTATTTATTTCTGCCACTTTTCATTGATTTTTGTATGTTATATCTTTTTTGTTCTTCAATTTCTACGTCTTCTTTTGTGTTAAATAAATATTTTCTAATGAATCACAATTTCCTTTTTTTCTTTTACTAAATATGTTTTAGTTATTTTCTTAGTGGTTGTTCTGCTGATTACAATTTACATCTTAATTTATGATAATTTAGCTCAGATTATTACCAATTTGTTTTTGTTAGTATATACATGATATTGCTGTCTTCTGTTTATGTTATTATTGTCACAAATTGTATCTTTTTATACCGTGCTGCCATGAACATCAACTTATAATTATTGAATTATGCGGTTTTCTTCATTATATAAGAAAAAGAGTTAAAAACCAAAAGTATATTCATTTCAGCCTGAACAATTATCATTAACATTTATTGTAGGGCAGGTCTATTAGTAACAAACTCGATTTTTGTTTGAATGGAAATGTTTTAGTTTTTCTTCAGTTTTGAAGGATAGTTTTACCAAATATAGAATTCTGAGGGGTGGGATTAGGGTAAGTTAAAATGCCACAAAGCTCTCTTATTGATATTCAGTTGGTTTTTTTGTTTATTAAGCATTTTTCTGTTTGTTACAAGCATTTGGTTATATCTGGTTAGTTTCCAGAGTTCTATGAAAGTTGATTCTGACAGTTTTGCCAGTTTATTTGTTGTTTTTGTGTAGGAATAAACTTTTGGAATTCTCTAATATGTCATTTTTGCTGATGTCAACCTTTTCTTTCTGCCTTGAGACACATTTCTTCAAAGGGTGAGTGATTTTCTGAATTTCATTTGAAAACCTACCTACAACGTGTGTCACCACAGAAAATTGTTAGAACTGAGCTAAGTGGAGTATGGCCAACACCGGGATTGTAGACCCCCAAAGTATGCTGAAACCTTGTGTGCAGTTGGGAAATCTATCCACAGAGCCCAAGTCAGGCAAAGGCAGTAAATTCAGCAGCCCACACAGCACTGTGTCGAAGATCACACTAACCTCATATGTGATTCATTCGAATGTGGGTCCCAGGGATTGCAATATGGAAGGCATGCCAAGGCAGTGAGAAATTCCAGATGATGGATAATAAGACTGATCTGGGTTACTTGGAAGTTATATACAGGAAACCAAATAATGATGTCAGAAGCTCAGAGGATGTGAAGCAAAATAAGATTTAGAGTGAAAAATGATCAAGAAGTTTAGAACTAGGCTATGAAAAAATGAGTGATAATGATAATTTTTTAGTGTGTTCTAGCTCTTTATTTGCTTGGTCGCTCCTTCCTATATAATACTTTCTTAGACCATACTTCTAGTGATAAATTTTAATTCAAATGTTGGCTCCTTTATGATTTTTTAATTATTATTTTTATTTTTAAAGGTCTCCCTGTTTTTAGAGCAGTTCTATATTAACAGGAAAACTGAGAGAAAAGTATGGATATATCCCAAATATATTCTGCCTGCACACATGCATAGCCTCTCCCACTATCAACATCCCTCATCAGAGTGGTACATTTGCTACAACTGATGAACCTGCATTGACATTAGCGCATCATTATCACCCAAAGTTCATAGTTTAAATTAGAGTTCGCTCTTGGTATTATACATTCTATAGGTTTGGATGAAAGTATAATAATATGTATCCACCATTATCATGTCACACCAAGTATTTTCACTGCCCTAAATATCCTATGTGTTCTATTCATCCCTCTGTCCCCCCAACCACTAGCAATTACTGATATTTTACTGTCTCCATAGTTTTGCCTTTTTCAGAATGTCAATGGAATGAGAGAGTAAGTAGCCTTTTCAGATTGGCTTCTTTCACTTAATAATGTAAACTTAAATTTCCTCCACATCTTTTCAGTGCTTTATAACTTTTTCCTTCTTAGCACTGAATAATATTCCACTGTCTGAATGTACCACAGTTTATTGATCCATTGACCTACTGAGGGATATTTTGGTTGCATCCAAGTTTTGGCAATTATAATCAAAGCTGCTGTAAAGATCAGTGTGCAGAGGCTGGGCATGGCGGCTCACACCTGTAATTCCAGCACTTTGGGAGGCCGAGGTGGGCGGATCACAAGGTCAGGAGATCGAGACCATCTTGGCTAACACGGTGAAACCCCATATCTACTAAAACTACAAAAAATTAGCCGGGCATGGTGGTGGGTGCCTGTAGTCCCAGCTACTCAGGAGGCTGAGGCAGGAGGATGGCGTGAACCCGGGAGGTGGAGCTTGCAGTGAGCCGAGATCGTGCCACTGCACTCCAGCCTGGGGGACAGAGCGAGACTCTATCTCAAAAAAAAAAAAAAAAAATCAGTGTGCAGGTTTTTGTATGGATATGTTTCAACTCCACTGCCTAAATACCGAGAAACTTCGTTGCTACATTGTACGGTAAGAGTAGTTCAGTGTGGTAAGAAACCACCAAACTGTCTTCCAATGTGGCTGTAACACTTTGCATTTCTGGCAGCAATGAATGAAAGTTCCTGTTGCTCCACATCCTAAGCAGCATTTGGTGTTGTCAGTGTTCTGGATTTTGGCCATTCTAACAGATGTGTGGTGGTATCTTATTGTTTAATTTGCATTTGCCTAATGACACATGATGTGGATAATTTTTCATATGTTAATTTGGTATATATCCTGTTTGATGAGATGACTGTTAAGGTCTTTGACCCATTTTTGTAATCTGGTTGTTTGTTCCCTTATTGTTAAGTTTTAATAGGTATTTGTATATTTTGGATAACAATCCTTTATTAGATGTGTTTTTTGAAAACATTTTCTTCTAGACTGTGGCTTTGCTTTTCATTCTCTTGATAGTGTCCTTCACAGAGCAGAAATTTTTAATTTTAATGAAGTCCTGCTTATCAATTCTTTTATGGATCATGCCGTTGGTGTTGTATCTAAAAAGTCATAATTGGCTGAGCATAGTGGCTCATACCCAGCATATTGGGAGGTTGAGGCAGGAGGATTGCTTGAACCCAAGAGTTCAAGACCAGCCTGGGCAACATAACAAGACTACATCCCTACAAAACATTTTAAAAATAAGCTGGGCATGGTGGCATGCACCTGTTGTCCCAGCTACTCAGGAGGCTGAGGCAGGAGAATCACTTGAGCTCAGGAGTTCGAGCCTCTAGTCAGCTATGATCGTGCCACTGCACTTCACCCTGGGTGACACAGAGAGACAGTATCTGTTTCTAAAAATAAAAATAAAAAGCCATTATCATAACCAAGGTCATTTAGATTTTCTCCTGTTATATTCTAGAGTTTTATAAAACTCATATTACATTAGGCCTGTGATCAGTTTTGAGCTAATTTTTGTAAAGGGTATAAATCTGTGTTTAGATTCTTTTTTTTAATGTGGATGTCCAGTTGTTCCAGAATAATTTGTTGAAAAGACTATCTTTTCTCCATTGTATTGTCTCTGCTTCTTTGTTAAAAATCACTTGACTATATGTATGTGGGTCTATTTCTGGGTTCTTTATTATTTTTCATTAATCTATTCATCTATCCTTTTGCCAATACCACATTATCTTTATTACTATACTTTTGTTATAATTTTTCTAATTTAAATACTGCTAGCCCTCCAATTTTGTTCTTCTTCAATATTGTGTTGGCTATTCTCGCTGTTTTGCCTCTGCATATATACTTTAGAATTTGTTGATATCCACAAAATAACTTGCTGAGATTTTGACTGGGATTGCATTGAGTTTCCTAGATCAAGTTGAGAAGAACTGACATCTTGACAATTTGAGTCTTCCTATCAATAACCATGCAATCTCTCCATTAATTCCTCTTTGATTTCTTTTATCAGAGTTTTATAGTTATTCTCATCTATATCTTTTACATATTTTGTTAAATTTGTGCCTACATATTTCATTTTGAGTGGTGCTAATGTAAATGATATTGTGTTTTAAATGTCAAATTTCATTTTTTTATTGCTGATATGTAGGAAAGTGGTTGACTTTTATATATTAACCTTGCATCCTGCATTCTTGCTATAGTCTCCTACTGGTTCCAAGAGTTTGCTTGTTAATTGGTTTGGATTTACTACATAGGCAGTCTTTGTGAATGTTTCATGTGAACTTGAGAAGAATGTACTCTACTCTTGTTGGAAAAAGTAGTCTAAAGATGTCAATTATATTCAGTTAATTGGTGCTGTTGTTGAGCTCACCTATGTCCTTACTGATTATCTACATGCTGTATCTGTCTATTTTTGATAGAGAGTTGTTGAAGTCTGCAAACTATAATAGTTTCTCCTTGCAGTTATATCAGTTATATCTATTTCTCTTTGCAGTTATATCAGTTTTATCTCCAGTATTTTGATGCTCTGCTGTTAAGGACAGACATGTTAAGAATTGTTATGTTTTCTTGGACAATTGACCCCTTTATCAGTATTTAGTGCCCCTGTTTATTCCTGATAAATTTCTTGCTTTGAAGTCTCCTTTATCTAAAATTAATATAGATGCTCTCACTTTTATCAGTGTTAGCACGGTATAACTTTCTCCATTCATTTACTTGTAAGCTATACATATCTTTATATTTAAAGTGGGTTTCTTGTAGATAACATATGTCGGGCCTTGTGTTTTGATCCATACCACCAATCTCTATCTTTTAATTGATGCATTTAATTATTGATGCTCAAAGTAATTATTGATATGTTAGATTAATATCTACCACATTTCCTATTGTTTTCAATTTGTTACCCTTCTTTATTTCTGTTTTTGTCTTCCACTTTTTTTCTGCCTACCGTTGTTTTAATTGAGCATTTTATAAGACTGCATTGTTTCCTCCTTTCTTAGCATATCGGTTATATATTTTTTTTAACTAGAGTTTGCAATAAATATTTATGACTAATTCAGGATTACTTACTTACTTACTTTTTTTAAAAGACAGCAGTGATGCAACATGCACTCAGTATGGGCCCTTCCATCTGCCGTTCAAGGTAACTTTCAAATAACATGATACTGCTTCACAGGTACTGTGAGTACCTTATGATAACAAAATAATTCTAATTCTTCTCTCCCATCCTTTGTATCATTGCTGCCATTCATTTCACTTATACATGAGCATATATATATACATAAAGTATATACATAAGCATACCTAATTAAATACATTGCTGCTATTATTATTTCAAACAAACTTTTATCTGTTAGATCAAATGAGAGTTAAAAAATAGGCTAGGCATGATGGCTCACTACTATAAACCCAGCACTTTGGGAGGCCAAGGCAAGTAGATTGCTTGAGCCCAGGAGTTTAAGACCAGCCTAGGCAATATGGAGAAACCTCATCTCTACAAAAAACTTTTAAAAAGATTAGCTACATGCATGATGGTGCATGCATGTAGTCCCAGCTACTAGGGAGGCTGAGGTGGGAGGATCACTTGAGTCTAGGAGATGTAGGCTGCAGCGAGCTGTGATGGCATCACTCCACTCCAGCCTGGGCAACAGAGAGAGACAGGTCTTGGGGAGAAAAAAGAGAATTAGAAAGTAAGCTTTTATTTTACCTTCACTTGTTTCTTTTCTATGCCCTTCCTTTCTGTATGTAGTTGCAAGTTTCTGACCTGTATTACTTTTTTCTCTATAAAGAATATTTTTAAACATTTCTGACAAGACAGGTCTACTGGCAACAAATTCCCTCAAGTTTCTATTTGTCTGAGAAAACCTTTATTTTTTCTTCAGTTATCAAAAATAACTTTGTAGAATACAGACTTCTAGATTGGTGTGCTTTTTAAAAATCTCTCAACACTTTAAATATTTCACTCCACTCTCTTCTGCTTTGCATGGTTTCCAAGAAGTCATATTTAATTCTCATCTTTGCTCCTCTATAGGTAAGCTGTGTTTTCCCCTCTGGTTTCTTTCAGAATTTTTTTCGTTTGATTTTCTGTAGTTTGAAAATGATATGCCTAGTTGTGATGTTTTTAGCACTTATTCTGCTTGTGTTCTCTGAGCTTTCTGGATCTGTGATTTGGAGTCTGACAATAATTTGAGGGAATTCTCTGTCTTTATATTTTAAATATTTCTTCTCTTCCTTCCTTTCTTCTTCTAATATTCCCACTACACATCTCTCTAACTTTGGTAGTTTTCCCACAGTTCTTGAATATTCTGTTCTTTTCTAAATTCTTTCTTCCCTTGGTTTTCCAATGCTGGAGTTTTCTATTGATATATCCTCAAGTTCAGAGGCTTTTTCTTCAGCTGAGTCCACTCTGCTAATAAGCCCTATGAAGGCATTCTTCATTTCTCTTATGGTGTTTTTGATCTCTAGCACTTCCCTTTGGTTGTTTCTTAGGATTTCCATGTCTCTGCATACATTGCCCATTTGTTCTTGCATGCTATCTACTTTACCCTTTAGAGGCCTTAGCATACTAATCATAGTTGTTTTAAATTTCTAGTATGATATTTCCAACACCCCTGTCATGTCTCGTCCTGATGCATGCTCTGTCTCTTCAAACTGTATTTTTTCCTTTTAGTATGCATTGTAAATTTTTCTTGATAGCTGAACAGGATGTACTAACTAAGAGATATTGCTATAAATAGTCCTTTAGTAATGAGGTGGTCAGAGCATTCTATAGTGCTATGATTAACTCTCAGTCTTTTAGTGAGCCTATGCCTCTGAACTGTGAGTTTCATAACTGTTTGTGCTTTTTCTCCCGTCCTTAGGCAGAACAGCATGGCTAGAGTGGGCCGGAATTTGGTAATTTTTTTCTCACACATGGAAGGCTAAAGTGGACTGGAGTTGGATATTTCCCTACCACAGGTCAGAATGGCTCTAATAAAGTCCCAATAGGTTAGGCTCTGGTTAACTAGCTTCTGCTGAGAACAGACCTTGTTAAGAAGAACAAAGCTTTCTGGCATATTTCTAAGTGGTCTCCTTTTCTTTTCCCCTGCTAGAAGCTAGGGGAGATTTTTCTTCCATATTTACTGTGAGAACCTGGTCAAAGTCCTGGAGGTAAGACACACAGGTTTGACCTGGGTCCTCACTTATTAATCTAAGA
Organism: Homo sapiens; assembly: GCF_000001405.40. Taxonomy (NCBI): domain Eukaryota; kingdom Metazoa; phylum Chordata; class Mammalia; order Primates; family Hominidae; genus Homo; species Homo sapiens. The sequence goes on along the minus strand of NC_000008.11, from coordinate 36,332,625 downwards.
AGAGTGGTTGATTTTTCAATTTTTTAACTTTTTACCTATTGGGACAGATTGGTGGCTGTCAACCTCCCTACATATGGGAATGGAAACAGAGGTTATGGTTTATTTTTTATTCATTTACTCTTCATTCAGTCATCATTCATCAATTAATCGAATAAGAAATATTTACCATGCATTTGCTAGATCTTATCCTAGGGACTGTGGATATTGTAAGAAACACAATAGTCAGAACCATATGTTAATGAAACTTTCAGTCTGACAGAACAGCATATTTCAAACAACTATAAAAATATAAAATTTTATAAATTATAATAAGAATGATTATTGTATACTGTGTAAAAAAAGATAAAAAGTCACGAAGAAGAAAAATAAAATTATCTGTAAATCTTTCCTCCATTTATATTTCCATTCAAGGTTTCCTAAAATAGTAGACACTTGTTATTCCTTCTGTATTTCCAAAACTATTTCTTGGTTATTATTTGGTAAATGTCTATGAGGTTCTCAGTCTATGAAGATTCAAAGGGAAATATTTCTCTTTTTTTCTAATTTTCTTTCTGGTATTTCCAGATCTTGAAATTGACTTCAATGACTCTAATCTAGTTCACGAGCCATTCTAAAAGGGCTTACCATGGTAAAGGGAAGAAGAGTCATTTTGAGGAGATCTAATTATTGGAATAGGCAGCCAAAATTCTAACTCACTACTCATGAAAGCCTCTGAACTAAACTGTGAAGTTTACAAAAGTTGTCCTTTGAGCACTTTAATGTTGGTGTGCCTCTCCTAATGCGGCACCAACCCCTTGCTAGAATCTGGTCTTTTATGCCATCTGCTCAAGGTGAGAATACCACACTGCTAACTGTGGTATAGATCTTTCCTTACCTCCTCAGCTCTGCCAAAATGTGTATGTCCCCTGATCCAGTTCTTTGTACACTTTAAGTGAAATGTGTAGGCATTTATCAAACATAAAAGGCAAATATGTTGAATGTTTGTTTTTGTGTTTATTTGATGACTTCATCAGATGTCATAATGATCTAACTCAATAATTTGTTCGTGTCTTAAGAAGCTCCCTATGCATGCACACACACACACACAGACACACACATTCTAATGTGGAAAATTTTTATATGAAAATTTCTTATCAATGACATTTATAGAGGATGGATTTTTGTCACATGCCTTGAGACAAGTAGTTAATTTTTTTTAAGCATGGCACATTTTTAAATCTGCTCTTAAATGTCACTCTATTATCAAGAGCAGCATTTCATGTAGATTGAGAACAGTTGTGCTCGCTCAAACCAGAGTTTTCAAGAGGACACATTTTATTCTTTCTAAGTTGACTAATATCACCTAGAGGATAAATGGTTTGTATGATTCTTCTTTTACCCCTATTCTTTCTATTACTCCTTCTCCACAGACTTTAAGTAAATATTTGCTGATTTAATTGGATCAAGTTGATGGGATAGATAGATGGGGTCTATCTATCCCATCCCTGGAAAATAACCCCATTTGCTCTATGTAATAAACTCCCACTGACTCCTCACTTAGATAGGGCAACAGTAGGTGTTCAGGAACATGGGGGCTCCAGGAATGCCCCTGCTTACAAAGATTTTTATCCTACTCATTTTCAAGAGCCAGTGGATAAGCCATTTATCTTCTGTCACTGGACTAGGTTAAGCAAGATTCATGACTTTCCAGGATTGAGGGGCAAATAGGTAGGGCCACGTTCCACCTATACCATACAACCAGATCCAATTAAATCATCAAATATTTACTTAAAGTCTGTGGAGAAGGAGTAATAGAAAGAATGGGGGTAAAAGAAGAATCATCCAGACGATTTATCCTCTAGATGATATTAGTCAACTTATAAAGGCATGATATAAATAGCAGAAAATGTTAAATAAAAACACAAGAATCTCATTTATAAAGGCAAAGTGCTAAGAGATGTTATAAGCTAAAACATGAATAAAAGGCTTGGTTTTGAGCCAAAAAAGAATTTTCAGACTAAACCTTTGTTTGTTAAAACTATCATTCATCTTAATTAGAAGAAATTATAAATTGATTATCAAAATGATTTGAACTGATGTTACTGGGCAAGTCACCATGTATTTTGTAGCATTTTTTAAAAGTCAGACCTCTTGGAATGCCTGTAACAACTCTTCCTAAATCTTCCTTTCACTCACAATGACTGTTATCCAGAGTATTTATGAGTATAAGAAGTCCAGGTGAGGACTTCTTACCTGTCAGTCCATCCCCAGGGCTGGCTACAGCCAGGTGTCACTAACGATTTGGCATGGATCTTCCCCACTAGGCTTCTACTACATGGCTCACTTTGGTTGTGTCTCCATGACAACACTTCGGTCTAGGGGAAATTATATCCATTATCTAGTTGCTATGTTTCCATAATGTCCAGTAACTTATGTGAGTGATCCCCCTACCTGTTTAGTTACAATGCCCCTGCCCCCCAGCCTTTTTATTTTATTTTATTTTATTTTATTTTTTTTGAGACGGAGTTTCACTCTTGTTGCCCAGGCTGGAGTGGAATGGTACAATCTCGGCTCACTGCAACCTCTGCCTCCCAGGTTCAGGCGATTCTCCTGCCTCAGCCTCCCGAGTAGCTGGGATTATAGGTGCCCACCACCACGCCCAGCAAGTTTCTTTGTATTTTTAGTAGAGATAGGGTTTCACTATGTTGGCCAGGCTAGTCTCAAACACCTGACCTCAGGCGATCCACCCGCCTTGGCCTCCCAAAGTGCTGGGATTACAGGCATGAGCCACCGCGCCCAGACAACGGCCCCTTTTAAGCTTAGATATAAGTTTCTGAGGTTATTTCTGAGGTCAGTGGATTTGCACTATATTATTTCAATGAACTAGTTTGGACTACTTTTGTTCACCAGTAAATTAACTGCATTGGCCATGAACATACCATTTTCATGAGAATGAAATGGCTGTAGTTCAATAAATAGGGTCTTCTTTTTAACTTTCATTTTTCCCTTATTTTCTCAAGTCTTTAAAGAGAAATTGAGTTAACAGCCATATAACTACTTGTTAATGTGTCAAGTTCTCATTTATATAACTAAATTTTAATAAACACGCATGAGTAATGAATATAGAGGAAGCACCTAATTTCCTTCCCATTTTACCCTCCATAGATAGTTACAATAAAATATCCTGTGTTGTGAACATTGCATTTTAATGAATTTTAATATGCAGAATCCTTTTGGAGAGTTTTAAAAATCATTCTTTAATTACCGAGATCAGCTTGAAGCAAAGGATTTGAAAAGCATTGCCAAAGAGAAAAAAATAGTATTCTAGAAAAAGCCAAAGTAAAGCATTTTGACTATTTTTCTTCTGTTAAACTCATGGCACTACTATGTTAGCAATTACCATCTTTTAAGTCAAAACTTTAAGAATCACTAAATATCAGCTATTCAGCAGCATTGTGCAATTTGCTAAGAAAGATTTAAAGCCCAAGCAAAGAGAAAAAATATTCAAGCAGCTCTGATAAGCTCCCAAAGATCAGTCCTTATCTGAAAATTTGATAGAATCAGAGTAGAATGGAATGTCATAATTAACCAGAGCTATTTTTTAATCTAAACCATTTTTTCTGCTATTGAACTTGAGTGAAATTAATTCAGTTTGAAGAGGTCACTTTCTGATTTCTTCAATAAGATATTTTACCTGTCTACATGAGACTATCTGCCTTGGAATCAAAACTAGAAGAGTTTGAACTTCCAAATACTGAATTCAGGATCAGAAAAAAAACATTTTTTCAAGTGTGTCATCTAGTTAATAGTCAGACAATGGTTTCCTTGATTTATTAGACTGTAACATGCTTTTAACGGACATACATTCATTCATTTATGCAAGAATATGTTTACACTGGGAGTAGTTAATTCACAAGAAATTTTTGTCAATCACTCCTAATGGAGAGCATTCCAAAGATGTGCTATTCACTTTGACCTTGAAGCAAGAAAACAAGTAATAATTTAGAGATTATATGTTTTTACTATTAAGTTTAAGGAAAAATAGTTTGAGTCATACTCTCATTATGTTTATGTAATTTTCTGACTTCCTGACAGTTTCCTAGAAAGGTGAATGCTTAAGGTAATAGACCATCAATTCTCTCTTATTTTGTCTCATTGTGACTAATGTCTACCTTCTCACATCCCTTGCCCTAAATTATAAATTTGGAAGTTATTTTTAGCATTGCTATAATCAAAGTATTCAGCACGTGCTGGGTTGAAAGTGATTTTAGTAATTTGATAATTGTTTCCACTTTTTTCTATTAAATTGACAATTAGCATTAAGAGACTTAGTCATACTCTGCTATTTACTAACAGTGTGGCCTTAGAAAAGTCACTTGACGTTTCTGGACATCATCATCCTCATGTGAACTCCCCAGAGGAGGTTTGGAGCTGTAGATGGTGACGTAGTAGGGAAAACTGTAAGAAAATTTGGGATGGAGGTGAGCAGAAATCAAGAGGCTTTTGGAATGGACAGAAGGAGTAAGGACTTTAACTATCTATCCTATTGGATGTGGTATGAAACCCCACATGCTCTAATCTATGAGGTCCAAGTGCACAGTAGCTCTGTGAGCAAAATCCTAAGGAAGCACGAAGGCAGGGTCCAAGCAGTTTTGAAAAATCCAGGAAAAGCCAGAGACTAAGAGGCAATTCAAAGGAAGGACTTTACTGCTTTTGATGTTACTCCCTGGCCTTTGTCTACAGACTGGAAAGCAGCAGGGATTTGGAAGGAGAATGGGATACCACTGTAGAAACATTACCTATGGGCCTACCTGAGATATGGAACTCAGTTCCATGACTCATAGCACATAAAACGTCCATAGAGAGGGGGCAGTGGGAGAAAAAAAATATTGAGTGCACCATGCAACCCAGAGAAGCAGGCAGGCTTCAAGTCCTTGGGAGTCATGGTTACTGACAGAGTGGGGGAGAGGGCTGAACAAAAGGTATGATTCGAGTGTCAATTCCTGCTCATCCTAGTTGCAATGAGCATCCAGCCACCTGCCCAACACTTCTCTGTAACCAGTGGAGACCAGCTTCACAGGATATCCAGGACTATCATTTTGCAAAGTATTGGTGAAAGAAGCAGTTTATTTACTTCTTTAGTTTTGATACACTGTTCTGGGGAACTGAAACTTCAGAATATTAGAAATTTTGCTCTCAGTGTCCACCCACTTGGTTCAGCAGAAGGCATGGAATCTCAGCTGGACAAGTTAGTGTGAACCTTGGAATTTTGCTGAGAATGCTGAGATAAAAAGGCTCTCTTTTCCTCCCGAATGTAAATGAGGTATCCAACCTAGAGCTGCTGGTAGTCATCGTAAAAGCACAGAAGAGCAGCAGAGTGACAATGGAAGTGACTCCAGAGAAGAACATTTGAAAACTGGCAGAAGGAAAGGCATGCCATGTTTAGATCATCCCCTGGAATGGCCAATGACATGAGCCAGCATATTTCTTATCTTCCAAACCTGTCTTTTTCTTAAGGCAATTTATATTGAGCCTTCCATTGTTTGCAATCAAAAACAATTATTATACTCTCTAACCTAAGCTCCAGGCTCCCTGATCTGCCACTAACATGCTGTGGAATCCAAAGCTTATCTCTGAGACACAGCTTTCTTATATATAACAATATAACACATGGAGATTGGACTAGGATATATTTACAATCATTTTCATATCTAAAAGTCAATGATATCTGTGAACATCGTGTCAAACTCATATCAAAGTCTAGTTAACTAATTCTGGATTCTACCCTGAGTGTAAAATTTGATGGGAGAAAAAAGTTATACCTACCTAAAAGCCAAGAAAGAATGAACTAGAACAAAAGGTATCCAGGATAAACTGCAATGGCTTTAGAGTTTCAGCAATTCATGACCCTGGGCTTTGTCTTACTACTCTACTTAGGAAATACTTCAATAGTTAATGGAAGGTATGTCCACAGTCATATGGAATTATTAATGATGTAAAGGTGTGAGCACAACAATCACTGGGACAATTGGACTGAGATATAAAACAGAGTCAGTCTCTGGTAGAAGAGTTAAAACAAGTTTGGAAATTAAGGAGCATCGAAACAAAGTCAGTCCTCTTTAAAACTGAGATCGTTTCCTCTATGATTCCATGGTGTCTTATGGAGCTGGCACAGCATTCGAGTCAATGCCTGTGAAAATCAATTCCATGAGAATTATTTTCAGTGAATGTCACATTGCTTGCTTATCTCCTTTGCCTAAGCAACCCACTCAGCAACATTCCTGGAAATATCTAAACTCCATCGCAGATAATCCAACTGTATTGTTATTTCAATGTACATTTGTAACATGATGAAATAACATGTAACTAAAATCACATTGCATTTCACAGAATGCCAAAATGCGTTACTGATTGAAATCAAATATTTGAATGGTACCTCCTGCATATGAATGAAGGTGGAAACCTGTTCTAGCATCATTATCCCACATGATCTGAGTGGCAGCCAATATCTATCGCCTTTCTCAAAACCCCAAGTGACACTATCTGTGCTGCCATCTTCTCTGTTCCCTGAGTTATCCTTGTCTTCCATGCCTTCTTCATAGCCCTTTATTAAAGAAACAGAAAAAGTTATAGTTGCTTCTCTTTTTGAAAAGTCACCTCTCCTTTCTTCTGCCCATAATTATCATAGTTCACTCCTCCTGCAGTTCTTTCTGGGCTTAACAAATAATTATCACTAATTTTCATTAGTCTTCATTTCCTCAGTTAGTCCTCTAATCTCCACTAGACCTAGAACACCCCCCACATTTAACTATACACTACTGTGTGGTTAAAATAAGACATTGTGATTCTTTGATGGTTTGTTATAAAGCCAGTGGAATTTTACCCTAAAAACTGACAACCTCAATGTGTCTACTGAGGGTTCAGTTGGTTTAATGTATTAATATGCTACAGTTATAACCAAAGTCATAGTTATAGTTGCTTTATGCTTTATTTTCATAAGCCACAGATATTTGATTTAAGCTCATTGCAGCCTTTATCCATTAATCCATTTTTGGAATAAAAATAACTTGATAACATGGCAAGTATTAAGAAACACAGCTTTATGAACTATAGTGCAAACTTGATAGATGACCAATACCATTATAATGATGACTAAAATTCAAACATCAAATAATAATCGTCAGTCAGTTCACGCAGGCACACACTTATTGGTCATCTGCTGTGTGCAAAGCACAGGGCTGAGAATTGTGAGAGGTACACTGACAAATAAGCTCTGGTCCTTGTCTTTCAGAAGTTTACAGAACAGAGCTGACATCTTCCATCAGCTTAACAAGTGGAAACACTAACAAGATTCTGGCTTAATAGAACAAAGACCATGACAAAGATATAAGCAATGTGCTTTGGATACACAGAGGCAGGATGGTTAATTCTTTCAGGGGAAATTTTTACAGGCTTCCCAGGGGCATGAGAAAATAATTAGTAATGAAGAAAGGACATAGCAGTCCTAGGAAACCAAATGAACAATAGCTGTCCACTAGAAATCCATGCTTTCCATTATTGTTTTTGCCTATATTTATGATGATACAATGATAATCATTAGGTTCTACTTCATTACTGAAGTGGCACAGATCATGTCAGTAGAATGAAGCCACACATAAAAATGAATGGCATCTCATCAGTTTGTAAGTTTCAACTTGTCAAGCAAATTGCTTTCAACGCACGTGAATGGGGATTTCTGGGAGCTATGAACTGGATTACTCCTTCCCACATAGCCCAAGTCAAGTCAATGAAGTACCTTAGTAGAGCTTAATGTGGTACACAAACCTCCCTATCTCAACCATTTCCTCTCCAGCCAATTCCCTGTAAAAATATTCTTATCCAAATTTACATGCTGTTGAACTCCATAGTGAAGTTTTACCTGACTCTGCCTTTGATGGTGTTGTTCTGTCTTAGAGGAATACCTGCTACTTTCCCTCTGCCTTCCACATGGCTATTTGTCATTGTCCCTTTAGGAAGCTTTTAGTGACACTCCCTGGTGTGATTAGCATGCCAAGAGTATCTTCTCAGATTATTCAGGTACTAGAAAGTATGATAGCTTTTATAATACTTAGTTGGCTGTTTGTTTGTTTGTTTGTTTGGAAATAAGGTCTTGCTTTGTCACCCAGGCTGGAGTGTAGTGGGATGATCATAGCTCACTGCAGCCTGGACCCCCCAGGCTCAAGGATCAAGTGGTCCTCCCACCTCTGCCTCCCAAGTAGCTGGAACTACAGGTGTGCACCACCATGCCTGGCTAACACACACACACACACACACACACACGCACACTTTTTTTTGTAGAGATGGAGTCTCACTATGTTGCCCTGGCTAGTCTTGAGCTCCTGTCCACTGCGCCCAGACAGTTTATTGGTGTTTATTGCCTGCTAGGTCATGTGGTCCTTGAAGATCAGATATGTGTATATTATTTTTATTTATTTGTATTTGTCTATTGGTGCTTACTGAGAAATAGTAAATGCACGGCATATTTGGCCCCATTCTCTCTTTTCTCACTCACAACAGAGAGCCATATCCATCACCACATTATTTCTTGCTGAGCCCTTTCTCAAAATCGTTCTCATCCCAATTCTCCAGGCAGATGTTGTCAATCACTCAGAGTTACACACAAATCCACAGGCTACCATTGCCTTTAGCAGGCTGTAAATCCTCATATGAATAATTAGTACAGCAAAGAACACCTCCTGTTTTCCTAATACCACTTAGATCATGTATAAGTGCCTACTATGTTCAAGCCATCATGTTAGGTCATTTCTATGCCTTACCTGATGTAATTGTCACAATAATATGTTTGTGCTAAGTGTTCATTTCTTGTCCTCCCCTAGATGAAAAAAACAGATAAAGAAGAGTTAGACACTTGTCTAAGGCCATGCTAGGGAGTCTGGATTAGAAATCACAGCTATTTGACTTCCAAATCTAACGTCTTTTGTTACCTGCAAGAAGTTTGACTTGTTTTGCTGTTTGCTGTAAAGCCCTAGCTTTTAGCCAGTCATACTCAATGAACCCCAAGTCAGGCATCCACTGTTGCTGCCTCTGATATTGTTACCGACTAATCCTGCGTCCCTGTGCAACAGCAAAGAGACACATAGATCTGCTCAGTGTCAGCAAGTTGAGGGAGACGGCAGAGCTGGCCACACAAAGAAGGTGGGAGGAAGCCAGCTAAATACAAACTCTAGGGTTTTCATAATTTTAGGTGGAATTGGTGCTTTCCCTCACCTTTCCCCAATCACGTTTTCTGCACTCTTTCTTTTTCTTTTTTTAACTTCTTGCCTTTTAATAATATCTTTAAATATAGATATTTCCAATTCTCCAATAAAAAGATGTAGAGTGGCCGAATGTTTTTTCATACATGTTTCACTAGTCCAGACACCCAAGGGTATGTCCTTCTCTTGGGCATAAGAAAATCTAGAGTTATATTTAGGGTATCATAATGTGTGGTGAAGAGTGGACAGAGCTGGCATGCTCACAATGACCAAATTATGTTGGTTATATTTTAATCCAAAACATTGATCCACTATTAACTTGTAAATAAATAATGTACTTGCTTTCTAGACACATTCCAGGAAGACTAGAGAAACTGACGTTTATCTATGTGGAATAATCCACTAGTGAATTTCTTTTAGGATAGACCAAAGCTGATCTAGAACATAATCTTTACATACTTGGATCCTTCCCACCAGACAAAGAAGAACATCTGGGCTGAAAGGCACCATTAGGAGGGCAATGTGGGATGGTGCTGTGCTGACAACTGGTAGTCCCTGCCCTACATCTTTGTAGAGGACTGGAGCCCAGATTGGGCCATGGTCAACTTACATGTTGAAGTAAAGACCTCCTTCTAGGTGTGCATGTGCTTATTACAGATATGCCACGGTGCTAAGTACCCCAGGACTACAGGAAAAAATAAGAATACATCCTGTATCCGTGATCAGGAGGCACACAGGCCAGAGTGCCAGCTGTGGAATCGCAGAGCATGGGCTCAAAGGCTGGCTGGGCCATGACTGCCTGAATGACCTGAGGAATGGTCTCAGGCGGATTTGTAAAAAGAAGTGGAGACCCTGCCTGCCAGGAGGGGATGTGGTAAAGGGCACCATCCAGTCAGGTCAGGGCACCACGTCCTCTACTTGGAAACCTGCGCAGCCAGGCTGGTGGCCCTCAAGGCCAGGGCGGCCACGGAGAAGGCGGGCCTGGCTCCAGGCGGCACAGAGGCACTGGAGAGGCCCTGAGGGAGCCTGGTGGGATCTGGCTGGTCCTGCGCCCTGCTTCCAGCAGGTTCTGGCCCTGTAACCCGGGGGACAGGGCCAGCCAAGACAGGGCCATGGGGTGCTAGTCAGCGCCTGGGCCAGGCACCAGGCGGGAAGGGCTCTGGCGGATCAGTCCTGCACCCCTCACAGCCCCACAGCCCCACAGCGGGGCCCATCCAGAATCACACACCTGCCCCCAGGAGCAGGACGTCCCTGAGGCTAGAGAGTCCAGCTGGACCGGTGGAGGGGCCTAGCGGTTTGCCCTTTGACTCCTCTTGTAGGCGCTCCTCGCTGGGCTCCTGTGCACTCCTCCACACCCTGGCTCTATCACCAGCCCCACCGTGATGTCCCAGGTGCCCAGTGCGCGCAGGCCACAGAGAAGTGGGTGACTATGGAGTAACCTCTCCGCCTCTGACCCTCAGTTTCTTCCGCACACAACTCGCTCAAAATGGGCAATTCACTAGGCATATTTTGTTCCTGGTTCTGCTGCAGGTCCCGGCCATGCCACAGGCAACGTGCTCTTCTAAGCTTTTTTTTTTTTTTTTTTTTTTTTTTGAGACAGAGTCTCGCTCTGTCACCTAGGATGGAGTACAGTGGCGCGATCTCGGCTCACTGCAAGTTCCGCCTCCCGGGTTCACGCCATTCTCCTGCCTCAGCCTCCCGAGTAGCTGGGACTGCAGGCGCCCGCCGCCACCACCCCTGGCTAATTTTTCTGTATTTTTAGTAGAGACGGGGTTTCACCGTGTTAGCCAGGATGGTCTCCATCTCCTGACCTCGTGATCCACCCGCCTTGGCCTCCCTAGGTTCCGCTGCAGGTCTCGGCCACGCCATAGGCAACGTGCTTGTCTAAGAATATTTTGTCCTGGTTCCACCAGCGGTCCAGGCCACGCCATTGGCAACCTGCTAATCTTGTCCGTGAGGCCTTCCCAGCTGGCGGGGCCCCCCCTGCGGCTCCTGTGCCTGTGCCTGCCCCGGGAACCCTGGGCTCTTCCCAATTCCTCTTCAACCCTCTGCGATGTCCTAGGCCTTCTTTTCCAGCCAGGTGGGATGGCGCCCCTACAAGGCTGTGTCTTCTCCCTCAGAACACGGGCACCCCACTGGGGCACCTCCTGACTTCTGTGGTCTGGAGGCTCCCCTCAAGAAAGAAATCCATGCTGTCTGCTCGCAACTCCATCATGTTCGGACACCTCAGCCCCGTGAGGATTCCTGTCTCAGAGGCAAGCTTAACCTCCCACTGCCTGTCTGCTGAGGCACTGATGGGAGCTGGGTCAGACTTCCCAAAGGGAAAGAAGCCTCCAGCAGGGCAACATGGATAAGATCATGGGGGTATTAAGTAGAACATCAAAATCCAGGAAATGAAAACAGCCGCTTGGGAGGAGAAAGACATGGCAGGGCAGGCGCGGTGGCTCACGCCTGTAATCCCAGCACTTTGGGAGGCCGAGGCAGGCGGATCATGAGGTCAAGAGATCGAGACCTGAGGAGCGTCTCTGCCTGATCCCAGCACCATCTGGGAAGTGAGGAGCCCCTCTGCCCGGCCGTCCCACTGTCTGGGAAGTGAGGAGCGCCTCTGCCTGGCTGCCCACTCTTTCTTGTAACTGCCCTGTGAAAGTCTGAAACGGTAGCTGCTTTTCCTACTACATACACTCTCCTTTTCTGTCACACACACAGACTGATTTGTTATTTCTAGGTTGTTCTTGAATACTGGACTGTTGTTGATCATTGATTTTTTTTTTTTTTTCTGTCTCAGGAAAAGGAGCTGCAAGGCACTGCTTTTCAAAGAAAAAGAACGAGCTAGGGAGAGAAAAAATACACACATCTGAAGGATTGCATGGACTTTGTAAATAGATTTGTTTCCAAAAGTTTTTATTTTAATCCAATCAAAACATTTGAGCAACCTGAATGGTATTGCTACCTTGAAAAGAACTTAGCTGCAATTTTACAACAGAAGTACACCATTTTAAAGCTTAACATTAACATGCCTTTAGATTCAGTCGCTAACAGTGGGAAAGGATCATGATGTGTCTCTTTCTCCTGGGTGTTTCCTCTTTTACCACTTTTACCTCTTTTACTCTGCATGGCTTGGTCTTTGTACAGACTTTAATTCTGAATCAGCTTGGTCACTTCTTTCATCTTTCAAATTTCAGATTATATTCATATCCACAGATCTCCTGGTTTACATATCTGCCGAAAAACAATCTAGGAAGGCCGGGCATGATGGCTCATACCAGTAATGCCAGTGCTTTGGGAGACCAAGGCAGGAGGATTCTTTGAGGCCAGAAATTCAAGACCAGCCTGAATAACATACTGAGATTTCATCTCTACAATTTAATTTTTTTTAAGAATTAGTCAAGCACGGTGGTGCTCACCTGTAGTCCCAGCTACTCAGGAGGCTAAGGCCGCAGTGAGCTATGATCTCACCACTGCACTTTAGCCTGGACTGCAGAGTGACAGAATGAAACCCTGTCTCAAGAAAAAACAAAACAAAAACAACAAAAAACACTACAATTTGGGAAAATAACTGTGGCATTCAGAACTGGAACTCATATCAGTGCCTTTTCAGAAATGTATTTAAAATATTTAAAACAAGACCCATCTTAAACCTAGCTAAGTTTACCCAAATACTTTTAGCTGGAAAAAAATAAAACTCCTTGTTTTCTTCTTTTGCATTCTAAGCAAAAATAAAATTTCAACAAAAAAGTTATGTTTTAAGTTTCTAAAACATTTGTTACCCTTACAAATCCCTAAGTCTAAGTTAGCATGGTGGCAACTTAGTTTTAGTATGTGACAAGTTGATTAGAACATTTTGGAAAACAGTAGTGAGTTAAATTACCCTTAATTTTTCTTGAAAATAAGAATTTAGAAGTGGTAAAATTATGGCCCGAGATGTATTTGGTCTTCGATTATGTTTCTATACATTATTGCAGTGATACAAATGCTTATCTTTTTAAAAAATACTTTGATATAAAAATGTAGATATATGTACCCATAAAGTCATTGTAAATATTATTTAAATAGTTATCATAAATAAAATATTTTTCCTTGCTACTTAATACATTAAAGATACAAAATGTTTTTAAAAATCATAGCACAGATATGCAAAACTCTGTCTCTTCCACCACTGTCCCCATTGGAATCACCAATATATCCCATAGATTGCTGAGTTCTATATTATTTACCCTAGGGAGTCAATAGTTTTTTTTAATAAACTAGTAACTCTGAACAAGTACGTGAACATGTTTAGAACAATATTCTCAACTCAGAACAATATTCTGAAAACTTATGGCAGATTAACTCACTTTTAGCTGAAGCCTAATGCTAAAAAGATAAAGATTCTACATCAGTTTTAGGTAGCATCCTTCCATTTGTCTACTTCCGGAACCCAGGCTAACTCTCTTAGCCACTAATGCTTTGGGCGTAAACGCGACAGGAGTGTGTGAAATGAGCAGAGCAGAAACACCCACTGTCACTGTGGAGAAAGAACTCGCGAAGACTTGTCTGATCAATGGGGCCTCTCCCACATTGTCTTCACCCTTATCAGAAAACATCAGCAACATGCAAGGGTTTTATTTTTCTGAATTGTTTATCTGGATATGTTCAAGGTCATTGTAGAAACTTCCATCTTACACTTCTTCAGGAAGCATTTATCAGGGAGGACAATCTATGCAGAATCTCATGCAAGAGGTTAAGGGATGGCATTGGAGGCTTAGGGAAAGGAGGCCATTACAAGAATTTTATTTCTGCTATCAGGAGAGAATATAAGCACATGCAAAATAATTACTCCTTACGTTGTGTTATGCTTTACTGCTGAGTAAAAACATCCACATACACTATGTATTATATTTACCTTCATTATGACTGAGGTGAAGGGACAGATATTATGAATGTCTTTTATTTATTTTTATGTATTTTTTATTTTGATAGATTTAGGGAATATAAGTGTAGTTTTGTTACATGGATATATTGCGTAGTGGAGAAGTCTGGGATTTTAGTGTAACCATCATCCAAACAGTGTCCTTGGTACACATTAAGTAATTTCTTATCACTCACCCCTTCTCCGACCCTCCCACCTCTTCAATTCTCCAGTGCCTGTTAGTCTGCTCTCTATGTCCATGTGAACACATTACTTAGCTCCCACTTATAAGTGAGTCATCTACATGTGGTATAAGACTTTCTCTTTCTGAGTTATTTCACTTAAGATAATGGCCTCCAGTTTCGTGCAGGTTGTTGCAAAAAACATAATTTCATTTTTCATGGCTGAGTAGTATATCATGGTGTATACATGCCACATTTTCTTTATTCAATCCTCTGTTGATAACCACTTAGGTTGATTCCACGTTTTTGCTATTGTGAACAGTGCTGAGGGAAACTTAAGAATGTAGGCATCTTTTTATATAGTTATTTCTTTTCTTTTGGGTAGATGCCCAAAAGTGGGATTGCTGGATCAAATGGTGGTTCTATTTTCAGTACTTTGAGAAATCTTCATACTGTTTTCCATAGAGGTTGTACTAATTTTCATTCCCACCAACAGTTTATAAGCATTCCCTTTTCTCCACATCCTTGCCAACATCTGTTATATTTTTACCTTAATAATAACCACTCTGACTGATGTGAGATATCTCATTGTGGTTTTAATTTGTATTTTGCTGATGACTAGTGATGTTGAAAATTTTTGTACATGCCTGTTGGCCATTTGTATGTCTTCTTTTGAAAAATGGATTATTTTCCTGTTCTAGAAATGAGGAAAATATGTCTAGGAATGTAAGAGAATTACCTGTGGTAGATGGCATGTCTGGCTAAGTTTCTCACTCTTCTCTATCCATCCTCTTTACCATGGGACTTTCA
Source organism: Homo sapiens (assembly GCF_000001405.40). NCBI lineage: Eukaryota > Metazoa > Chordata > Mammalia > Primates > Hominidae > Homo > Homo sapiens. The sequence goes on along the minus strand of NC_000008.11, from coordinate 36,317,512 downwards.
TTTGTCACATAAGGAGTGGGGAATATTACCCCACTCCTTGACTGGGACGCTGGCTTTATCACTTGCATTGGCCGTCAGAAAAAGAGGGAAGCAATCATTCTGAGTTCCAGCCTCAAAGCAACTTGCATGCTTCCATTTATGTCCTTGACCCTCCACCCCCACCATCAGGAGGACGTGCCCAGGCTGACTTATGGGTCCCAGGAGAAGGATGAGAAGGACATGGAGCACAGCCACCCTGGCTAAACCCAATTGCGATCAGCTGACCAGACCTGTAAAGAGTAAGAAATGGTTGGTCATTGCAGCCACTGAGTTTTGGCTCAGTTTTTTTTTTTTTTTTTTTTTTTTTTTTTTTGAGACGGAGTCTCGCTCTGTCGCCCAGGCCGGACTGCGGACTGCAGTGGCGCAATCTCGGCTCACTGCAAGCTCCGCTTCCCGGGTTCACGCCATTCTCCTGCCTCAGCCTCCCGAGTAGCTGGGACTACAGGCGCCCGCCACCGCTCCCGGCTAATTTTTTGTATTTTTAGTAGAGACGGGGTTTCACCTTGTTAGCCAGGATGGTCTCGATCTCCTGACCTCATGATCCACCCGCCTCGGCCTCCCAAAGTGCTGGGATTACAGGCGTGAGCCACCGCGCCCGGCCTTGGCTCAGTTTTGCAGGACTAACTAACTAACACATTGCCCAAAACTACACAGGTAGTTCGGAACTGAGACAGAGAAGCAGTCATTCCTTTTGCCTTAAAAACCGTTGACATTCTATAATGCCAGCCTGATCTCCTCCTAAACATATTTGTGGGTAGACAGCTTTTTAGTTGTGATGCTAAGAAACTCTCTTTTTTTTTTTTTTTTTTTTTTTTTTTTTTGAGATGGAGTCTCGCTCTGTCGCCTAAGCTGAAGTGCAGTGGCGTGATCTTGGCTTACTGCAACCCCTGCCTCCCAGGTTCAAGCAATTCTCCTGCGTCAGCCCCCTGAGTAGCTGGGATTATAGGCGCACACCACCACCCCAGGCTAATTTTTTGTATTTTTAGTAGAGACAGAGTTTCACCATGTTGGCCAGGCTGGTCTCGAAGTCCTGAACTCAAATAATCCACTTGCCTTGGCCTCCCAAAGTGGTGGGATTACAGGAGTGAGCCACCGCACCCAGCCAAGAAACTTTCTTTTAGTAAGCCGTACCTTATCTAGTCCAATTTATCTCTCATGAGTCCTAAACACAGCCCTCTGTGACAGATAGTCCAGCGTCCTATCCACCAACCGTTCCTACAAGTGATTTTCTTTTTCCATATACTCTCATGTAGTGCCCGTTTCTCCCTCTCAGCTCAACCGAATCTTCTACTGATTGAACACCCCACTTCTAATCCCCAGTTTTGAGAGCTCCCCTAATTCATCAATTCTCTGCTTACCTGGCACTTAGCATTCTGATGTGGTCTAATCCCACGCAATTACACCCTTAATCCCCACTCTTGAGACTGTATGTCTTGCCTCCATAGCTCAGCATGAGCTGCACACAGGAGCCAAGACCTCTCCTTCCTTGGTGCATCTATATGCACAGATGAGTGAATAAATAAATAAATGTTGGACATAATTAAACTCATTGAGTATGAACTGCACTAGTAGGAGGGCTAAATTAGCACAACATCTTTTTTACTTCTTGTGTAATTGCTTCACATCTCTAGACTGCTAAGAAGCAAACACAAAGATCCTGTGACATTGTCTTGCTCTCTTGTCATCTGAAATATTATGGAAAAAACAAGTAAGTGTACCTTACCCAGAGAGAAGAATGCTTTTATTCTCCACCAGGTGTCTCCTCAGGTTCAGCCATTTTCTGCATCCCTGTAAAAGATCAGCTGTGGCTAGGTCTAACGAGCACAAAACAGCGGAAGCCCACCTCCTGTAAAGGACTGCTGGGCCTGTTACATACCAGAGTAAGGCAGACAGAGTTACAACTTCAAACATTGCCTTCCCTGCGTGCAATGTGGGCACACAAATATTTAAAAGAACATACCTTTTGAAAGATATGTTCATGGATCATTATTTATCAAAATTTTCCAGCTCTTCTTTTAAAATTTAATTTCTACCTGAGGGAAAACCTTGATTACTATGCATATTACATTTATTATCTTTGGTATACAGGTGGCTTATTAGCAGATTTTGGTATTCTTCACTACCCATTTATTGGAGCTTTTGCATTTGAAAGAAAACCAAATCAGCAATAATAGCACAGGATTTTCTCTGTTGTTCTTTCCAGCTTTCCAATTGCTGCACTCAGGGTTGTAGGCTTATATTAGCCTTGCCAAAACTGTCATCCCTGTACTTCATTTCCCCTGATGTGATTATTACACATTGTATGTCTGTATCAAAATATCTCATGTACTTGATAAATATGCACACCTACTATGTACTCATAAAAATTAAAAAGACTGTCATCCTTAAGAAGGGCTGTTATTATCACCAGTATCTCCTCTGTGGGCCCAACTAACTAAGGGGCTTCCCAACATGGAGCGAGGCCTATGGCATTAGAGAGCTGTGTAGTCAGTGAAGGAGGAAGAGGAGAATCTGCCAGCTTGTGTACAAAAAGACACAGTTTTCAACTACACAACTTGTATAAGTACTAGGCCCTCCTGAGAAGACACTTCTTATTCTTATAGAGCATGCACACTGGTATTATTTCTTGCTATTTCTCTTCAAGGGTTTCCCTGGATACTTATTTTAACACAGTTTCCTCAAACGTGTGTGTGTGTGTGTGTGTGTGTGTGTGTGTGTAGAGGGAGTTGCACGTGTTCACATGGATAAACATGATCTAGGAATGAGATCAAATACTGCTTTGTCCTGGGCACTCCATCTTCTAGGGAGGGCTTTACCAGATGAGAGGGAAGGAGAATGCATTGTCGGCCCACTGACTTGCTAATGTCCCTTCCCACAGAGACCCACAGAATTGAATAACCTCGTCTTGCACTTTAAGATTCTGCCTATGACCTAATCAGGTAGATCACATTGAGGATGGGGACCTAGAATGGTGGAGATGTGATGTTGCGGGTTGAATTTTATCCCCCCACCCAAAAAAGATATGTTTGAAATCTTAAATCTGGCATCCCAGGATATGACCCTGTTTAGAAACAGGGTTGTTACAGAGGTAAGCAAGTTAAAATGAGGTCATGAGGCTGGGCATGGTGGCTCATACCTGTAATCCCAGCACTTTGGGAGGCTGAGGCAGGAGGATTTCTTGAGGCCAGGACTTTGAGACCAGCCTGGACAACGTGGTGAAACCCCATCTCTACTAAAAATATGAAAACTGAGGCGAGATAATCCCCTGAGCCTGGGGAAGTTGAGGGTGCAGTGAGCCATGAAGGCATCACTGCACTCCAGCTTGGGTAAGAGAGTAAGACCCTGTCCCCTCCAAAAAAAGCCATTTAAGCCATCATGATGGTGGTGTACGATATGTCACTAGCTCAACTACTCATTCTCAATTACCTCATCTAGTCATTAAGTCCCAAGGAAATGCTTGGGGTATGGCTACCATTGCTATGTTAAGCAAAAAATTCCACAGAAATCCAAGATAAAATAACAACCTCTAATGTCAGTTTTTGTCCTGCATTTTAGGTAGTGTAATGTTTAGATATGGGGGCATTATTAGGTAGCTGAGGAGAATTCGAATGAAGGAGACATTGTTGTGAAGTTCTGTCATACCCATCACATTTCCCTCAGCTCTGAAGCAGGCCTGGTGTGATCTCAGGATTAGAATGAGAGCCTGAACACTAGCATTCCCATCCGCCATTACTGAGGTGTTAAGTCCTACTGCCGAGATCTACCTTGGATGTCTCCCTGTCCTCCCATCCACATTTTCATTGTGGTAAGGTATGGAGTCAAATATTGGTATAGACACAGAGTAATGATACTGATATGGTTTGGCTCTGTGTCCCCACCCAAATATCATGTTGCATTGAAATCCCCACGTGTTGCAGGAGGACCTGGTGGGAGGTGATTTAATCATTGGAGCGGACTTCTCCCTTGCTGCTCTTGTGATGGAGTTCTAGTGTGTAGCACTTGCTTTTTCACTCTCTCCTTCTCCTGCTCCGCCATGGTAAGATGTGCCTGCTTCCCCTTCACCTTCCACCATGATTGTAAGTTTCCTGAAGCCTCCCAGCCATGCCTCCTGTTCAGCCTGGGGAACCACGAGTCAATTAAACCTCTTTTTTTTTTTTATATAAACTACGCAATCTCAGGTAGTTAGTTATAGCAGTGTGAGAACAAACTAATGCAGACACTGACTACTTGCGGATCTAGTTTTATAGCTACATAATCTGGAAAGGTGGAAGTGTAAAAAGGTGTATGAGTAGACAACACAATATGTTCCAGGACATCTAGAAAGAAATAACCATTCTCAATTAAATAGCTCTTCTCACAAGGCAGGGAGACTTCACAATACACACAGCTCTACTCAGGTTTTAATTCAGCCCAATTTAACTCAATATCTATTAAGTGTCCCCTCCCCCATACATCCAATGCTGCATTGAGGTTTACACAATGTTTCTGTTTTTCTTTTCTTTTTTTCACTGTTTTTTCTTTGCCTGCTTTCAAGAAAAAAGTACTGCCAGATTATCTCCCCAATCGGATCTCTTTCATATTAAAAAAATAATAAAGCTTTAAAAGTAATGGAAGAAACTGAAATTGTCTTTTATGAATGTATTGATGTCTTCTTTGGGGAGACACAGGGTGTAGACATTTGGAACTGAGAACCACTGTTAATAAAAGGGATCTTTGGGGTTCTGGGAGCTGCACCAGGACCAAGTGATAGATGCCCTTGACTAGGATGTTCTCCAAAGAAGATGGCCTTGTGCGACTACACATGAAGGCACACAGCTAGAAGCTCAGCTGCAATAAAAAATGCATGTAGACCATGAATGAAGACACCTGGGGGCAGAAGAGCATCCTGGTCATGTTTTATTCCCAGCAACTGACATGATGTCTGGCCCCACATGAAACCTCATCAATGTGTCCTGAATGAATAAAATAGCAGGATTGCTAGTGACTGGACTTGAGATAGATAAAAATAAAATAAAATACAATAAAGCAAAATAAAGATAAACATTGAACTCATTTGGATATTAAGTTCTTCACCCTCAGAATCTTATCGTCTCTACTACTCTTTCTCACTCAGAAGTCAGGGTGAAACTGATCAATTAACAAACCACAAATCCTGAATTGATTCTGTTTGTTTGTCAGGGGTTGAGCAGGAGGTGTGCATGGGTGGTATATTTGAGAACGCTCTAGTGTTACTATGCCCTGTAGGGGAGTCTTTCTATTAAAAAAAAAAAAAATCTATGAAGACTGGCAGTTTTCCATTCTACCGTGACTGCCTACATATTTCTCCTGAAGCTGAAGGCAAAGCGCTCTTATGCCATTGCAGTGCAGCTCAGGGTGGGATGGGGTAGGGAGAGTGATAGACCAAGCCCTGAGAACAAGAGCATGCTGTGGATAGGAAGAAATTCTTCCTAGCATAGCAGACTGTGACATAGAGAAAAATTTCAAACTTTAACTCTCAGCTTTGCCTGGATCTGTGTAATAGCCATTAGAAATAGCAGCAGCTGTAGATACAGAAAGCTGATGAAGTGTGAATTATGAGCAACTGCAGACAGAGACAGAATTCTCTGCAAATGGTTCATAAGCCTAAATACAAGGAAGCAATTATTCCAGGGCAGGCAAGCTTAGGGCACAGAGAAGGATCAGCAGAGTCCAAGACAAAGTATCCCAGACTAAGACCATTACAACAAAAGAGGATTTCCATTGGCTTAGGGCATAAATAACATTTCTCTCTCTCTCTCATACTCCAGTGGTGGTTTAACAGCTCCCTAGTGAGGCAAGATGTGATGCTCACACTGATGCTAAATGGTACCACAAGCATACCACTTGCAATTCTAAATATATGTTCATGCTTTAGCATACTTAGAGTTAACTTAATAGTTCACTCCACAGTATGGACCTGGTTATCTCAGATAATCCTTGTTTGCTTGTTATGATCTCTCAAATAAAAGATATGCCCCAATTATCAGAATATTTTCTCTCTTCTCAGTAGCCTCCTATTGACAACTGCAGTCTGGATTCCAGTTTCTGGATGAGCAAAACAGGTAGAACAAACAAACAAAACCATCTTTTAAATAATGCTTAATAAAGGTGTGCTTCTCACTATATTGCTTCACAAATTCTGGAGCTGGCTGTACCTTAATTGTTTGGATGCTAGCAATGCAAAACGCTGAGTAAAACAGCATCTGTTTGTGAAAACAAATTCTCGTTTTGAAGCTCCAGTAACAGAACTAGCCACACAGACAGTGGTGAATGCAATTTATTTTCTTTTAAGTTGTGACAAATACTAAATGTATACTTTTTAGTCTTTTTTCCCTTGGGAAAATGACTGCCGCAGGCTCCCTGCTGACAAAGCTTATCACTAATTCATTCGCCTTCTTTAACAATAAAAAACATTTTCCATAAGCTGAAGTGAATTTGCTACATTATAACTCAATCACCAACTAGGAGAAGTTTCCTTCTGCATCAGTTGAAAAACATTTAAATTTTTCTCAATTTCTTTGCAATGTTAACAATCTATGTGCTTTTATATTCCCATTTTTAACACTGAAAAAGTGATTTCTCTCATTCTTGAAATCCAGCATGTTCTAGACACTTAATCAAACCTCTCCTGTGTCTTCATAAAGTTGGCATAAATTACATGCATCTGGGAAGGCACTAATTCTGAAATTATTAAGTTTGTACAAGTAAATAAATAGGATATAGAATCTGAAACCAAATGGAAATTAAACTGACCTCCAGCCTTCCTGGAAACTTTTCCTTTTGTTTATTCATTTTCCTTTTCTTATTTGTAAGTGCTCACAACCTAAATTGGAGACAGTTCAGCTGAGAATATATTACAAAATAACATCCTTTGTTTGTAAATAGCTAACACACTATTTGGGCAAATTTCTTAAAGAAATGTGATGCTTTCAAAACAATCATTTAATTTAGAGGAGAACAATTAGTTGTTATATAAATAACTATCGGTTGGTTGTTGAAAGATTATTTTGGAGGCTATAAGTAACTACATCTAAGCATTACACTACTTTCCCCAAATTACACAAATATGAAGTGTATAATTAGGATGGAAAATTAAAGGTCTTTGTGCTGTCATGATATAAAATGGTGACACTGTGACTGTAGTTACAAAGAAAGCCCCATGTAAAAAACAAACCACAAATGGAAAACCCATCACAAAGCAAAGCAGCTTGTGGTGCTCTCACACAAGCGTGGTATCTATACAGTATAATTTAATTCAAGTGTCAGAAAACATTCCTCAGGGTGTCTAGGCTTGCTCTGTTGAGGTACGTGTCACCAGAAGTAACTCTGCTTCATGTTAAAACAGGAATCCCCAAACTTTGCTATACACTGAGTCTCTTGAAGACACTTTAACCCTGATGCCCGGTCACATTCCATCTTAATTAATTCAGAATGTTTGGAGAAGGTAGCCAGACTTTAGTTTTTGTTTTGTTTTGTTTTGTTTTTTAATTGAGACGGAGTTTCACTCTTGTTGCCTAGGCTGGAGTACAGTGGTGCAATCTTGATCTTGGCTCACTGCAAACTCCACCTCCCGGGTTCAAGTGATTCTCCTGAATCAGCCTCCTGAGTAGCTGGGATTACAGGTGCGTGCCACCACGCCCAGCTAATTTTGTATTTTTAGTAGAGACAGATTTCGCCATGTTGGCCAGGTTGGTCTTGAAGGCTTACGCCTGTAATCCCAGCACTTTGGGAGGCCGAGGCAGAGTATTGAGTATTTTTTAAAGATGTGCTTGCTTCGGCAGAACATAAACTAAAACTGGAACAATACAGAGAAGATTAGCATGACCACTGCTCAAGGATGACATGTAAATTCATGAAGCATTCCATAAAATTTTTTAAAAATAAAAAAATAAAGATGCTCAAGTGATTCTGATGTGCAGTAAAGTTTAGGAGCCACTGGGTTAAAGAAAAATAAAGGTTAAAAGATCATCCAAATGTCATTCAATGTTGACGCGAACAGCACTCACATTTTGACAGGATGGATACAAGTACAGGCTCCCATTTTTTATTTTGAAATCTTTGGGGATGATATGTTTTAATATGGGGCTTTCTTTGTAACTGCAGTCACAATGTCACCATTTTGGGAAAGTAGTGTAAAGGTTAAATTTAGTTACTTGCAGCCTCCAAAATAATCTTTCAACAACGAATTTTTAATTCTGTAACAGCTGATTTTTCTCCTCCAAATTAAATGACTGTTGTGAAAGCATCACATTTTTTAGAAATTTCCCCAATTAGTGTTTTAGCTACTTACAAGCAAAGGATGCTATTTTGTAATATATTCAGATTCTTTTCATATGTTATACATTACATAGACCAGAACAGACCAAATTGTGGAGACGGGGCACTCTGTAACCATAAAGCACTAATATTTCTGAAGGAAATAATTCACACTAAGTGAGATAATTGAAACTGTAGATCATCTCACCTCAACTGATGTCAGATTTTGACACCAAATATATTTTTTTCATACATTTGTAAAACCACTGTTGCTCACAGAGCTTTTGGGATTTTGTAATTGTGGATGAAGGCATGTGGACCCATAAACTGAGTCAAACCATCACTAATTCAAATCAGGAGGTAAAGCAAGATTTTATTCACAGCAGCAGCCCCTGCAAGGCTGACAGTGATGAGAGAGTGAATCCCACCACCTTCTCATTACAGTCTCAATCCCTTTTCTCTAGGAACAATTCTTTTAAAAAAATTTGTTTTTTAGTTCACACTCTTTTAATCCCTTAGTCCCCATAAAATAAACATTCTAAAGTGTAAGCAGTAGAAATAATGTAAACACTACAGAAACAGAAATAAATTAGTTTCTTGACAGAAATAAATTAGTTTCTAGACTTGGTGGAGGTCCTTTTGCTGAACACTATACTCCATCGAGAACAGAATTCATCTTGAAGGAAGAAGAAATCTTTGGCCTATTTCTCCATGTCTTCAACATTGCATAACAGACATTTTTCAAATTCAATTTCTTCTCCAACTGCACCAAAAAGGCAAGGATTAGTCTGTTTTAGGAGCCTGGATCTGGTTCTGTGAGAGCCATGTCCATTTGGAACAAGGCTTTAACTTGTTCTGTTTCAGTATCAAAATCTATGTCACAAAAGCAGCGCTGAGTGGGCAGTCCTGGCGTGGTGCTCATCATTCCTACCAAAGGGTAAATGAACCCATTGCCATTCTTATACAAGAGCTGACAAGTTTTCTAAAGGCTGAATTTTGTGTATATGTGTGTGTGTTCATACACACATATCTACATATATCATACACACACATATACATTTGTGTATAATTAAAATGCCAACCCATTGGGACCTATGCCTTCAAAAAATCAACCAGCCACAAGCCATAAGAATAATTAATCATCATGGTCTGTACCTCTTGAGGCTGTCAAATGGAATATTTACAGTTATGTGTAATAACCTGTTATTTAGTATCTATAAACCACAGTTGTGGTTCAACAGCTCATGGCTCTAGAAGTCAGTCTTATCACATCCAAAATAGAGCATGCTGAGTCAGTTATTGGAAACAGCCTATTGGCTTTCTGTCCTCTGGTGGAGTTGCTCACTGGTATTAATCAGATGAGGAGAAAACTCATGGATTTTTACTGGGGAAAGATAGGGATTGTCAATTAGAACAGGACCAAACTAAAGACTGAAGCTTTTACTCTAGAGGCATCTAAAGAAAACATAGCTTCCTAGTATGTGGTGAAAGACCCAAGCTGATTATAGTTTTGGTGCTAGGCAGCCAGTGGATAGCACCTCATAAGTAGTCTCTACAGGGATCTGATAGGATAATTCTATGAAAAGCACATGAAGTTAGAAGAGTCATCCCTGTGGACAAAGTTCCCAAGGCTTCCTTCAGGAACTCATTGAGAAATAATTAGCTTCATTTTATGACCTGAGTGTTTCCTCCACCCACTCACTCAGGGGCACCAAACTCAAGAATCAGGGGGAGAAGCAGGCCTCTCGTTCTAGTATTGTCCCAAATAGCCAAGTGCAGATTTTATCACAGTGAGAGAACTAGCAAGGATAAGAACTACTGACTCCAATTGAAAACCATAGGTAGGTCTTCAGAGCTGCTCAAAATAATCCTTTACTTGTTGCTATTCACCTTTATTCATTATGAATAATAATGAATGTCTTTGTAAATTATACCAAAACATAATTTTTACCATAATAATGGTATGAATGTCATTATTATTCTGAAGTCTTCTATCCCACCTCTCTCTCAGGAAATAGGCCTAGCTGACTAAACAAAATAAGTCTATCATATTTGGTTTCCCTTAGCTTCCTTCCCCACACTTAAAAATTGATTTGCATCCACACCCACTTTCTTGTTTCCTTCTTTCTTGTTCCTAGTCTAATTGTCCCACTTTTGCTACCAGCAGCAGAATGCAGGGACCCTCTCTCCTGCATTTTCTGTATTCCCCCTCCCAAATAGAGCTCTCTTTTACCTGTAAACATGCTAATACATTTACCATCTGAAAAACAACAGCAAAAAGTGAAATGACCTTCAGTTTTTCATAGCTTCACCTTCCTAGCTTTTATAGCCTAGGTTTCTTGAAAGGGGTGAATGAGAGATGAGAAAATGAAGATAGTTAACTTAGCTTCCCTTCCCACTAGTGCACTGAAATTGTTCTGGCTGGGGTCAATTATCCTAGCAGCAGAAATTCAATAGACACCTTTCAGTCACCTCCTACTTCACCTTTCTGCAACACTTTTCCTTCTTCCTGAACTAGAATTGGCTTTTTGTGACACCACTCTCTCTGGGTTTTCTTCATGTCTCTAAGACCTTTATTGTGTTTTCTTTATAAGCACTTCATCTTCAACCTTCCAATTAAATTATCATGATCTCAGGGTTCTGTCAATGATTTCAATTACATCTTTAATATCACTCAAATCCATCCTCTTCTCTCGAGCACCATGGACATTAGCTTAATTTAGAACTTCATCATTTCCATTTTGGATTCATCAACAGCTTCCTAACTGCTCCTCCCATCATTCTCCTGGTCTTGCTTCACTTACCAGCCCTTTGATGGCAAATACCTGTCACATGATCTGCATGTCTCTGCTACTGTGCTCTTGAAAACCACACTTATTTTTAACAATAGGGAAAAATATTATTTCTCTTGGAAGCTGAATCTTTCCTTGACTTATATTTCCATCGATTCCTCAATATGCCTCACATTTTCTAGATACTGCATGGTGAAGTCAAATGCATTCTTTTTGGAAGTGATACAATGGCAGCACACATATTTTTGGAAGTTCTTCCTGGGATAACAGTCATACCTGGATACAAAATTAAGGCTTTTTTTCTACATTAGCCTGAGCATAGCCTCAGAATCCTCTTCAACACAGTGCCAGTTTATGTAGTTTGAACACTAGTTGAAACTAATTGTCATTCTTGCTTTGAATATCCTCTACTCCACTGCACTGTGGTCCTTCTAAAACAAACAATACAATGTGACCCTGATGCCACAGCTGACAATGTTTCAATTGTTCTCTTTTGCCTATAGGATTCGGTCTGACTTTATTCTGACCCAGAAGTTCCCCAGGACCTGGCCTTGCCTATCTCAGCAGTCTTCCCTCCAGCACTCTCAGACTTCCCCAGTCTAAGCTGTGGCTTTCACAAACTACTTACTATTACCAAAGACTGCTTGTGCTCTTTTATTTCCATAGGATGTTTAAGGCTTCTATCTATGAGAGTCAATGATGTCAACAACAACAAAATGAGCATTTAAATTAGACAAAAGATCCCAGGAAGCACCTTAGCAGAAACCTATGATATCATGCATCACTTACGAATGGGCTATGTTGTGAGAAATGTGTCATTAGACAATTTTGTCATTATGTGAACATCATGGCATGAACTTACACAAAGCTAGATAGTGTAGCCTACTACACAGCTATGCTATATGGTGTAGCCTATTATTCCTGGGCCACAAACCTTTACAGCATGTTACTGTACTAAATACTGTAGGCAATAGTAATGCAATGGTAAGTATTTGTGTATGTAAATATATCTAAACATAGAAAAGGTACAGTAAAAATACAGTATTATAATCTTATCGGACTACCCTTGTAAGTGCGGTCACTCAGTCACTGACTGAAACATTGTTATGCATTGCATAACCGTACTAAGGATTAAAGAAAGGAAGAAAGACAGATAAAGAGTGGGAAAGTAAAAGAAACTTGTCAGAAAAACTAATAGAGAAAAGTGTTACAGCAATCAATGGAAGAGAAAAATAAAAAGATGTATGTGAGTGAGTCTGTGTGTGTGTGTGTGTGTGTGTGTGTGTGTGTGTGTGTGTCTTGCATCAGCCTACACTGAAAGTGCTGAGGAAAGAGTAGTGATTAAGAGAGGAAATAGATATATGACCAAAAAGATGACCAATAGTTTCAAATATTGCAGAATAGAGCAAAGTAAATCAGAACCAAGTAGAAGCTATTCAGTTTGGTGTCTAGATTGACGTAACTTGAAGTAGGTGTTTCCGCTGAGAAGTTGGGGGAAATCAGATTACAAAGTGTTAGGGACTGAGTAGGTAGTGAGGAAGTGACACAGAGTGGAGGAAACATGGTCTCCTTCCCCACTGGTCAGTGAGTTTCCTGGAGGCAGAGACTAGCATCTAGTACAGCATTTGTGCAGAGATTTCTTTGATAAGTATGATTTATGAAATATCCAGCTCTATACAGCCTGAAAGCCAAGACCTGACCATTGTCATGAACATGACAATGTGAGTACCTTTGATTGACGTTTATCAAAGCTTGCCATGGGAACCAGGTAGATCTCCTTTGCTCTAAAGGGTGGTCCATTTTTATATTGAAGCCATCGGACTTCAACATCAATGCCCTTTTGCTTGAAAGCAATTTGATACATTTGAATAATCTAAGTAGAGATTGCATAACCTCTGTTGGAGAATTCTGTGAATTAAAGAGCATTTAAGCTAGTTATCCTCTTCATTTTTATGCTTTTCCTTTGTGATACTCTATAGGCAGTGTAGCCCTTGTCTCATTTTTGACCGTCATCCCTCTAAAAGCTGATCTATGTTGCTTCACAGTTTCAATTATACCATGTCTTAATTGTTTTTCCCTTTTTGTTTGTACTTTGCTAAACCTTGTTGCTTTTCACTTGGATTGATTTAACAGCCTTTTTGAAGCTAACAATGTCTTGATTATTTTTTATGTTTAAATTCCTTTATAGATAATTTTCTTGCTAAAAATCAAATGAAAGACATTTTAAAAAATTTCCTTAAGTTGTTCCTTATTATCATGCAAAAATCTTAAACTGATTATCAACACTCACTAATCTGTCATTCATTTTCAATTGTTTCTCTAGTTACTTCTGTATGTAGCCTACCCCCAACCAAATCCATCAGTCCCATTCTTACCAGAGTCTTTCTCTCTAACTTATTCACACAGTTCTCACTCCTTTTCCTCTCTTTAGGGTATATCTAAATGTTCTTTTTCTTCATTTTGTGGGCAAGGAAATGCACTCCAGGAGTCATTCTTAGTCTTCCCCGTCTATAATTTGATTTCCTCATCTGTAAATGTTCACAGCCCTCTGTGCCTTTCTGGCGAGATGTATCATATTCCACCTTATATTATAGTTGTTTGCATGTGTCTTATTTCTTCTCCTAGATCTTCACGTATTTAGCCTAGTGCCATCCACATAGCAATTACTCAATAAATATCAAATGAATGCATAAATGCATGGATGAATAGGTGAGAAGAAAGATACAAGAGATTAAAATGCAAGATTAAAAACCAATCTGTGGGGATTTACTAAGCAATTTATTTAAAATATGTGGACTTCTAAATTGGCTAAATTAGGCAAACAAAGGAACACGGTATGTCTTAAATTTCACAGTTAGTATTAGATCCATCTCAATAGCCAAAGTCTCCTCCTCATTTGGACTGAATTGATGTAGCAAGTGACTGTACCCACTAACAAGGATAGAGGACTGGAACGTTTGTTTGTGGTGAAGCTAATCTTCACTATACAAATCTATGTTTTAAATGCTGATTTGTATATGCAGACCAAACAAATTAACAATCTTATGTTAGCAATGTTCCAATAAGCATTTTTAATGCAAATCTTTTAAAAGCACTGTCAACAATTAGCTGCATTTCTTCCTTAAAATGTTTACCCATAAAAGACCTAAATGTTTCACCCACCTAGCCCTTAAAAAATATATTAGAAATGAGACTGGGAAGCCTAAACCTCCGTCCCTGATCAAATGAGAGAATGAGGCTGGATTGACATAAAAGTATTGCCATTTTTGGAAAATAAAGCAAAATACTTCCCTTATGTAAAGAAGGTCAGAATAGCCATCAACTTGTAAAAGATGCAGCTCATTAAATTGGGGGCGGATTTGAAGATAGAAGAGTCAAGAAATCTGGAGAGAAAAAAAGGACTCTTCTACAGGTGAGCAGGGAGCAAGTTCACTGTTGTCCCAAAAAGAAGTTTGGAAGTTGAAGACTTGGGGGTGAGATGGTTTAAAGTCATTTAGGAGAAATAGAAAAATATTTTTAAAGAGATCCATGGAAGGCTGAATGTCATGAAAATCTACGGAAGAATTTTGTAAATCCTGCTGTTGTTACCAGAAAAGGATCCTGATCCAGAATTCAAGAAAGGGTTCTTGGATCTTGTGCAAGAAAGGTTCAAGGCGAGTCCTCAGAATAGTGTGAAAACAAGTTTATTAAGAAATTATAGGAATAAAAGAATGACTACTCCATAGACAGAGCAGCGGCATGTGCTACTTGACTGAGTGTACTTAAGGTTATTTTTAGTTATATGCTAAACAAGGGATGGATTATTCATGAGTTTTTCAGGAAAGAGGTAGGGAGTTCCTGGACCTCAGGGTTCCTTCCCTTTTTAGACCACATAAGGTAACTTCTGGACGTTGCCATGGCATTTGTAAACTGTCATGACATGGGTGGGAGTGTCTTTTAACATATTAACACATTATAATTAGCATATAATGAGGAGTGAAGACGACCAGAGGTCACTTTCTGTCATCTTGGTTTTGGCAGTTTTCGCTGGCTTCTTTACAGCATCCTGTCTCATCAGCAGAGTCTTTGTGACCTGATACCAGTCTTGCTGACCTCCTGTCTCATCCTGTGACTAAGAGTGCCTAACCTCCTTGAAATTCAGTCAAGCAGGTCTCAGCCTCGTTTTACTCACCCCCTATTCAAGATGGAGTTGCTCTGGTTTGAACACTTCTGACACTCTGGCCCCTTTCTCAATTGTATATATCACCGCATGCTTGTCATACTAGCTTATTGCATTTTTTGAGGGAGTAATAGGAATGGGATCATTATCAATGAGTTTACTCTCAAGATAATTATGCTACTAAGGAACAATTGAGCACAAAACACCATTATTTGTGGGATGAATTAATGCACATATCCCAATAGATAGATGGATAAATAGATGATCGATCGATAGATAGATAGGTGATAGATAAATATATAGATAGATAGACAGATAGATAGATAGATAGATAGATAACTTATCAGAGATTTTCTCTCTAAGACAAATGATGTGGCTTGCAGTTAAAAGTAAACAATTTAGAGGTTGGGAGCTGGACTAGCAGTAAGAAAATGTACCTGAAATTTGAAATTTCCCAAGCATGTGACCCTGCTGGTCTATAAAACTACTTCAAATGAGCAAAATAAGGACATTGATTGAGGCAAAGAAATCCACTGTGAAATGCTCATGTCTCCTTGGTGTGCGGCACATTTCAAAGTA
Source organism: Homo sapiens (assembly GCF_000001405.40). Lineage (NCBI taxonomy): Eukaryota > Metazoa > Chordata > Mammalia > Primates > Hominidae > Homo > Homo sapiens. The sequence continues at coordinate 36,301,669 of NC_000008.11, read as the reverse complement.
ACTAATGCTTCCAAATTACTTTATCCTGTGTACGCATCCACTTCCTGTCTCTGCCTGCAACATACATGTTTATAATGACATATTGATTTCAAGTCCAGCTTAAAATGGAATGGAAGCTGCCCCTCTACTGGAGAGGGGGCCGTTTCTCCTGACTCAGCTCACACTGTGTACATTCTTAATGCATGATCTGTCTACCGGGTGATTGGTCCTTGGACTATGCAGAGAAATAAGGTTGAGAAAAAGGGAATAGAGTAGGGGAAAAAAAAAAAAAGGAGATGGGCCCTTTCTCATTTCAGAGGTGAATTGAGTTCCAGGCCTGAGTTAGTAGTTGTCTATCAAATTCTGTCCAAATTCTTTCCAAAGTCAAACACTTTAAATCTAGCAACCCTGACAACTCAGGATACACATTTTAAACCGTAAAGTTCAGCTCAGCATTCTATTTTGACATTGACAGCCACTGCCAGAATTATTACCCTGCCTCAATTCATCCAGTGACTCATGAATAAGATACCAACCAAGTGAACAGAAGACCTCAGAGAGTTTCCATTCTAATTCCAGAAACTTCATCAATTCTGAACAATAAATACTCAGGAAAGTACACAGTAAAATACAGCAGCAACAAACAACATGAAATTACATAGAAAATATTAGACATGTAGAGGCCAAAATAAAACACAAACAAAAAGTGAGCCAAAATTATGGATGTTTAAAAAGCAAATACAGTTTTATTACTTTCAGCTGCATATAGTAACTTTGAAATAGTGTGTTTTTAGCTAGACAGACAACTGGCTCTGCTCTAATGAACAGATAAAATAAATTTGTTGCAATAACCTTCGATTTTCATAGAAATACCATGACATGTTTTAAAAAATGCTTTTTGATCTTCAGTAAAATAACATGTTAACATTCATCGGGTTATTACTAAATGCTGAAATGCTGAGACCTGTGTAAGATAATTTGCCCATGTTATCTCACTTAATTTAAATTCTAAAAGGCATTTAATATCTCCTTACAGGTGAGAAAAGTAAAGTTTGGGAAGGATAAGTAAAATGTCTAAGTGTGTATAACTAGTAAATGATAGAGCTCAAATTTGAGCTCAGTGCTTTTTGGGCTGCTGGTTCCTGCGGTATAGAGTAAATGTGCCCAAGAGCTCATTTATTTCTATTATTAAAATACATTGATCACCTGAGGTCAGGAGTTTGAGATCAGCCTGACCAACATGGTGAAACCTCATCTCTACTAAAAATACAAAATTAGTTGCGGCTTGGTGGTGAACACCTGTAAGCTACTCAGGAGGCTGAGGCAGGAGAATCACTTGAATCTGGGAGGTGGAGGTTGCAGTGAGCCAAGATTGCATCATTGCATTCCAGCCTGGGCAACAAGAGTGAAACTCTGTCTCAATAAATAAATAAATAAATAAAAATACATTATAGGAAATGTGACCAAAAATTAAGACTAGCTTAGCTGACAAGTGAAATTATGTAGTTCAATTTACATGTACAGATAATGTATATAAATGTTATATAGAAACAAATTTGGAAAGTCATAAGCTTATTCTAGTAATGCCACCAATCCTTAAAAATCTTAAAAATAATTTTAGAATTCTTATTTGAAATACCTTGAGAAATTTGTTTAAGTTCCTTATGTATTCTGAATATTAGAACTTTGTCAGATGCATGGATTGCAAATATTTTCTTCCATTCTGGAGGTTGCGTGTTTACTCTGCTGATAGTTTCTTTTGCTGTGCAGAAGCTCTTTATTTTAAGTAGGTCCATTTGTCAATTTTTGGTTTTGTTGCAATTGCTTTTGGTGTCTGTGTCATGAAGTCTTTGCCAGGTCCTATGTCCAGAATGGTATTTCCTAGGTTATATTCCAGGGTTTTTATAGTTTTTGGTTTAAGATTTTGGTCTTTAATCTATCTTGAGTTAATTTTTTAATATAGAATAAGTAAGGGGTTTAGTTTCAATCTTCCACAAATGGCTGGCCAGTTATCCCAGCACCATTTATTGAATTGGGAGTCATTTCTCCATTGCTTGTTTTTGTCAAAGATCAAATACTTTCAGGTGTGTGACATTATTTCTGGACTCTATATTCTGTTCCATTGATCTATCTGTTTTTGTACCAGTACCATGCTGTTTTGGTTATTGTAGATGCTGGTGAGGTTGTGGAGAAAAGGGAACACTCATACACTGCTGGTGGGAATGTAAGTTAGTTCAGCCATTGTGGAAAACAGTTTGGCAGTTTCTCAGAGAACTTAAAACAGAACTACTATTTGACCCAGCAATCCCATGATTGGGTATATACCCAAAGGAATATAAATTGTTCTACCATAAAGACACATGCACACTTATGTTCACAGCAGCATTATTTACAATTGCAAAGATGTGGAATCAACATGAATGCCCATCAATGGTAGACTGTATAAAGAAAATGTGGTACATATATATCATGGAATATTATGCAACCATTAAAAAGAATGCAACAACATGGATTCAGCTGAAGGCCATTATCCTAAGCAAACTAACACAGAAACAGAAAACCCAATATCACATGTTCTTGCCTATAAGTAGGAGCCAAACATTAAGTACACATGGACACAAAGAAGAGAACAATGGACAACAGGGCCTACTTGAGGATGAAAAGTGGGAGAAGGTTAAGGATTAAAAAACTGCTTATTGGTTATATGCTTATTATCTAAGTGACAAAATAATCTCTATACCAAACCTCCACGACACACAATTTACCTATTAACAAACATGCACATGTACCCCTGAATCTAAAATAAAAGTTTTAAAAAATTAAAATTAAAAAAAGAAATACCTTGAGAGGCAGTGTATGTCATACATGAAACGATATTCATGACATATTAATGGAGCACTGATATGGTTTTGATCTGTGTCCCTACCCAAATCTCATGCTGAAATGTAATCCCTAATGCCAGAGGTAGGGCCTAGTGGGAGGTAATAGGATCATGGGAGCAGAATTCTCATGAATGGTTTAGCACCATCCCCTTAGTGCTATTCTTGTGATAGTGAGTGAGTGAGTTAACATGAGATCTAGTTGTTTTAAAAGCATGTAGCACCTCCCACCTTGCTCTCCTGCTCCTGATCCAACCATGTAAGACACCTGCTTATGATTTGCCTTCTGTCATGAGTAAAACCTCCCTGAGGTCTTCTCATAAGCAGATACTGCCATGCTTCCTGTACAGCCAGCAGGACTGTGAGCCAATTAAACCTTGATTCTATATAAATTACCCAGTCTTGGGTATTTCTTTATGGCAGTATGATAACAGACTAATGCAAGCACTTTTAAGTCACAGTCACTAAGTTGGGAGGGAAATAAACATATATAAATAAATACAGTGATGTAATTACTTCTCTCTAGTCATTTGAAATATATTTGGGAGAATGGGATATTTTCACAAATACCTCAGTGTGAGACAGTTTGCAGTTCACATGTCCTGAGAGGGGCAATTTTCTGCATATTGTACATGAGTACATCAACGGCTATTCTGTAATTACATTTGGACGACTGAATAATTTTAGTTTTATTTTAAAACTAAAATATCCAGGTCATGCTGATGCAAAAGGTGGGCTCCCATGGCCTTGGGTAGCTCCGCCCCCATTGCTTTGCAGGGTACAGCCCCACTCCGGCTGTTTTCACAGGCTGGCATTGAGTGTCAGTGGCTTTTCCAGGTGCATGGTACAAGCTGTTGGTAGATCTACCATTCTGGGGTCTGGAGGATGGTGGCTCTCTTCTCACAGCTCCACTAGGCAGTGTCCCAGTGGGGATGCTGTGGGGGTTCCAACCCCACATTTTCCTTCCCCACTGCCCTAGCAGAGGTTCTTCATGAGGGCTGTGCCTCTGAAGCAAACTTCTGCCTGGACATCCAGGTGTTTCCATACATCCTCTGAAATCTAGATGGAGGTTCCTAAACCTCAATTCTTGACTTCTGTGTACCCACAGATTGAATATCACATGGAAGCCTCCAAAGCTTGGGGCTTGCACCCTCTGAAACAATGGCTCAAACTGTACCTTGGCCGCTATTAGCCGCGGCTGGAGCTGAGGCAGCTGGGACATAGGGTACCATGTCCCAAGACTGCACAGAGTGGGAGGGCCCTGGGCCTAGCCCAGGAAACCATTTTTCCCTCTTAGGCCTCTGGATCTGTAATAGGAGGCACTGTCATAAGGTCTTTGGCATGCCCTGCAGACATTTACACCATTGATTTGGTGATTAATATTTGGGTCCTGGTTACTTATACAAATTTCTGCAGCAGGCTTGAGTTTCTCCTCAGAAAATGAGTTTTTCTTTTCTATTGCATTATCAGGCTGCTAATTTTCCAAACTTTCATGCTCTGCTTTCTCTTGAGTGCTTTGCCACTTAGGAATTTCTTCTTCCAGATACCCTAAATCATCTCTCTCAAGTTCAAAGTTCCACAGGTCTCTAGGGCAGGAGCAAAATGCCATCAGTCTCTTTGCTAAAGCATAGCAAGAATCATCTTTGCTCCAGTTCCCAAAAAGGTCCTCATCTTCCTCTGAGACCACCTCAACCTGGACTTTGTTGTCCATATCACTATCAACATTTTGGCCAAAGACATTCAACAAGTCTCTAGGAAGTTCCAGACTTTCCCACATCTTTCTGTTTCTTCCAAGCCCTCCAAACTATTCCAACTTTTGCCTGTTAACCAATTCCATAGTTGCTTCCACATTTTGGGGTATCTTTATAGCAGCACCCCACTCTCTGTGGTGTCAATTTATTGTATTAGTCTGTTCTCATGCTGCTATAAAAAACTACGCAAGACTGGGAAATTTATAAAGGAAAGAGTTTAACAGACTCATAGTTCCACAGCGCTGGGGAAACCTCAGGAAACTTGTAATCATGGTGGAAAGGGGAGCAACCATGTCTTTCTTTACATGGTGGCAGGAAGGAGAGGTGCTGAGCAACGGGGGAAAAGCCCCTTATAAAATCATCAGGCCTTGTGAGAACTCACTCACTATCATGAGAACAGCATGCAGATAACTGCTCTCATGATTGAATTACCTCCCACTGCGTCCCTCCCACAATATGTGAGGATTATTGAAACTACAACATGAGATTTGGGTTGAAACACAGCCAAACCATATTACTGAATCTGGATGAATAGTTACCAATCTATAAATGGGGGAGTTGGAGAAAAGTTTATCTTTTCTTTCAATCCAACAATGAACAAATATTGTCTATGTGTTGAAAAGTGAAAGGATAAATTCTACAGTAACATATTATTATTTTATGATAGGGGCATCATCTTAAATTTTATCTACTACATCCTGGCTAAAATAATGGGTCTTATTATTTTAAGGTGAATCTGGCCAAAGGTGGATTGGACTTCTACCTTAGTTAACAAATTTAGATTCCATATTTAGAGAATACATTTCCTTTTTTAGAAATGGGCAAAATTGTTCACAGCTATCATAATTGAGGATAGCCAAAAGTCAGTTACAAGCTCTGAAGACAACTTGAAAAAAAGAAGTTGAAATTTATGAATGTCAGTAAAAAACCATTTTAAATGAATGACCAGACTTCCTGGGTGATCCCTTTAAAGGGGACAACTTGCCTTTGTCAGTCACACTTTGCAGTCACATCTCACGTGTAGTATAGTCTGATATGGTTTGGCTAGTCTGTATATTTGTTCCCTTCAAATCTCATGTTATAATATGATTACCAATGTTGGATATGAGGTTTTGAGGGAGGGGTTTGGGTCATGGGGTTGGATCTTTCATGAATGACTTTGTGCCCTCCCTATGGTAATGAGTGAGCCCTCACTCTATTAGTTCACATGAGATCTGGTTGTTAGAGAGGTGTCTGAGACCTCCCTTACCCTCCCTCTCTCTCATGTCTTCTCACCCTATGATCTCTGCACTCTTTGGCTCCTCTTTGCCTTCGGCCATGAGTAGAAACTTCCTGAGTCCCTCACCAGAATCAGATGCTGGCACCATGAATCTTGGACAGTCTTTAGAATCATGAGGCAAATAAACCTTTTTTCTTTATAAAATACCCAACCTCAGGTATTCCTTTGTGGCAACACAAAATGGACTAACACATAATCCTTACCTTGAAAGGTCACCCAAATCATCTAGTCATGGGAAGCTAAACAAATAAGATTTTATTATTTCCATCAAGCAAAATTATCTTCCTTCAGGACTTCACTCACTTTTTTAATGAGCACAGAATGAGGAAAACTTCTTTAGTTCAGAAATCTGTCAAAATCAGTCTTTTTTATTGTCTACTGTGCCTTTCGATGGTTTGCTAAACATTTTTTCTCATTTTAGTAACTCCATCAACAAAAGCATCTATGCTTATGGACAAAGAAAATAGGGACATTTAGTAATTATCTGACTTGCTGGCTGATGCAGAAATCCCCTGTAAATAATTCAATAATTCAGGCACTGAAGTGGATATTTTGGCCTGAGCTGTTCAATTGAGCTATCATAAATCATGACTAAACACAAGATTTTCTCTTTGTTTAGCACTGTAAATCAGGGACAAAATGAAAAGTATTCCTAGGTGTAGTGCAGATAAAAAGAAGAACACAAAAAGCAATTTTGTTATGCATTTTTCCCTCTCAAGGCTTTAGAATTTCTGATTATTAATCTTCCTTGGGAAGTTTCTATCTGCGTTTATTTCCAGTTATCTCATGAGCAGGTATTCTGGGAAGCTCCTTCTTTCTAAATCTAACCTTTTTTAATAGATAAGTAAGTATTCTAGGGGCTGGGAAATCAACAAAACCAAAAACTTGTTTCTCCCCACTAGTCACCAGGAAACAAGCATCAATAGCATATTAAAGGACAAAAATGGCTCAGGCCTGCTCTCTGTGCTGTGGAGACATCCATGCACGCTGTGCCCAGGGCAAAGAGAGAAAGGAACATTTATTGCTGATTTCCATGGTGCATTGTTGTAAAGATTCACAGATACAACTCAAGAAAGCCAAGTACATTGTTCGAATTACAGTTGAAGAAAAGGTAACCAGTGGCGGGCTGAGAGGAATAGTTGGAAAAAAAGTATTAGATATTTCCATGTCTCTCGACATTAACTCAGACAAGAACTAAGCCAAATATGAATTAAATACCTCCTCTGTGTCTTTTCTTACTTTCTATAAGTAAGAAAACTTTTCCTCCTTCATTAAACTTCTAATAACATGCTTCCTCCCTTTCTCTTTTCTCCTTTAACCAAATCCTTTATGCTCACAGCCTCTTTATGGACCCAGAAACTTCAGGTGTGGACACTGAGCAGGCTGCCTAGGCTGCCCCTCTGCTCTCTGGACAGCTTGTTGGCAGACGGAGGAGTTGCTACTCTTCTAGGCCTCACTGGCGAGGGAGGGCATTCCCAGGCTAGAGGAGAAACTACGAGAGCTCTTCACCTCACTAAGCTGCAAATGAAGACACATCCTGATTTTTATATAGCCATGGATTTGTAGTAATTTTATTATTTTTATAATCTCACTATGATTATTATAATAAAAGTTTTAAGTGCAATGTTCCTAACTCAAGGAAACATAAATGCTTAAGGTGATGGATACCCCAATTACCCTGATTTGGTCATTATATGTTGTATGCCTGTGTCAAAACATTACATGTACCCCAGAAATATATACAACTATTATATACTCATAATAATTAAAAATAAATTTAGTTTAAAAAGTAATCATCATTTCAAAGTGGTTAACGTTGCCTTATGAACTGAATTCATATGCGTGCACACACCCCATGATAAGGCAAAGGAATTGTTCTTCTGATTCTTGTTAATGAATCTAAATATTGTTCAAGTAGCATCTCCTATTCAGGGGAATCAAAAAAATAGGCCATTTTCCCAATGGCAAGATCTTCTTGAATTTTTGGTTCATTGGATTGTATGATGTTCTCCTTATTTTCTAGCATCTTTCCAAGTGTCCAGAGTTATCCAATCAAAGGATCATCTTGAACAACCACCGATCTGATGCATGGATTTTCCTTTATGATATAGTCCAGCTTCTGGTTAAAGTGTCCAAAGGGATTTGAAACTCACTGCCTCCTATGGTATTGAATGTGGCTCCAGATATTAGATTCTTTCCTTCTACTGACCTGAAATCTGTCTCCTGTAAGTTCCATCCTTCGGTCCTAAGTTATGCCTTGTTGTTGCATAGTTTAACTCCCCCACAGAAGGCAGTCTTTGAGCACACACACCTTAACTCTCAATTCACTCCTCCAAGTTTGTTCCTCATACCTCCTGATTCTTTTTTTTTTTTTTTTTTGGGATGGAGTTTCGCTCTTGTCACCCAGACTGGAGTGCAGTGGCGCGAGCTTGGCTCACTGCAGCCTCTGCCTCCCAGGTTCAAGCGATTCTCCTGCCTCAGCCTCCCAAGTAGCAGGGAGTACAGGCGCATGCCACCAAGCCCAGCTAATTTTTGTATTTTTAGCAGAGACGAGGTTTCATCATGTTGGCCAGGATGGTCTTGATCTCTTGACCTCGTGATCCGCCCACCTTGGCCTCCCAAAGAGCTGGGATTACAGGTGTGAGCAACTGCACCTGGCTTTTTTTTTTTTTACGGAATTTTTGCTCTTTCCCCCGGGCTGGAGTGAAGTGGCACAATCTCGGCTCACTGTAACCTCTGCTTTGTAGGTTCAAGTGATTCTCCTGCCTCAGCCTACCAAGTAGTTGGGATTACAGGCACTCGCCACCATGCCCGGCTAATTTTTGTATTTTTAGTAGAGGTGGGGTTTCACCATGTTGGCCAGGCTGGTCTTGAACTCCTGACCTCAGGTGATCCGTCCACCTAAGCCTCCCAAAGTGTTGGGATTACAGGCATGAGCCACCGTACCCGGCCCATACATCCTGATTCTTTCAAGTCTCTTTGTTGTAGAATTTTACTCCTTAGTTTGGCTAAAACCAGGTTAGGGTCGCACAACCAGGAAAATTTAGGCATGTAGATACATTGAAGGGTGAGTAGAGCAGGATTTTATTGGATGAAAAGGAAAAAAAAGAAAAAAAAATCCCTCAGCAAAGTGAGACGGAGTCCTGCTAACAGGCACCCCACCTCCCAGATGGATTCCAGGCCACACACACAGGAACTGAAGAGACCAGGCTTCTCTGTACTGAAAATGACATGAACTTCCTGAGGCTCCACCCCACCCTCTCAACGCACAGGTGTGTCGGAGATTCTCCAGGGACCCTCCCCCTTACCTGCCTCCTGCATCTATCATCTTCACCATCTTGGTGCTTCTTCTTTGGCTTATACCTTCATTAAACATGCAAGCAGTCCCTCTAACTTAATGTCCAGAAAGCAAGAATTAAAAGGCTCCCCTCTAAATGTACCTTTTTAAGTCAGTGAGCAGGCAACTTCTGAAAGAACCCCCAAGAAGAATTCTGCAGTTGGAGAAGCAATAGAAGGTAGAATTCATCTCTTGTGTAAACTTGCAAGGGGCACCATCCTCTGGGATGTGATGTGAACTTGCCTGGAGAGGCAGTAACAGGCTCTAGATGGGGAGGAGAAACTTAGATGTGTGTTTTGCTGTGGTCATCAGAACATGGACTTTGGAATCTGGCAGACCTGGATTTGAAGTATCAGGTCTGACACTTACTAACTTATCAATTGACACATTATTTAATATTACCAGGTCTTAGTTTCCTTATCTGTAAAATGAGTAATAATAACCTAAGTCCAGTGACTACAGAATTTTGTTTGTTTTTGAATGGGAGACTTGAAGCTGAGTTTTAAAAAAGAACATATATAGCATTAAGATCTTCCCTCTATTCAGTAGGAAAGAGCATAAAAGGAAATTACATTGTTTTCATGTATTCAATAATTCAATTATTTATTTAGTATGATTTATGTGGCACACACTATTCTGGGAACTGGGCAAAACATGCAAAACACAACTGCTGAAATTCTACTTATACTGATGTTTAAGATTCAAGAAAGAAAATGTTGATAAATATTACAAATAAAAAAGTTATCATTTATGTAATTCTGAAGAAGAAAATATGAAAAAGTCACCCAGTTGCTGCTCTATGTGTACTTCTTGTGCTACTAAGTTCTAAAGTAATTTTCTGTTAAGAACATATAGCAAGGACGCACACAAGAGTAGAGGGTAGAGTTTCCCTGGAAGGGAGTGGATATTCAATCTGTGAACTTGTCTGAAATGATTCAGAGCCTGGAAAAAGATTTATGACACAGTAGATGAGAAGGAAACTATTTTCTCTAACCCTGACTCCATTGAGTCTAGTGTGCTGGCAATACAGACACTTAAGTGTAGCTCTGGGTGACGGGAAGCTCTACAACAGAGCATTCCTCTAGTTAGTCAAGGAGGTTGCTTTGTAGACATCTAGGGAGATCCCTATTTGACATTCAATGGGGATAGGCTTCCAGGTCCTGAGAACAACGTCATCTAGTAGTAAGTTGTAAGTTTCTTCTGCATTAGATGCTTCCTTAATCTTCAAATGTTCCTTACTCTTTTGATAAATATACAATCTGGGTTTAGCTAAGCTGACCATGGCCCTAAAGCCATTACATTAAAGATAGCAACTTCTAAAGCACTGGTTGTCAACCAGGCACAGTTTTGCCCCTCCAAGGGACACTTGACAATGTGTGAGGATATTTTTTATTGTCATAAAAATGAGAAAGCCTCTGAGATCTAATGAGTAGAGGCCATGGGATGACGCTAAACATCCTGCAGTGCATGGGACAGACCCCTAAATCAAAGAGTTGTCTGGCCCAAAATGTCATTAGTCCCAAGGCTGACAGATCCCCTCTAAGGTAGTATTTGCTGCCCCAGACTTGTGCAGACGGAAGTTGATGTGTGCAGGCAAGACTGGTCATCTGTAGCCAAGTAAAGTGAGTGGCAGAGGCAGTGACCAGGATCATATCAGAAGCACATGTGTGACTCACTGTGTCACTCATTGTGGACACAGTGGAGTCCCCTGGAGTGAAGAGGAAAACTTGAAAAAGAAATCGAGGTCCTATCATCATTCTGGTGACACTAGGAAACTTTAGGTTCTACCAGTTAGCTTCTACAGACAGTAGAACTATTCCCAAATGAATCCTATTTTACTCCAAAGCAATCAGTCTTGACTTGGATGTTACTGCCTTTGGCCTTGATCTGCTGAAGCTTTTAAGACAAAAGTCAGTGCCACATTGCCCAGAGCCTAGGTGCTGTCATTGTCCTGAATGTGTGAAATGCAGAAATTGTCCTCATGCTTTGGTGGATGGTTTCGCAGTCTCTTAACAGGAAAATCTTTCAGTCTTCCTTTCCTCAGCCTTATCTTGCTATCAGTTTAGCGTTTGTCAGGGTTTTTAATCCTTTCATCTGAAATACCTGATTCTAGACTGATTTTTAACTTCCATTTTGCTGAGTCCTTGATTCTAAGTCAGTTGATATGCGTATATATTTTCTGTTATCTCTGCACAATAGATATTTGCCTGGATGGAATCATAATGGCAATAGATTTCTTTAGTGTTCTAAGATTGATTCTGAAGTGTTACTGCCCCATTTAGCGTGTCGTGTCATTTCTACAGCCTGCATTATACTTATCAATCTATTCACCTCATTACATTGTGAACAGGACTATGCCCATTATAAATTAAAATGCAATAGTATTATTATTGTGTTTCTTGTGTTTGGGATATATTTTTGCAATAGAACAAAAGTACAATAAATCATTTGCATGTAATGATTTTTCAGCACCTTTTTGAGATAAAAGGCACCCTGATTTGTGTTTTCAAGTATGACCTCCAAAAGATCTTCCTGAAACACAGGGAGCATGAAAATGCTGAGTCTGTAAATCCTTCTCCAGTTTAAGAAAGTTGTCCTGCTGACTCTTTAAGGGTCAATAGCATACGAATCCCTTCATCCTCTAGTCTGGTCTGTTGATTTGGATAAGCTCAGGGCTCTGTGATGCAATTTGAAATGGAAGAAACAAAAAGAATATGGAAGAATGGTTTATTAGGAATGTATTATATTCCATGGTAATGTCAATATAAATGCAAAATAAAAATCCAGCTGGACTTGAATGTTTTAGAAAGATTCTGTTATTCTTCACAATTTCATTAATCCAGTCACAAATAACAGTGGGCTAGTCTATCTCCCCCACCTCACCTCCTTTCCCCTACCTTCAGTCATTGTTCATTTTAAATAGTTTTAATGGCCCGGAAGTATTCATGAATTCTGGTTGTTTCACTCTCCTAATCATGTTGTAGGCTTAAAATTCACATTTAATTAACCTCTTCACCCAAGGCAAAAATCAATAAGAAAACTCCAAATGCTTACCATACCAATCATGATTTTCATTTGGAGGGAAACTGTTGAAAATTAGACATTAGGACGCCTGAAGAAAAGCAGAGAACTAGTGGTGTAGAGCAAAAAGAAGTTAACACATGAGCTATGAAAATGAAAGCACTAGATATGAGAGAAAATATTCATTCATTCAGATATCAGGGCAACTATATATTTCGGATGTGTTCAGAAAATTATATTTTATCTAGAAAAATTAGAGGCCATCTAACTCACTGAAATCCAGGTGATATAGAACCCAACTTCTCAGGACAGGGAAATGATCAAAAAAAGAGTTACAATTTAGAGAAAAGGCCAAAAATTTTATGGCTTGACAAATGTAGTTCAAATTCTGGCAACAATACTTTATCCATATTTCTTTCATCATGGATTTTAACATCGGTAAGTGTCAGTTTCCCCATCTATAAAATAGAAAAATATTTCTATCTAATAGAAATATCCTAAGGATTAGTTATGATTAAACCAATTGAGGAGAAAGATTTCACAGGTATGTGTGATAACACATTCAAACACACACACACATTGATTATTGATTGATTATTGATTATTAATTGACACAGAGGGGCATTGGGATTCAAACCAAACTAATCAGTATTCTTCTTTGGAAGTTGTAACTGCAAAAGGGAGTTAGTTTCCAGCCCCTCTCAACGAAGAGTGTTAATAAATGTAAGCCAAGAAGCCATGTTTCTTGACATGAAGAGAATATAGTGCACAGAAAGTATAGATAAAACACACACACACACACATACACACACACACAGACAGAGAGAAGTAGAATTGAGAGATGCAGAGATTGATTCATGTTGTTATTCATGTCAGGGGTTACAGCAGTTTACAGAGAACTTGCTATATCCACATCCCGCTTGTGTTTGGCTGAATGACTGCTTCCTGACCTTCTCACTTTTGACAGGATTATTAAGGCAAAAGTCACATATCATAAAATACATTGATTGTAAGTGTACAATTAATTCAATGATTTTTAGTCAATTTATAGAGTTATGCAACCATCAACACAGTCCAATTTAGACAAGTTTCGTCACTTACATTTGCTGGTTTGCAGTCAATTCCCATTCTCACCTCCAGTCCCAGCAACCACTAAGCTGCTTTCTGTCTGTATACGTTTGTTTTTCTGGGAATTTTATATAAATAGAATCATTCAATATAGGTCTTGGAGTATGACTTCTTTCACTCAGCATAAGGTTTTAAGGTTCATCCATGTTGAAATATATATTAATACTTTGTTTCTTTTAATTGATGAATAATATTCCATTATATAAATATATCATACTTTGTTTATCCTTTCATCAAGTCACAAATATTTGAATTGTTTCCAGTGTTGGACTGTTATTAATAATGCTGCTATAAAAGTTTGCATGTGACTGTATATATTATTTATATTATTTCTCTTGGGTAGGCATTGGAGTAGAATTGCTAGGTTGTATCGTAAGTTTATGTTTAAATTTTTAGGGAACAAATTGTGTTTGAAGGTGGTTCTACCTTGTACATATATACCAGCACCATTTCTTCATATCCTAGACAGTGCCATATATAAGGGAATAGGGTGTGGGTTACTTTAAGTTTGTGGCAATTGTCTGAATGGTCTATTTAAAAGGAGGCAATGGGAATGTGAGAAGTCCAGTCTGCAAGGCAGGAATGATGCCTCTAAGTTCTGATCTCTAGCCACCAGGTTTGGGCCATTTGGGTGTGGTGTTCTACCTCTAATTCAAGGCAGCAATGTTTGCTTTCTTGTTCCCGTTATAATGCCTCCACTTAAAGGTGATAGGTCATATTTATAAAAGTTCTAAACAGGACAGTATAGAAGTACATAGTGATAATTATAAATCCTTTGATTTATAACAAACACCTATTGCTATGGTTTGAATGTGTCCCCCAGTTTCCTGTGTTGGTACCTTAATCCCCAAATGGAACAATGTTGAAAGGTGGGACATTTAAGAGGTGATTAAGTAATGAGAGCTCTGCCCTCACAAATAGATTAATGTCATTATCGTGGGAGTGGATTCATTATCAAGACAGTGGGTTTGTTATAAAAGTAAGTTCAGCCCCTTCTTGGGCTCACAATCTCTTTTCCACCTTCTGCCATGGGATGACATAGCACAAAGGCCCTCTCTGGATGCTGATCCATTGATCTGGGACTTCCTAGGCTCCAGAATGGTAAGAATAACTCTTTTTTTTTTTTTTTTTAAATAAGTTACCCAGTCTCAGGTATTCTGTTCTAGCAGCATAAAATGGACTAAACCACATATATTACTATTAATGCCCTTTTTTAGGACTGCATTAAAAAAAAATCTTTTTTTTTTTTTTTTTTTTAGATGACGTTTCACTCTTGTTGCCCAGGCTGGAGTGCAATGGTACAATCTCCGCTCACCGCAACCTCTGACTCCCTAGTTCAACTGATTCTTCTGCCTCATCCTCCCCAGTAGCTGGGATTACGGGCACCCACCACCATGCCCACCTAATTTTGTATTTTGTAGTCTTTAAAAATCATATATAACAAGGACACATATGAGCTGGAATTAATCCCTATGCAGGACCTCTCAGGAAGTAGAGTGGAAGGATGAAAAGAAAAGACAAGGCCGGGCGCGGTGGCTCATGCCTGTAATCCCAGCACTTTGGGAGGCCGAGGTGGGCGGATCACGAGGTCAGGAGATCGAGACCATCCTGGCTAACACGGTGAAACCCCGTCTCTACTAAAAATACAAAAAATTAGCCAGGCGTGGTGGCAGGTGCCTGTAATCCCAGCTACTTGGGAGGCTGGGGCAGAGAATTGCTTGAACCCAGGAGGCGGAGGTTGCAGTGAGCCGAGACCGCACCACTGCACACCAGCCTGGCGACAGAGTGAGACTCTGTCTCAAAAAAAAAAAAGAAAGAAAGAAAAGACAAGTACTTTAGAGAGAAATACCATAGAAATGCCACTGATACCAGGAAAAATACACTTCTCAAGCAACGAGGGATGTGGCTTCCTTAGTCACTATTGGGCCAATAGATTGGCCAATATGATCTATTTCCTATTCAAAGGCACAAAGAATTTGTTAATATGAAACTTAGATTTTTATCTGCTCCAATGATTCAAAAGATTCTCTGATATTTATTTTTTTTTTCATTTTCTTTTTCTTTCTTTTTTTTTTGACAGAGTCTCGTTGTGTCACCCATCCTGGAGTACAGTGGTGCAATCTCAACTCACTGCAACCACTGCCTCCCAGGCTCAAGCGATCCTCCTGCCTCACCCTCCCAAGCAGCTGGGATTACAGATGTCTACCACCACACCCAGCTAATTTTGTATTTTTAGTAGAGACGGGGTTTCTCCATGTTGGTCAGGCTGGTCTCAAACTCCTGACCTCAGGTGATCCACTCACCTTGGCCTCCCAAAGTACTGGGATTACAGGTGTGAGCCACTGTGCCCAGCCAAAATAATCTCTTTAATAAAGCCATTATGCCTAGAATTTTTGTAAAATTACCAAGTCTTAAGGTATTTTTATATAAACTTCTATTAAACTAGAGCTACCATGCCTCACTTTCACTACCATTTGCACTAAACCTAAATATGGCAATTGACATTCACTGGTGTAATTCTACTTCCCATTTTTTTCTATGATAAGATACCCTTGAATCCTGATTCTATTGTCTAACTTCTCTGCTATTTCTCTGAAATTTACATAATTGATGCATTACATAACCATGATTTTTTTT
The DNA here is from genome assembly GCF_000001405.40 of Homo sapiens. Classification (NCBI taxonomy): domain Eukaryota; kingdom Metazoa; phylum Chordata; class Mammalia; order Primates; family Hominidae; genus Homo; species Homo sapiens. The sequence goes on along the minus strand of NC_000008.11, from coordinate 36,285,658 downwards.
GTCTTCACTTAAAAATTTATCTAGAGTAAGAATAATTTTGGATATCACCATGAAACAGGGACCAGACTTAACGTTTCATCTTAAACTACTAAAACATTATAAAAATATATATATATATATATATAAAATAATGATTGTCAGACATTGGACAATATGTAGTTTAGGACTGTGATTCCTAAAAGAGGGGAAACAAATGAGGTAAACTCAGAGATTATTCCAGCTTCTTGCCCAGACTAAGTTTTCAGGAGGCAGCATAGAAAGGGGATACCTAGTTGCAGCCCAATATTCTTTTTGCATAGAGTATATTGAGCTCAGTGTTGAAAAAGAAAAAAGAAAAAAATCTTTAGAATTTTTGAAGCAGATTACTGGAGAGAAAGAACTGTACAGAGAGAGCTCCAAGGATCTGCAGGGGTGATGGTTTCCCTCCAATCTTTGGTATGTATAAGAACTATGCAAGAGCATGGAAATAAGCATAGAAAGCAGTAAAATAAATATTTTTTAAACTCACATAAGGCTAGAAATCTTTTGCAATTCCACCAGACAGAGTGGAATGACCTCTTAATACACTGGGCTTCAGATAGAGCTCTGAGAGGATATCATCTTAGGAGTGGAGATAAATTAGCCAAAATCTAAAGACTAAACTGGATTTACTCTAACAAACCTCAAAAGACTTGAAAAAATCTAAGTGTCATCAGTACTTTAGCTGCATGCCAGGAAAATACATCATCATTTAAAGGAATAAAACAAAACTCAGGACACAAAAATATACAATCCACAATGGCTGACATCCAATAGAAAATTAACAGACATCTCAACAAGCAGGGAAATATTAAACAGTAGAAAAATTAATCAAGATAAACTGATTCACAAATGACAGAGATGACAAATTTAGCAGGTACAGATGTTAAAATAGCTGTCATATATATGTTCAGTATGTTTAAGAACAGAACATGTGAATATGATTAAGAAAGAAATACCCTTCCTCTAAGATCTGAAACAAGACAAGGATGCTCACTTTCACCACTGTTGTTCAACATAGTACTGGAAGTCCTAGCTAGAGCAGTCAGACAAGAGAAAGAAATAAAGAGCATCCAAATTGGAAAGGAAGAAGTCAAATTATCCTTTTTTGCAGATGATATGAGGAAAACCTAAGGACTCCAACAAAAAACTATTTGAACTGATAAATTCAGTAAAGTTGCAGGATACAAAGTCAACATACAAAAATCAGTAGCATTTCTATAGGCCAGCAGCAAACAACATGAAAAAAATCAAGAAAGTAATCCCATTTATAATAGCTACAAATAAAATAAAATACCTGGAAATAAACTTAACCAAAGAAGTGAGGAACTCTACAATGACAACTGTAAAAGTCTGCTGCAAGAAACTGAAGACAATTCTAAAAAATGGAAAGGTATTCCATGTTCATGGATTGGAAGACTCAATATTGTTAAAATGTCCATACTACCTAATCCAAAGCAATCTATAGATTCTATGCCATCACCATCAAATACTAATGATATCCTTCATAGAAATAGAAAAAAGAATACTAACATTTATATGGAAACACATAGGACCCAGGATAGCCAAAGCCATCCTGAGTTTCTAAAAAGAACAAACTAGAGAAATCATTTTATGTGACTTCAAATTATACTACAGAGTTACAGTAAATGAAACATCATAGTACTGGCATAAAAAGACATGTAGACAAATAGAACAAAATAGAAAACCCAGAAGTAAATCCATATATCTGCAGTGAACTCATTTTTCACAAAGGTACCAGAAAAAGACATTGGGGAATGTTTGTTCCTGTCAACAAAGAACAGTAATGACAGTTTCTTCAATAATGGTGCTGGGAAAATTGAATATTCCTATGCAGAAAGAATGGAACCAGACCCCTGTCTCTCACCATATACAAAAGTCAAGTCAAAATGGATTAAAGACTTAAATCCAATACCAAATTATGAAACTACTAGAAAAAACATTGAAGAAACTCTCCAGGACATTGGTCTGGGCAAAGATTTCTTGAGCACCCGAAAGCACAGGCAACCAAAGCAAAAACAGACAAATGGATCATAGCAAGTTAAAAAGCTTCTGTACAGCAAAGGAAACAATCAACAAAGTATAGAGACAACCCACAGAATGGGAGAAAATATTTGCAAACTATCTGACAAAGATTAATAATGAGACATTGTAAGGAGGTCACACAACTCAATAGGAAAAAAACTTAATAACATGATTAAAAAATGGGCAAAAGATATGAATGGACATTTCTCAAAAGAAGCTATACAAATGGGAAAGAGATATATGAAAAGGTGCTTGATATCATTGATCATCAGAGAAATGCAAATCAAAACTACAATGAGATAGCATCTTACCCTAGTTAAAATGGCTTTTATTCAAAAGACAGGCAATGATGAATGCTGGTGAGGAGGCGGAGAAAAAGGAACTCTTGTATACTGTTGGAGGCGATGTAAATTAGTATAGCCACTATGGAGAATAGTATGGAGGTTCCTCAGAAAACTAAAAATAAGGCCAGGCACGGTGGCTCACATCTGTAATCCCAGCACTTTGGGAGGCTGAGGCACACAAATCACCTGAGGTGAGGAGTTCAAGACCAGCCTGGCCAACATGGCAAAAATCTGTCTCTACTAAAAATACAAAAAATTAGCCAGGCGTGGTGGCGGGCGCCTGTAATTCCAGATACTTGGGAGGCTGAGGCAGGAGAATCACTTGAACCCTGGAGGTGGAGGTTGCAGTGAGCCTAGATCATGCCACTGCACTCCAGCTTGGGCAACAACAGTGAAACTCCATCTCAAAAAAAAAAAGAAAACTAAAAATAGAACTCCCATATGATCCAGCAATCCCACTGTTCGGTGTATACCCCAAAGAAAGGAAATAAGTATATTTAAAGGTTATCTGCACTCCCATGTGTACTGCAGCACTATTCACAATAGCCAAGATTTGAAGCAACCTAAGTGTTTATCAACAGTCAAATGGATTAAGAAAATGTGGTACCTATACACAATGGAGTACAATTCAGCCATAAAAAAATGAATGAGATCTTGTCATTTGCAACAACATGAATGGAACTGGAAGACATTATGTTAAGTGAAAAGAGCTAGGTACAGAAAAACAAACTTTGTATGTTCTCACTCATTTGTGGAAGTTAAAGCAATTGAACTCATGGAGATAGAATGTTTACCAGAGGCTGGGAAGGTAGTTGGGGGAAGAGGGGAGATGATTAATGGGTACAAAAATCAAAATAGATAGAATAAATAAGATCTAGTATTTGATAGCACAACAGGGTGATTACAGTCAAGAATAATTTATTATACATCTAAAAGTAACTAAAAGTATACTTGGAATGTTTGTAACACAAATAAATGATGAATACTTGAGGTGATGGATAACCCATTTACCTTGATGTGATTATTATGCATTGTATGCCTGTATCAAAATATCTAATGTAGCCCATAAAGATATATACCTACTATGTACCTATACAAATTTAAAATAAATAGAATACAAAGAAATAAAAATAAAATAAATAAAAAAAGAAATGATACAAAAAAGACCTAAATGAAACTTTTAAATGTGAGAAATACAACATTTAAAATATAAATATATTGGTTTAGATTAATAGCAGATCATACAGTTGATATGTTTAACAAAGGTTAGACAATGTAAAAGAAAAGATGGGTAACCCTAATGACGTAACAATAGAAATTGTACAAAACATGGCACAAAAACAAGTGAAACAAAATGCTGAGTCATGAAAAGGCATCCATGAGTAGTGGGATAATACCAAAAAAAATCTAATGTATGTACATTGTGATTTCCAGGAAGGGCAGGGTTGGGGAGGAAGAGAAAAATATTTGTGGATATGGATGTTGAAAGTATTCCAAATTTAAGTATTTAAAAAGTATAACATCAAATATTTATAAAGTTCTACAAACTCCGTGAGGAATAAACATAAAGAAAATGATGCAAAGAAATATTATAATCAAATTGTCAAAGATCTGTGATAAACAGATAAATATTAAAAACATTTAAATGGGAAAGACATAGTATGTACAAAGTTTAAAATATAAGAATGATAGAGTACTGGTCGTAAGGATCTATGAAAGCTAGAGATGATGGAGGAGAAACCTTTAAAATGTTTAAAGAAAAAACAAAAAGTAAAAAATCTTGTCAAGCTACAATTATATACCCAGTAAAAATATCTTCAAAAATGATGTGCAATAAACACTTCCAGAAAAATAGAAACTGAGAAAAATCATTGCCAGCAGGTTTGCTCTATATGAAATGGTAAAATTTTCCAGCATAATCCTATACACAAAAAATTGAAAAATGCTAGTAATAAAAATTATCTGAGAAATATAAAACATATTTTACTAATTTTATAATCTCTTTAAAAATAAGTGACTGCTTAGGGGAAACAAAATAAAAAGTGTAATGGATTTATTACATGTTGGAGAAAAATGCATGAAAACAACAGCACAAGGTATAAGAGAGGAAAAAATATAATGTTCAAAAGTTTTTATACTATTTGGGAAGTGCTATAATATAATTTGAAGATAGGCTGTTTTGGGAGCAAAAACGGAAATTTCCCTCTACCAACCTAGGTCCTGCGATCAGGGGCCTGCAAATTAAATGACAATAGACAGATTAACAGAAGAAAAGACAAGGTTTATTTACACAGGCATGAAGGAGCATTTGATGAAGAGTCTCATTGAACAGCTGGAAAGAGGGGTTTATATACCAACTCATAGAAGAAAGCAAGGGAGAGGAAAGGACGTCTATGGAAAAATGATGGGCTTTTAGGAAGACTAATGGCAGGTCTGATAGTTTGCGATAATGCTTGTCTGTGCAATTTTTCATCCCAGTGCTAGGGGTTGGCCTCCTTACTGGTTGTGAAGCTCCCCCAAGGAGGGAATTTATGGCAGTATCACTCTCAGAAGGCTCTGACTTTAGTCAGATAAGGGAAGCTCTGAAAGGCTTCTTTTGCTTCTGCTACAACTCAAAATATAGTTGCTTCCAGTGCAATAAGTAAAAAATGTAAATTGTGAATCACAAAGCAACAATTAAAAAAAATATATAGCTAATAAGCCAATAGTGGAAGTAAAATGAAATCACACAGAACACTAAATTACTTCAATAGAAGGTAGGACAAGAGGAAGAAAGACACAAACAACTGAGCAAATAGAAAATGAGTAGCAATATGGTAGCCATGGAAACACATGAGTCATAAAAAACTTATAAATTAGATTTTATCAAAGCAAAAACTATTTTGAAAGATACAGTTAAAATTTCCAAATGCAAACCACAACCTGGAAGAAAATATTTATAAAACACTTATCTGATAAAGGTGTTTGATTCAGAATACACAACATTTACAAATCAATTGTAATAAGAAAAACAACCCAATTTTTCCAATGGGCCAAAGATTTACACAGACAAATCACCAGTGAAAGTATGCAAATGACAAAAAGCACAAAAATGCTTATCATCTCCCCTCCTTGGGAAATAAAAGTTAACTAGAATGTAAAGTAATGAAAGTGAAGCCAAAAGGAGGTACTACTACCCACTGTTTAGAATGGCTATCTACCAATGAGGTATAAGGAGAAACTTGAATTCTTACATATTGATAATGAGAATGCAAAATAGTAGAGCTATTTTGGAAAATAATTTACCAGGTTTTCATAAATTTAAGAATACCCATACCATTCAACACAGCAATCAAATTTCCAAGGAAATTAACCCAGAAAAATGAAAGCACATGGTCAGACTGGAACGTTCATAGTAGCTTTCAACTGTTGAATGAATCAACTCTGATATATCCATGCAATAGAACACTGATCAGTAAAAGAAATAGGGAAGTACTGACATATTCAACAACATGGATAAATCTCAATGACATTATTCTAAATGAAAGAATACACACAGTTCACAGTTCACAGTTCACCGCACAACCCCCACTTAAATCTATCTGTAAGCCAAAATCTGGTATCACTCCTACTAGATCTAATTTGACTAGAAAAATTTATACCAAAGACAATCTCACAAACCCAAATCACTGCCTCCATTACTACAACCGCTCAAAAAGCCATAATTAAATTTTATTTCCTTTCTTTCTTCATTCCACCTGTCCTAACCTTACCTTTAATTGCATAATCTATTGCCCTGAGCAATTTCAGTTACAATATAAACACCAACAAACAATGTCCAACCAGTAACCACCACCAGTCAAAGTCCATAATCACATAAAGCACCCACACCCCATAGAATCCTCCTGAATTAACCCTGGCCCCTCCCCTCAAAAATCACTTAACTTCCCATGTTATTAAAATTTGCTACAACCACCACTCCATCATACTCTGCTGCCCACCAAACTAATGCCAGTTCCATTACTAAGCCCACTAGGACACTCCCTAAAACTTCAATGCCTGACCCTCATGCCTCTGGGTGTTCCTCAATAGCCATCGCCATAGTATAACCAAAAACAACCATCATTCTCCCTAAATAGATCAAAAAGACTATTAGACCCATATAAGCCCCACCATAATTTAGAACAATAATGCCACCTACTACACCACTAATAATTAACACCAAGCCCCCATAAATAGGAGAAGGTTTAGAAGAAAAACCTACAAACCCCATAACTAAAAGAATACTTAACAAGAATAAAGCATATGTCATTCTTCCTACATGGATTATAACCACGACTAATGACATGAAAAACCATAGTTGTATTTCAACTATAAGGACACTAATGACCATAGTACGTAAAGCAAATCTACTAATAAAAATAATCAATCACTCATTCATTGACCTTCCCACTCCATCCAATATTTCTATATGACGGAATCTCGGCTCACTTCTTGGCACCTGCCTAATCCTTCAGATCATTACAGGCCTATTCCTAGCTATACACTATACACCAGATACCTCAACCGCCTTCTCCTCAATCACCCACATTATAGCCGAGACATAAACTACAGCTGAACCATCCGCTACCTCCATGCTAACGGCACTTCAATATTCCTCATCTGCCTCTTCCTACACATCAGCTGAGGCTTATATTATGGCTCATTCTTGTTTTTAGAAACCTGAAACATTGGTGTTATCCTTCTGCTCACAACCATAGCAACAGCCTTTGTAGGTTACGTACTTCCATGAGGCCAAATATCATTCTGAGGTGCCACAGTAATCACAAACCTATTATCCACCATTCCATGTATCGGAACTGACCTTGTCCAATGAGTCTGAGGTGGATATTCAGTTGACAAGCCTACTCTCACACGATTCTTCACTTTCCACTTTATCTCACCTTTCATCATTGCAGCCCTAGCAGCCCTTCACCTACTATTCCGCCATTAAACAGGGTCTGATAACCTACAGGAATCTCCTCACTCTGATAAAATCGCTTTCCACCCTTACTACACCATCAAAGATATTCCAGGTTTAATACTCCTTTTTCTCACTTTAATAACACTAGTGCCATTTACACCTGACCTCCTAAGTGACCCAGACAACCACACCCTAGCCAGTCCCCTAAAGACTCCACCCCACGTTAAACCTGAATGATGCTTTTTGTTCGCATATGCAATCTTACAGTCTATCCCTAATAAACTAGGAAGCGTACTGGCCCTCCTGCTATCGATTCTTATTCTAGCAGCCATCCCTGCACTTCACACATCTAAACAGCAAAGTATAATATTCCGTCCACTAAGTCAATACTTATACTGACCCTTAGTCACCAACCTATTAATCCTTACATGAATCGGAGGACAACCAGTAAGCCACTCCTTTATTACCATTGGACAAGTAGTATCCATAGTATACTTCACTACGATTCTTACCCTAATACCACTCGACTCCCTAATCGAAAATAAGCTACTTAGATGAACCTGCCTTTGTAGTATAACCCAATACACTGGTCTTGTAAACTGGAAATGGAGACTCTTTCCCCAGGGCAACTCAGAGAGAAAGCACTCAACTTCACCATCAGCACCCAAAGCTGAGATTCTAATTTAAACTACCCTCTGTATTCTGATAAGGCATACAACACAACACATATGCACTTTATGATTTCATTTATGAAATGCTAGAAAAGTTAGAATCTAGTCACAGAAAGCAGATTGGTGAGTGCCAGGATCATGAGCTGGGGGCAGGGAGAGGAGATTGACTGCAAAGGACACAGAGGGAGGTTTTTGGAGTGATGGAAATGTTCTATATCTTGATCGTGGTGATGGTTATGTGTCTGAAACAGTTGTCATGACACTGGCACGGTGGCTCATGCCTGTATTCCCAGCACTTTGGGAGGCCGAGGCAGGCAGATCACAAGATCAAGAGATCGAGACCATCCTGGCTAACACGGTGAAACACTGTCTCTACTAAAAATACAAAAAAATTAGCCGGGTGTGGTGGCACGTGCCTGTAGTCCCAGCTACTCAGGAGGCTGAGGCAGGAGAATCGCTTGAACCCAAGAGGCAGAGGTTGCAGTGAGCTGAGATCGTGCCACTGCACTCCAGCCTGGGTGACAGAGCGAGAGTCTGTATCAAAAAAAAAAAAATGGTAATTTTATGGTACATAAGTTATACATCCATGAAGCCGATTTTCTAAAAAGTATAAAGCATCTCCCATGTTCCAGGTTGTGCTAGTTACCACAATAAAAAAGCCACAGTCCCTTCTTTTACAGTCTGGTCATAAAGGTAGACAACAAATGCAGTAACTGCAAATGATATGTGATATAATAGATGTATGCACAGGATTCTAAAGAAATAGAATTTTAGAGACTCAGGGGAAATTACTAGATGAGGCGCTCAAGCTGGCAAAGTACATATCTCTATCTTACTAGCCTATTAAATTTACAATTTTCACTAATACATATCATATAAGGGCAAAGTAATCTACATATCAGAATTTTGAAAATTTTGTTAACAAGATATTTACATTTAAGTTCAGATTCTTAAGAGAATTCTCTATTTTTTTCTGTGCATCCCTTGTACTTTTGTACTCTTATTTTTGTCTTCATTTCTGTGAAGTATAACAGAGTAAGACACAAGTCTTAACTGTACCACAAAATGAGTTTTTGCATGTATATTCCCTCATAACCACCACCCAGATCAAGGGTTAGAACATTCTTAGTCTCTTTTCTTTTTTTAAGGCATTATTTGCTGGTTGATTATTGATCAGTGTTTTGAAATTTGAGGTAGAAAAGAATGTTGCCACTCTATGGAAAATAATGTCTGGGGAGATCAAGATTGTCATTGCTAGGTAGGTTGTGGTGGCTTATTCCTATAATCCCAGCCCTTTGAAAGGCCGAGGCTGGCAGATTGCTTGATTCCAGGAGTTCAAAACAACCTAAGCAACATGGTGAAACCTCGCCTCTTCATAAAATACAAAAATTAGCTGGGCAAGGTGGTGTGTGCCTGTAGTCCCAGCTACTTGGGAAGGCTGAGGTGAAGGTTGCTTGATTCTGGGAGACTGAGGCTGCAGTGAACTGAGTTTACACCACTGCACTCCAGCCTGAGTGACCAGAGCGAGACCTGGTCTAAAAAAAAAAAAAAAAGATTGTAAAAGATTGTCATTGCTTTTTACAGGAATAGTTGAGGATTATCAATTTTGACTCTATCAACTTCATTATGAGGACAGCTAATTTAGGTAACATTTAAGCACTCCCATGGTGAAGCATGTCTTTCTGAGAGATGTAAATATTAATATTCTGCCCTTGGAAAAGCAATTGGAATTTTAAAATTATTCCACTGCAGGGGAAAACATAATTTTCAATAGGAGCATGTTGAACCCTAAATAAGGTGGGTGCATTATAGTGAGTCTCCTGTGTGCTTTTGAGTAAGGAAAATATCTTTGTGAACCAACCTTAAAAGTCACCTTTTCTATGGCAATAATGTGTGGCTACCTACTTAAAATAATAATTAATGCCAATAAAATTGACAATTAGCAGCTATCTCCAATTTTAATTAGACATACAAATATTCTAATTAACCAGTTTTGGACTTGTCTTGAAGCTGAAGGTCTTCTATTCTTTGACAGAGGATGACGACAACTCAGAAAAAGAGCAACACATCTGCTTTGAATTAGCCCATAGATCTGATTATCTTCTACTATGGTTTTCTGTCTTTGCATGTTAGTTGGAGCAATAAGTACCTCCGAAGGAAAAATCGAGTTTCTTTTCAGAAAGAGGATGCTAAGGTCTTAATGGCTATGTTCCCCTAAATATGTATGTTTGAGTACTAACTCCCAAGGCTGATGGTATTAAGAGGTGGGGCATTTGGAGGGTGATTAGGTCAAGAGAGTGGAGCCCTCATGAATGGGATTGGTGTCCTTAATAAAAGATGCCTCCCAGAGACCCCCCTTGCCCGTCTACCATGTGAGGTCTCAGCAGAAATGCACCTTCTATGAACTAGAAAGTGGACCCTGACCAGACACTGAATCTGCCTGCACCTTGATGATGGATTTCCCAGCTTCCAGAAGGTGAAAAATAAATTTCTGTTGTTTATAAGCCAGTTTATGGTATTTGTGTGTGTGTGTGTGTGTGTGTGTGTGTGTGTGTGTGTGTTTTGAGACAGGATCTCATTCCATCGCCCAGGCTGGAGGACACTAGCATGAGCACAGCTCACTACAGCCTCAACATCCTGGGCTCAGCCAATCCTTATACCTCAGCCTCCCAAAATGCTGGGACTAAAGCATGAGCCACTGCACCCAGTTTACGATATATTGTTACAGCAGCCTGAACCGATTAAGACAAGGATACAGCGCCCTGGGCCAATCCACCAAGCTTCCTCTGGCACCACAATCTTCTCTTGTCAGTTCCAAAATTTCTACCTTCAGACTTTTGTCAGGACTTTTCTGCTACTGGATCTTACCTGAAACTATTTCTATCCTGAATCCTGAGCTCACAGTGTGTGAGAACTGAGTACGTACTAAGGCCTGAAAGAGTGATGGAATAGGACACCAGAAAGGTAGATGGAGATGAGTCATAAATGTCCTTAACTCCATACTATGTCCTTTCTAACCTCCATCAATCAAAAGTGGTTTGAGGTTCTCACTTTTCCTTAATCTTGCTCTATTAATGGGGCATTGATGTTTTGTTTGATGACACATTGCTCAACCAAAGCAACATTTTACAAGATGTGTTCTCTTATCTATCCTAACTGAAGGAAGTGAGTGATGAGAATTTCAGGTCCTTTTCAGCTTTAGCAGGACAGTATTTCTGACCAACCTGTCCTTTCCCCTCCCTCGGATTACCCTATATGGGTACTGCCTCCATGTAACTCAGGGTTGGAATATCCCAGAACTTGGACGGCAAGGAGATGATATTAAGGATGTCACTTCTACCCCAGAAAGAACTACACTTGACAGCTGGTTTAACTAGTCTCATTTTGAAAACAATTTTGGACAACATGCCCTATTCCCTTTAATGGCTGAGGAAACTGAGGCATAGTTCTGTCTCTCCCTAGAATCTCAGCAGCTTTCTCTGAGTTCACTTTCACTCTATCAGGACATGAAGGCTACTTTGCTGCTGGTATTCAGGCAAGTTAGATTCCATAGTACCATCATGCTAGTATTCCCACTTCATTGACTGAAAGATTATGGTGTCAGTATCCAGTTTCTAAGACAGAAGCCTCTGGTTACAAATGTCCCGGATCCTGACATTCCCTACTGCAATTGCCAGTCTTCTGATGCACATCATTAGAATGAGATGGGTTTATTTGTTCTTTTTTTTCAAACTAAAGAAAAGGTCATGGCTTCCTGCTCAGTCCATTCATTGAAGGATCCAATGGATCTCTAAGCATCATCTTTGCATCAAAGTGTCCTGGAGCATCAGCACTGGAGGACATTGCATAGACTTCTTGGCGAGCTTTTTTTTAAATGAGGTTTTTATTTAGAATAATGTGGGAGAAACATTTTATTTGTAGTAATTTTGGATTTATCAAAAGTTGCATGCTGGGAGCAGTGGCTCATGCCTCTAATCCCAGCACTTTGGGAGGCCGAGGCAGGCAGATCACTTGAGGCCAGGAGTTTGAGACCAGCCTGGGCAATATGATGAAACCCCCTACTCTACAAAAAATTTAAAAGTTAGCCAAGTGTGGGGCACATGTCTGTAATTCCAGCATCTCGGGAGGCGGAGGCATGAGAATGGCTTGCAGAGGTTTCAGTGAGGCAAGATTGCACCACTGCACTCCAGCCTGGGCAACAGAGCAAGATCCTGTCTCAAAAAAAAAAAACTGTTGCAAAGATAGTACAGAGTTCCTGTATGCCCTTCCAGTTTCAATTTTCCTTAATGTTGACTTCTTATATTACTGTGGTAGATTTGTTAAAATGAAGGAACTAACACTAATAAACTCCAGATTACTTGAGTTTTCAGTTTTTCCATTAATAACATTTTTTTTTCTGTTCCAGGATCCAATTCTGACAGCTTTTCAAATCAGTCCTCTTCACGTCTAATATTGAAACAGGAGGAGTTTTCCCTTATCCCCCTTGCAGGGCATGCAATGGGGATGCGGCTCATTTCTCAGGTGCCCTGCAACTCAAATTCCTGAGGGAGCATGCAGACGGGCAGGTCATGGGGAGCATTTTTGGGCCCCAACCCCACAGCAGTGTCTAGGGTTGAGTGTTTACAGCCCCCGAAGCCCCAGGGGGCATGCGTTACAGTGTGCTCTTTCAGCTTAGCCATCCACAGGCAGCTTCTGTTAATCAGCTCAATTAGACCCTCTGCCTTATTGCAGGGACAGAGGGCTTTCTGTATCCCGGGGTTCTTGCCCTAGTGTACCAGAAACATCAGATCACACATGGGCTTGGAGAATGAGATTTTATTGAGTGATGGAAATAGCTCTCAGCAGATGGATGGGGAGCCAGAAGGGGATGGAGTGGGAAGATGGTCTTCCCCTGGAGTCAGGCCACTCAGCAGCTGAACTCTCCTTCAACTACCCCCAACCAAATTTTCCTCGACACCACATCATTCTGCTGTCAATGGCCTGCCGGCATCCATCAGTGTGTTCTTCTGCCGGTGTGTTCCTTTCAAGGTCCAGCTACTTCTGTGTGTACCCGATAGGGTCTCAGGGTTTTTTTATAGGCACAGAAAGAGGGGTGTGGCAGGCCAGAGTGCTCCTGGAAGATGCAACATTTGGGTGTGAAAACAGCAGCATCTGTCCTCACTTAGGTCCATGGTCACAGTCCTGAGGTTGGAGCCTTCTCCAGGGACCTCATCCTTCTCTACCTAGCACTTCCCTGCCTCTGCCCCATATCAATATGGGGTTCTTTCTAGAATTTATCTTCAAATATAAAACTTTTCTGTCTAATAGTTCTTTTGGTCTGTAGTCATGGATCTCAGTGAGAACAGCATTTAAGCCCCTAGCTGCATGTTTCTTATTTTCTTCCTCACAAGAGCAAACATCCCTTCTTCTAACACTTTCTGCTCTAATTAAACCAAAAGAAAGCAGATGGAGGAGGGATTTTTAAAATGTCTTTCATTCAGTTTTATCAAGGACATGGTGGACATGGGCCAGTCTCCTTTCATTTTCTCTTTCTTTCTTCTGAATGTAAACATTGAGGTCGAGTTTCTCTGAACTAAAAAGCAGCTGAATTTTTTCCTGGAATCAATAGACTGCTTCCATAGCATCCACAGTGAAAGAGAGAAAAAGCCCTTGATGATCAATGCCCCTGATATGCTAATAATTCTCTCCTTTCTGCATCTGAAGGGTCACTTCAGATGAAGTGACCTTTTTTAATAAAGTCATCTGGACCTCAAAATTTAACAGTAAGATGCATGCTTCTTGGTCTGAGAAGTTATGAAGCATCCTAATAGATTCAGTTTGGAATGCAATTCTTGTTTAGACAATCTCACCAAGTATGCAGCTCACGGGTTGTCCCTTTAAAGCTTATATAAGCGCAGCATTTAGTTGTCTTTTTTAAAAAAAATTAAACCTCTGAACCTGAAGTTTACCTCCTCTCTAAGCAATGTCAATTCACAGTCACTCAGTTTACTGATGCATGCCAAGAGAAAGAAAGCAATTATTTCTGAGAGTAGGCAAACTGGTGTTCATGGGGCACAGAGGAAATTGTGATAAGGATTTAGTATATTTAATTCACCTATTCATTGATTGAAGGAAAAGGCAAGAGGCAGAAGGAAATTAAATTATAGATTTTTATGTCCACTGCCTTGAGAATTCTTTGTCCATGTAACTGTTACACAGTTACATGGACAAAGCATCCAGTTAAAACTATCCCCTAGATTTTAATAATGACTACTTTGGTCTGGTTTGAGTTGGGGTTTGATTTGCTTCACAGGAAATCATAATTTCGTATCTCACTGAAACGAATCTAAAATTTTAAGTGTATGCTGGCCTGAAGCTTAATTGACACTGCTATGAAACATACCAAGTAGGTTTTTCTGAGCTGGGCATGTTGTGGGGGGCCAAAATGGCAGGATTGTTTGAGGCCAAGATGTTGAGACCAGCCTGGGCCACACAGCGAGACCCCTATCTCCACAAAAAATTTTAAAAATTAGCCAGGCATGGGCGTGTGCACCTGTAGTCCTAGCTACTTGGGAGGCTGAGTCAGGAGGATCACTTGAACCCAGGAGTCCGAGGTTACAGTGAGCTATGATGGTGCCACTGCACTCCAGCTTGGGCAACAGAGCAAAACACTGTCTCTAAAACATAAAAATTAAAAAGAAAGGTTTTGCAAAGGCAGTGGGGAGGGGAAAAAGAAGTATGTTTTTCTTAATAAATGAACACTATGAACAAAGACTCATGCAAAGCTTTAACCCTGTAAATGAGAAAAATTGGCTTTCAGATAGTGAAGAGGTTCAACTCATTGGGGTAAAAAACAACATTTTTTTTTCACTGTCTGCTACCAGTTTTACTCAGCTGATGTCCACTCATCTTCTTCCTTGAAAAATGGGTTTTCTTAATGAAAATTAAGTCTGATTGCATAATCTTTAATTACATTTGTTAGTAAAACAATTCCATTCACTTAAAAAAGTCATTATCATCACTGATTCAGAGATGTGTTCCTCCCCACCGCTCTAGCATGAGGATGGACTGGTGGCTCTGGTGGCTCCTACGGAAGTTGTGCCCTCTGCTCTCTCTAATCTCTTATGCACCTAAACACACACACGTGCACCTTCTCTGCATTTGCACTTTCAGTGTTTGGACAGGGATAAGGAATAGAGAAAACAGGTATTGTTGTGTGTGTCTGCGTTGAGTAAATAAGTCAATTGCTCATAGCAGTAGATCCAGTTTATTTTTCACTGGATGAGTGGTGCTTCCACAAGCCCTGCAAGAAAAGACTCAAATCCAAGAAGCTCACTTGGGCATGGGTGATTCCTTCTGGTTCTCACCCACATCTTCCAACTGACTGCCACGCAGTAGCATCACACTACAGTCTTCTAATATTTCCCTTTGCCTAGGGCTGCGATGGTTCCTAGCAAGTGTTAGCCTTCATTTCTTCTACTCATCACAGCCCCCACCTCTTGCTCTGGTTCTCCCTCAATTCCCCTTACCCACTAGCTATCCCTTCCCCAGTGCATGGTAAGTACCAGTCTCTCCCATGGGAGAGCAGATGTCAAAGCATAAATAAATGTCAGACTTCCCTTTTGGCTGAGCCCCAGGCTATAAAGTGATTCTCCTGTGGACTCCCTCCTTTAGCTGCTCTCCACAATAAGTGCATTAATTTAAAAGTACTTATATGTATACCTAGCTTTAAATTCACATGTTAGAGCTTTGAAATTGGCAAGTGTTTCACAAGTACTTAAATAACATAAAGAAAAAAAACTAAAGATCATGCAATTAAGTCAAAATTTTCAGTTGTGTTTTTTGTTGTTGTTGTTGTTGTGGTCACAACTCATTAATTTGTTAAATACATAAATAGCTTTTGGAAGAAAGTAAATTTTCATATATATATATATATATATTTTTTTTTTTAGACGGAGTCTCGCTCTGTTACTCAGGCTGGAGTGCAATGGTGCAATCTTGGCTCACTGCAACCTCTGTCTCCTGGGTTCAAGCGATTCTCCTGCCTCAGCCTCCCAAGTAGCTGGGACTACAGGCGCACACCACCACGCCCAGCTAATTTTTGTATTTTTAGTAGAGACAGGGTTTCACCATATTGGTCAGGCTGCTCTTGAACTCCTGACCTCGTCATCCACCTGCCATGGCCTCCCAAAGTGCTGGGGTTACAGGCATGAACCACAGTGCCCAGCCATAGTAAATATATTTTTTAAGTTATTCATAAAATAAAGCAAAGAAGTTATTGTTAATATTTAAATGAGCTATTAGCCTATAGCCCAGTTATATATTTTTTATTCTTTGTCTTATTCATTGTAGGAATGTAACAAGGTTGAAATGAATGCACTTCAACTTAAATGTAAATAATGACGATGACTATAAAGCTTTCTTTATTTTATATTATTGATTTAATCCTGCTGTCAACCTCACATACCGAGAAGTAAGATCATCCACTGGCATTTTTTAGGACAATCTAGCTGTTTTTATTCCTATTGTCTCAAAGGGATTTTAATCGTAAGCAGAACAGTAAAGTCTAAGCTGTTGCTCTTTGCACTATCTTTACACATTTCCCCTCTCACTGAAATCATCATTGCAAAATTATAACTGAGACAGTGAAAGAGATCTGATGTAACCAACTCCATTTTGCTTCTAACCTCCAAGTTGTCCTTGTTCATTCCTGGGCACAGGCTGAACTAACCTTGGGAGAAACTTAGTTTATAGTTTAAAACAAAGACGGTAACAGCTCTCTCCCAAAACAAACCTCCTTCTTGCCTGGGGTCTAGACTGCCTTTGTAAGACTAACGAGTTAGCCACAAGATTCGAAATTATGGTTTAGGAGTCATGCAGCTGGAGGCTACAAGATTCTGACCCTCCCTAAACTGCTCCTAAGATCAGTGCTTGAGATATTTTGCAGACCCTGGGTCAGCTGGCACCACCCCGATGGATAAGCTGGCTCATCTGACCTTGTGGCTCCCACACAGGAACTGACTCAGCGCAAACGGACAGCTTCAATCCCTGTGATTTTCATCTCTGACCCAACCAATCAGCATTGTCAACTCACTGGTTTCCCCCTGTCCCCCAAACTATCCTTAAAATGTCTGATCCCCAAATGCTTGGGGAGACTGATTTGAGTAATAATAAAACTTCAGTTTCCCACACAGCCAGCTCTGCATGAATTACTCTTTCTCTATTGCAGTTTCCCCATCTTGATAAATAAAGCTCTGTATAAGCAGTGGGCAAGGTGAACCCATTGGACGGATACATCACCACTAGAGGCTCTTTTCTTCCTCTTCCTTTGGAACCAGACCTCCAGCCCTGTCATATATTTCATCTTCTCCATTTGTAGATTTTTAAAAGATATTGTTATTCCTTTCTCTGGGTCCATAATCCTCATGGACCTACATTAATGGTGTAAATGCTACAGAGGAAAGAAAACATATGGATTGCTGACCAGTAAAAGATTTCTAACATTATTCTCACTATATAAATATTTGGGCATAAACTTATGAGCATAATGATGTTCCAGACTTAATTTTTTTAAAAACTTGTGCTAATATTATTGATTTCAGTGGCTATGATTTCACTAAATTAGAGCATGTGGCTAACGTTTGCATTCTATTGGCCTTTTCCAAGGTGGCTGATAAGCTCGATTTTCATACAGTGATCGCTGTATTTTGCTGCTTCTTTATCTAGGAGCCACCCTGCTATATAAATCAATGTTTTCTAATTTTTATTTCATTTAAACAGTAACATTAAGAAGTCCAATTCAGTATACACAAGGACCACAGGGTATATTCTCAGAGCTATTGTAAATCACTGTACTGCTAATCGATTGGGAAGGTGGTTACTAGCCTGGATATAAATTCATATAATGTTTGAGTAGTATTTACTTGACAATACTAATGTGGACAGGAGGCAGGGAAATACTGGGTAGAAGAGGGTGGTTCCCTGGCAAAGGATCCACCCTCAAGCCTGGAAACCTGTGGTCCAAAATGGGAACAGGCATTCCTATTTTCATGCCCAAATGTTGCCTTTTGGCCTGCCACACCCCTGTATCCTGTACCTATATAAACTCCAAGCCCCAGGCTCCATGAGCCGAAGAACAGAGGAGCAGAGGAACAGAGGAACAGAGAAGCAGAAGAGCAGCACAGCAGAGAAGGAGACAAGAGAAGGAGTGTCTGAACGTAGAGAGGAGTTCAGCTGGGGACGATCAAAGAAAAGATCAGCCGTGGGACCTCCAAAGTCCAGGGAACATCATCTTTCCACTCCATCCCCTTTCCAGCTCCTCATCCATCCCACTGAGAGCCACCTCCATTCAGCAATAAAATCTCCCACATTTACCATCCTTCAATTTGTCCATGTGACCTGATTCTTTCTGGATGCCAGACAATGTCCCAGGTACTAAGAGGGCACTGAGCTGGTTAACACTTAAGCTGTCTGCGAACAGCAGAGCTAAAAGATAACCGTAACATGCCCACTGGGTCTTCGGGAGTTGCAGGCACCCACCCCTAGACACTATCATGGGGCTGGATCCCAAAAGTGCTTGCCCCAGCTCCTGCACCTGCACGTCTATGTACTGCTTCCCATCCTGTAAGAGGTTTGAGCACATGGTGGTTGAACAGATGAGACATACCTCTGTCACTTGTCCTGCAAGGGAGGTCAGGGAACTCTGCCATTTTAATATTGCAGTAACCCACACAATGCTGCCTATGGAAAAGAAAAAAAAAAACAACAACAGATTGTTGAGCAACTTAAAAGCATGCAATTACAATATTAGAGAATGTATGTTTCTAATAGAATTATGTTTTATTGCTTCTAAAAGTTTGTAAATTTGCTACATAGAAATGGAAATTGAGTACTCAATATAGATCTGAAAAGTTCTCAGCTCTAATTTGTTTTCTATAAACTTAAATAAATGGCATTTAGCTGCTGATATGGAGGCTGTAGAAGGGAATTGAAGCTACATTAATATTCCTAACTACATACAGTTCTTGTCCTTAAAGAAAAGATCATCATCTTTGACCAAACTCTCAGCTTTGGGAGGGAAACACAAGGGGAATCAATAGAAGAAAATAGTGGCTGTCTGGGAGAATTGTACAGTACATTTGAGAATATAGCCATAATAGAGCACCCTTGGACCCATAGATTCTTTATTTTTAAAATTCAGTTAATTATCTTATTAGTTGAGTCTAAATTAGGGCAGTTTGATGTGTTACCCTTTAAAAGAATAGGCTTTTCTAGGTACCAATATTTCTTGTAATTAACCTCATGCATTCAAAGTTCATGTTCTTAAAGTGAGGTAAAGAGATGCTTCTCAGGCAACAACAGAAATGCATGACACCAGCAAAATGAGGATAGGGCTCAATGGAAAACAATGGTGTGATAAGCATGTGCCTTGAAGACTTTTCGCCAATCTCTGCTCCACCCTTGAAGATGAAATAGTTTGCCGGATGTTCAAGCAGCCCCGTGAAAGCAGCTCCATAGAGGTTATTGTTCTCTGACAGTAATTTACTACTTGCAGGAAGCTTTTAAATAGTGGCAACTAGTACTGGGCCTGAATGGCAGAGAAGAGCGTGGGGAAGGTCCCAACAGTTCATCAGAAGCACCAACACACATGAGGCATGTTTTGGGGAAACCTGGTTCAGATGCACCTGACTGGCTCTGGGTGGCTTGGATGAGCCATCTGTTCTTCTGGAACCTACTTTATCATCCATAAAATGAAGAAGCATGTAACTACAAAGATGTCCCTCCCAACCTATACTATTCCAAGCCAACAAAGACTCATTAATAGAGTCTCAATTGCTGCTTTAACTCTTTCTTTGACTAACACAAGCAATTCCATAAAGAGTCATATTATGATACCATGCAGATTGAGTTCTCAAGCAAGAAAATGGATGAGAATTCTGTCCACGAAAGCAGTCTCTGATTGAAATAAAACATTTTGGCTACTACCACCCCAAACATTAGATCATAAAACCCTAAGCATTCAAAAGGGGTAAAATAAAGCCATATGAGTTCAGTACCCTAACATTCAAAACACACACACAGAAATACTAATACTAATACTTCGGGCCAAGATGAATATGAAGTATTAAAAGAGCTGACTTTTACGGTACTTCCATATTGACATAATGTTATTATGTTGGTACTTATAACCACTTGGACACCAGGGGCAAACTGTTGCTGGTGAAAATCTTCAAACAAGTTTATGATATTAAAATAAATTGAAATTACGATTAATAACTGAAGTTTTCAATGACTTTTATACTTCTCTTAAAAAGGTTATTCTCTTGAATAGTTTAAACCATTTGGGACCATTTAATGAAGATATATAGATTTATTTTAAGCAAATGAAAAATACAGAGATTTTGCAAAGGTAAATTATAGCTGATCTTACTTCATTTGTTACCAATTACCAATTTTGAGTCAGTGTAGTAGGATTTAACAATTTAACCAAAGAAAAGTATTAATTCAAAACAAATAGACAAAAAGTGTGATTACAGAAGATTTCATGAAAAGAGTAAACAAATAAATATGTGTCTCAAATATCGCTTTTATCTTTCCATCATAATGTTACTTTCAAAATCTTTGTTTTTTTATTTTTATTTTTATTTTTATTTTTTTATTGAGACAGAGTCTCTCTCTGTCGCTCAGGCTGGAGTTCAGTGGCACAATCTCCGCTTACTGCAACCTCTGCCTGCCGGGTTCAAGCTGTTCTCCTGCCTCAGCCTCCCGAGTAGCTGGGATTACAGGTGCCCACCACGATGCCTAGCTAATTTTTGTATTTTTAGTACAGACTGTGTTTCACCATGTTGGTTAGGCTGGTCTTGAACTCCTGACCTTAGGTGATCTGCCCGCCTCAGCCTCCCAAAGTGCTGGGATTACAGGCTTGAGTCACCACATTGAGAAATCCTTTTTTTATACTTTTTTTTTTTTTTTCCTCCTCTCATCTCATTTAAAGCAAGGGTCCTGCTTCACTGGGCAGCATATTTCAGTCTCTCTGAAATGATTGGCAGATATAGCTGCTGCTCTGAGATTTTGCCTTTTGCCAACTACGTGGTGGTGATTTTAGTAATATCTTCACATTTAAATAGATCATACCTCACAAAGCCCCCAACAGATCCTCACTTACTCATTCCTGTAGTACTTCTAGCGGAGAAGACAGGGTTTGGCTAATCATGCCCTGGAGTAGAGAAATTAGAGATCCATGAGGATATGGAGATGACAGGGAAGCCCAGCACGATGGAGTCTCGGTCACAAAGCAAAGCCACCATAAGAAATCAGAAATCCTTAAGTATTTCCAAGGTCAAATTTTTACCTTATAAATATATTGCCTCTAAAATCCTCTTCCTATTTATAATCATGCAGGAAAGGAAAGGGAGATTACACCACTTCTAATTAGGTGGACTGGTTTGCTCGAAGGTATCTAAGAGGTTCCTCAACTCCTTCCCGCTTCTCAAATTTCTGCCTCTAAAGGAAGTGAGCAGATCCATTCCAGCTACCACAGAGCTTAGCCTAGTTTAGTCCTTCAAGTAACCCTGTCACCAGGACTTGCAGAAAGTTTACAACTTACAAACTACCGCCTCCAGGGCTGAGCTGCACAAGTGCCAAAGTAAGAGTGAGGACTGTGAATGAATTTGCTTATGTTGTGACACTAAAAATTAGTTATAGTTGCAATGTCTTTTTTCTTAACAACAGAGATACCTCCTGAGAAATGTGTCATTAGGCAATTTCCTTGTTGTGAAAACATCATACACTGTACTTACACAAACCTAGATGGTACAGCCTACCACACACCTAGGTATAGCTTACTTCTCCTAGGCTGCAAACCAGTGCAGCAGGTTACTGTGCTGAATACTGTAGGTCATTGTAACATAGTGTGTTTGTTTATCTAAACATAGCTGAACATAGGAAAGGTACAGTAAAAATATAGTAAAAAAGATTTAATATGATACACCTATATAAAGCATCTATTAGTCCGTTCTTATGGTGCTGTAAGGACATACCTGCAACTGGGTTATTTATAAAGGAAAAAGGTTTAATTCACTCATAGTTCTGCACGGCTGGCGAGGCATCAGGAAACTTACAATCATGGCAGAAGGGGAAACAAACACGTCCTTCTTTGCATGGCGGCAGAAGAGAGAAGAGTAAGAGCTATGCAAAAGGGGAAGCCCCCTATAAAACCATCAGATCTCACGGGAACTTAATATTATGAAAATAGCATGGGGGAAACTGACCCCATTATTCGATTACCTCCCACTGGGTCCCTCCCATGACATGTGGGGATTATGGGAGCTACAATTCAAGATGAGATTTGGGTTGAGTCACAGCCAAACCATATCAGAGCATTTACCATGAATGGAGCTTCTAGGACTGGAAGTTGCTCTGAGTCAGTGAGTGAGTGGTGAGTGAATGCAAAAGTCTAGAATATTGCTGTGCACTACTGAAGACTTTATAAACCCTGCACTCTTAGCCTACACTAAATTTATTTTTTAATCTTTCTTCTATAACAAATTAACCTTAGCTTACTGTGACTTTTTGTTTTATAAAGTTTTTAATTCTTTAAATCTTTTTGACTTTTTTGTAATAATACTTAGCTTGAAACACAAACACATTGCACAGCTGTACAAAAATATTTTCTTTCTTTATATCCTTATTCTATAAGCTCTTTTCCATTTTTAAGATATCTTAGTTTTTTCTTTACTTTTTAAATTTTTTTGTTAAAAACTAAAACACAAACAGACACATTAGCCCAGGCTTACAAAGAGTCAGGATCATCAATATCACTGTCTTCCACTTCCACATCTTGTCCCACTGGAAGGTCTTCAGGGGCAGTAACAGGCATGGAGCTGTCATCTTCTGCGATAACAGTGCCTTCTTTGGGAATACCTCCTGAAGGACCTGCCTGAGGCTGTTTTACTGTTCATTATACACACACACACACACACACACACTCAGACATATATATACACACATAGATATATATATACATACACATATATATGTAGGAGTGCACTTTAAAGTAACAATAAAAAGTGTAGTAAATACATAAACCGGTAACATAGTCATTTATTACCATTATCAAGTATTAGGTACTGTATATAACTGTAAGTGCTAGACATCTCTAAGACTGGCAGCTCAGTAACTTTGTTTATAACAGCGTCATCGCAAACATGTAACGCATGTTGCTATTACATTAGGATGGCTATGACATCACCAGGTGACAAGAAATTTTCAGCTCCATTATAATCTTATGGGACATCCATCATATATTTGGTCCATTGTTGATCAAAACGCCATTATGTAGCACATGACTGTGTTACGTATAAAGTATGCATAAGAAACTATTGCAATGCAAAGTTTTTTTTTTTGTTTGTTTGTTTTTTTTTTTTTTTTTGAGACAGAGTCTTACTGTTGCCCAGGCTGGAGTGGAGTGGCATAATCTCGGCTAACTGCAGCCTCTGCCTCCTGGGTTCAAGCGATTCTCCTGCCTCAGCCACCTGAGTATCTGAGATCACAGGCATGTGCCACCACGACAGGCTAATTTTTGTATTTTCAGTAGAGACAGGGGTGTCATCATATTGGCCAGGATGGTCTCGAACCCCTGACCTCAAGTGATCTGCCTGCCTTGGCCTCCCAAAGTGCTGTAATTACAGCCATGAGCCACCATGCCTAGCCACAAAATTTTAATAGACTTTTTAATAGACTTACAATGTGAATGTAAGTGCTATGCATTCAAAAACTTTGCAATTGTTTGTTAGCTGGGGGGCGGGGTTTCTTAAGGATGAAAAGAGTGTACAATAAATCAAGAACAGTTTTCTTTCCTGAGTCAAAATCTGTTTCTATTTATTTAATGGGGGAAAATGATCATCATAACAATTTTTTTAATGTAATTAACATGTATTCAGAATTCAGTGTTTGGGGCTAGGAAGACAAGACAGTTGAGGACACAAGATTCCTCTGTATGTGCTATAATGAACTGTACTTTATCAAATAGACTTATTTTAGCTCAAATGCACAAAGGAATAACACTTTAACAGTCAGGTGTTAAAGTCACAGAACACTAAAAAGGTAATATGTAAAATCTAGTCCAACCACGTCATTTAAAAATATTTTAATAAACCTTTTATTTTATAATAGTTTTAAATTTACAGGAAAAAATGCAATGATAATACAGAGATTTTCCATATATCTCATATTAATTTCCTCTGTTGTTTACATCTTACATGACTACAGCACATTTATCATAAATAATAAACAATATGGATATATTTTAGTCACTAAATTTTCTTATTTATATGGATTTCATTTATGTTTCCTTAACCTCCTTTTTCTATTCCAGGATCTCATTCAAAATACCACATTTTAAAAAAATTATTTATCTAACGCAATCAACTTTTTTTTTTTCTTATAGTTTAAGTTCTGGGATACATGTACAGAACGTGCATATTTGTTACATAGGTATACACATGCCATAGTGGTTTGCTGCATCCATCAACCCGTCATCCACATTAAGTATTTCTCCTAATGCTATCCCTCCCCTAGCCTCCCACCCCCGACAGGCCTGGTTGTGTGATGTTCCGCTCCCTGTGTCCATGTGTTCTCATTGTTCATCTCCCACTTATGAGTGACAACATGCGGTGTTAGGTTTTCTGTTCTTGTGTTAGTTTGCTGAGAATGATGGTTTCCAGCCTCACCCTGCAAAGGGCATGAACTCAACATTTTTAAGGCTGCATAATATTCCATGGTGTATATGTGCCACATTTTCTTTATCCAGTCTATCATTGATGGGCATTTGGGTTGGTTCCAGGTGTTTGCTATTGTGAGCAGTGCTGCAGTAAACATACATGTGCATGTGTCTTTATAGTAGAATGATTTATAATGCTTCGGGTATATGTGCAGTGATGGGATTGGTGAGTCAAATGGTATTTCTGGTTCTAGATCCTTGAGGAATTGCCACACTGTCTTCCACAATGGTTGAACTAATTTACACTCCCACTAACCGTGTAAAAGCGTTCCTATTTCTCCACATCCTTTCTAGCATCTGTTGTTTCCTGACTTTATAATGATCACCATTCTAACTGGCATGAGATGGTATCTCATTGTGGTTTTGATTTGCGTTTTTCTAATGGCCAGTGATGATGAGCTTTTTTTTGTATGTTTGTTGGCCACATGAATGTCTTCTTTTGAGAAGTATTTGTTCATATCCTTGGCCCACTTTTTTGACGGGGTTGTTTGGTTTTTTTCTTGTAAATTTGTTTAAGTTCTTTGTAGATTCTGGATATTAGCCCTTTGTCAGATGAATAGATTGCAAAAATTTTCTCCCATTCTGTAGGTTCCCCGTTCACTCTGATGATAGTTTCTTTTGCCGTGCAGAAGCTCTTTAGTTTAATTAGATTCCGTGTGTCAATTTGGGCTTTTGTTGCCATTGCTTTTGGTGTTTTAGTCATGAAGTCTTTGCCCATGCCTATGTCCTGAGTGGTATTACCTAGGTTTTCTTCTAGGGTTTTTATGGTTTTAGGTCTTATGTTTAAGTCTTTAATCCATCTTGAGTTAATTTTTGTACAAGGTGTAAGGAAGGGATCCAGTTTCAGCTTTCTGCATATGGCTAGCCAGTTTTCCCAACACCGTTTGTTAAATAGGGAATCCTTTCCCCATTGCTTGTGTTTGTCAGATTTGTCAAAGATTAGATAGTTGTAGATGTGTGGTGTTATTTCTGAGGCCTCTGTTCTATTCCTTTGATCTATGTGTCTATTTTGGTACCAGCACCATGCTATTTTGGTTACTGTAGCCTTGTAGTATAGTTTGAAGTCAGGTAGTGTGATGCCTCCTGCTTTGTTCTTTTTGCTTAGGATTGTCTTGGCTATATGGGCTGTTTTTTGGTTCCATATGAAATTTAAAGTCATTTTTTTCTAATTCTGTGAAGAAGGTCAATAATAATAAGAGCTATTTATGACAAACCCACAGCCAATATTATACCGAATGGGCAAAAGCGGGAAGCATTCCCTTTGAAAACCAGCACAAGACAAGGATGCCCTCTCTCACCACTCCTATTCAGCATAGTATTGGAAGTTCTGGCCAGGGGAACAACGCAAGAGAAAGAAATAAATGGTATTCAAACAGGAAGAGAGGAAGTCAAATTGTCTCTGTTTGCAGATGACATGATTGTATATTTAGAAAAACCGCATTATCTCAGCCCCAAATCTCCTTATTAAGCTGATAAGCAATTTCAGCAGTCTCAGGGTACAAAATCAATGTGCAAAAAATCAGAAGCATTCCTATACACCAATAATAGACAAACAGAGAGCCAAATCATGAGTGAACCCCCATTCACAATTGCTACAAAGAAAATAAAATACCTAGGAATCCAACTTACAAGGGATGTGAGGGACCTCTTCAAGGAGAACTACAAACTGCTACTCAAGGAAATAAGAAAGGACACAATCAAATGGAAAAATATTCCATGCTCATGGATAGGAAGAATCAATATTGCAAAAATGGCCATACTGCCCAAAGTAATTTATAGATTCAATGCTATCCCCATCAAGCTACCAATAACACATTATTTGCTAAGGATCCTCTTGAGAGTGACAGTTTTGCAGACTTTCCTTATTTTTGATGGCCCTGACAGTTTTGAAGAATACTAGTTAGGAATTTTGTAGTATGTCACTTAAGAAATAAAAATAAAATTCTAAGCCACCAAATGATTGAACAGATCTGCTCTTGGCCAAGGGGACCCCAGAAAAAATCTTGAAAATGGACTTCATGGCAATGAGATAGATGGGAGGTTGAGCACACCTCATTATACCCCTTCACTCACTAACTACTTTGATGATTTCTTCCCTAAGGACTAAACAGAAACAAGCCCTTGCAAGACTCCACACCTGGCTTCAACCAAACCTCATTGCTGCCCCTCCCTTTTGCAATTTTTGACAGAACTGACCAGCATTTCTTCCTGATAAGAGACTACCAACTGACTACAGAGTGGTTCTGGTCAGTCTACAGAGGATGAACAGTGAGAATTTTTGTGTCCTTTGCTTCACCTTTGAAATCAGAGGACCAAAAACTCCACCCCAGGATTATGCTAACACTGCCATCTTTTATACATGGGACCCATGAAGAAGCACAAAGCTCAGTTGCACATGCACACATTTCTCCTTTCACAAATATTCATGGATCTGCCTACAGCTTATTGAATGTGTATATTTGGCCATTCTGCACTGCATATATTTCTGTCCCCTTCGTTCCTCCCTTCAAGTGCCTCTTTCTGGCTTCTAACCAGAAGCTTCCCTGCTGGTCAGAATGGCCACCCTGCAGGCTGTAGCACTTTGTATGAGAAATAAAGCTCTTCTTTCCAAATTTATGACCTCATTAGTCTTCAACTGACACTCTCAAGTAGAGTTTGTCTGATGTTTTTTTTCTCATGGTTACACTGGGATTATGAGTTTTAGAGAAGAAGTCTAGTATAGAGCTCAGAATATAGCACCCTAAAATATGATTCTAGGGGCCAGAACATGCTGCTTCAAAGGAAGCCTGTTTAGCATAAGGAGTATTTTGAGCTGTTATTTTGAGAAACTGCAGACACAGGAGAAGCTCTGAGAAGTTACTTGTTTGTATGAAAAATTTACATATAAAGGAAATCTCCATTTGTAAGGGTGTCTTCCCCTCTGCACTAGGAAGAGAAGGATGACTAAATCATTAGAGATTATTATCAATGGCATGAATTTAAATCTGCAATACAAGGTTTTGTTTTACAGCTAACTGGGACTTTCCCCAGTCACTTCTTTATTTCTGAGAAAGATGATATTTAGTCTGAAGTCTAAGAGAGTTCTTTGAGTTCTACTCCAGAGATTTACTCATGTCTCTGGATATCTCCCAGAATATAACTCCTGATGTATACCTCTGGTGTACATATATTAAACTCCTGTTTGTTTTCCTCTTGTTTATCTGTCTTTTCATAGAGGAAATCCCAGCTAAGAACTCATTAAGGGTGAAGGAGAAAATTATTTTTCTCTTCTACATCTACAAAGATAAAATACCCTTCTCATTATATCATACAAAGGGTACATGCTATCAACATGACTTATCACTCATGATCTTAGCCTTGATTATGCTGAATAGTGCTTGCCAGGTTTCTGCACTGGAAAGTTACTTTTTTGTTCCATGTTTCATATGTACTTCTTGGGAGTAAGGTACAAAGTACAGCCCACATTTCAGGGGTAGGTAGTTATGCTCTATGTCCTTGAGGGAAGAAAATTTATATAAATTATTTGGAATTATTTTGTATGGACAATTTGTATCTTATCTCTTATTTATCTGTTTATTCATTCATTCAATTAGTTATTTATATCAATATGAATTCATAGATAGGTATTTTATACTTTGCATTATGCTTTGGATTATAATCCAATACTATATTACATATATGTATACATATACACACATATATATATATACACACACACACACACACACATATATCTCAAATAGTTCTAATTTTAGCCATTGGGAGCTCTTTCAATTGGCTCCTGTGTCCCTATAATATTACTTTTTGGAGCTCTCTTTTACTTTCTGGCACTACAAGATGCTCCAGGCTCATTTGACATATTCCCTGCCTCAGTCCTCAAATCAGCCATTTTTCTAAGTAGCACTGGTTCATTTAACTGGCAAATGGTATTAGAAACTGAGATTTGCATGCTAGTAATCAGGTCATCTTATAGATTACATAACTGAAGCTCAGAGATGTTAAGGGATTTGTTCAAGGTCCAAAGGTGACTACTAGCAAAGCTAACACTGGAATACAAGTATCTTGATGCCTGGATCACTAACCCTGCCTTACGCCACCTTGACTTCTCACATTCCAGGGCATGTAAATGAGAAACTATGTCCTTTGTTCCTGTAGTCGGGACATTCCAAGTATCCTGCACTTATGCATTTGTATTTACGCAGGACTTGGAAGCCCTGCCATGAAAGAGAAGATGAAAGCAAGAGAAACACAGTTATCTTAATAACAACAAAAGAAACAATGAGGAGCCATTTCCTCAAGCAAGGGTGAGGCTTAGGTTATACAGAAAATATCAGGTGTGTTCTTTTATGCTTAGAAAATCTGTGAAACTTATTTGAGTACATGGCTTATCACTTCCCAGATTTTTATCAGTTTGTCACATTCTTTTTAAACATATATCTTTAAAGCCACATAGACCCAGAGCAAGGATACCTGCACACACATCTCTAAAGTTTAAAAAAGACTCTTGCCAGGCACAGTGGCTCACGCCTGTAATCCCAGCACTTTAGGAGGCCGAAGCGGGTGAACCACCTGAGATCAGGAGTTTGAGAACAGCTTGATCAACATCGTGAAACCTCATCTCTACTAAAAATGCAGAATTAGCCAGGCAAGGTGAAGCATGCCTATCATGCCTATAATCCCAGCTACTTGGGAGACTGAGGCAGGCAGGAAAATCACTTGAACCGGGAGGTAGAGGTTGCAGTGAGACAAGATTGTGGCACTGCATTCCAGCCTGGGCAATAAGAGTGAAACTTCATCTCAAAAAAAGCAAAAAAAAAAAAAAAAAAAAAAAGACT
Source organism: Homo sapiens (assembly GCF_000001405.40). Lineage (NCBI taxonomy): Eukaryota > Metazoa > Chordata > Mammalia > Primates > Hominidae > Homo > Homo sapiens. Next base: position 36,256,043 of record NC_000008.11, on the reverse strand, counting down.
CATATAGCTAAGAATTTGAAATCGATTATAAGATAATAAGAAATAATGTGTATTGTTCCTTTTGGAGGGACATATGTAGCACATTTTCCTTTAGTCTCTTTGAGATGTGCATGATGTTTTTATTAATTATTAAATAAAACAGCAAAAATGAAAATTATTTGGTATCAGAGGTCAAGCAGAGTACACATATCACCTTATTAAACATATTATATAGCCCAGTTGAAACTGCCTGATGGGTTCTTCTTGCTCATTGCACAGATAAACCCAATTCACTGAGACAGTGTTATTGCAGTAAAGAAAACATTTGTTTAATGAAAGGCCAGCCAAGCAGAAGGACAGGAGCTTGTTATTACTCAAGTCAGCCTCTCTGAGAACTCAGAGACTAGGGTTTTTATCGATAATCTGGTGGGCAGGGGCTAGGAAATGGGTGCTGCTGATCAGTTCTAAGTCAAATCATAGGGGTGTGGAAAATGGTTCCTCCTGCACTGAATCCACCTCTGGGTGAGGGCCAGAGGGCCAATTCAGTCATGAGTCACAAGTCCAGGTGGGGTCAGTCACTTCCCAGAAAACAAAAGTCTGAAAAATATCTGAAAAGACCAATCTTAGGTTCTACAATAGTGATATTATCTACAGGAACAATTGGAGAAGTCACAAACCTTGTGAACTCTGGCCACATGACTCCTGAACAGTAAGAGATTATAGAAAAACTAAGGGCCAGACACAGTGGCTCACACCTGTAATCCCAGCACTTTGGGAGGCCAAGGCAGGTGGGTCACCTGAGGTCAGGAGTTTGAGACCAGCCTGGCTAACATGGCAAAAATCCCTCCACTAAAAATACAAAAATTAGCTGGGCATGCTGGTGCGTGTCTGTAATCCCAGCTACTCAGGTGGCTGAGGCAGAAGAATTGCTTGAACCCAGGAGGCAGAGGTTGCAGTGAGCTGAGATTGCGCCACTGTGCTCTAGCCTGGGACAGAGCGAGACTCTGTCTCAAAAAAAGAAAAGAAAGAGAGAAAGAAAGAAAGAAATAGAGAGAGAGAGAGAGAGAAAGGAAGGAAGGAAGGAAGAAGGAAGGAAGGAAAGAAAGAAAGAAAGAAAGAAAGAAAGAAAGAAAGAAAGAAAGAAAGAAAGAAAGAAAGAAAGAATGAAAGAAAGAAAGAAAGAGAAAGAAAGAAAACGAATGAACTAGGGGACAATGGCTGGTTATTGTTTAGCTACCCCTGTTTCTTAGCAGAATTCAGGCCCCTCCCATAATCCTTATCCTGTGGCCTTTCATTAGTCTTACCAAGACAGTTTCAGTACTTGAAGGAGGAAGGCATCAGTTTTAGGGAGGGACTATTATCATCATTGCTTTCAAGTTAAACTGTGAATTAAATTCCTCCCATGGTTAACTTGGCCTATGCCCAGGAATGAAGGAGGATAGCTAGCCCGTGAGGCCAGAAGCAAGATGGAGTCAGCCATGGTAGTCTTCTCTGGATGTCATAATCTTTGCAAAGGCAGTTTCACAATTTCTATTTTTAAATTCATTAGATCATTCTCGTATTTGAGCCTTAGGTTAATTGTTTTTTTATCTACATGTGTGTTCCCAGTAGATTCCATATGGGAATTTGGATAAATTTGATACATTTTGATAAATAGCAACTAGTAATGCTTATAACTACTGTTAGTTATTACTAAGATTGTTCTAGCCATTATGGATGATATAAAGATGAATTAGTCCCAGAGCTTGCTGGTAAGGGTAACCCTAAAACATAACTCACTGTTGACTTCCATTGCTCCCAGTACAATGTAATATACAGAATAAGCATTAAGCAAGCAATCCTTGTTTAACAAATTAATAGTCAATCTATACAGTATTGAGCTTTTGCAGTCTCCACTGGTAATTGTTTCAATTAAAGTATTTACATTGTAATTAGTCAATAATGCAAATTGTGTGTTGGAAAGGCTTTTAATAATTATTTCTGTATGCTATCAATATCTTTGTAGTTTTGATAATAAATCCAGAAAAGTAAAACTGAGCCCATGACTGTGTAAAGCCTCTTCTTTATTTCATAACTGAAGAAGTGTGAGATATCTCTGAGGTAACATTTTCCTGAATGGCCATGCCTGTTGGTCATCCAAATTATTCCCAATAGTAAAGACAGATTTAACCACTCAAATTTTATTTTTTAAGTGGAAATTATATTTTAGATATACATTCTTAAAGCAATTTCTGTCAATTATTTTAATTTTAGCATATGAAATAAAGAATTTGACATAATGTTGAAATATATGTAAATTGTTCAACTTCCAAAATGTCAAGTTTTTTCACCTTCCAATTATTTTTCAATTTATTCTAAATCAGTATTTTATATGGGATTGCAATTCATGCCAACATATAACATTTATATCAATTACTAGTCATGTAGCAATCAATCTACTGCCATCTAGTACCAAATGTCTAATGCAGGCAAAGCATTTCATACAATAGTAAAAATAATCACATTTCTACTTACATTTACAATGGCTCATCAATATCTATCTCTGATTTATTGAAACACTATTGAAGGAATATAGTCAGAGTTACAGCTAAGGTATTTTATTGAGAGGCCATTTTTTACTGGCTTGTACTAAATAAAGCTAATTGATGTTAAAAGCAGTATCTTAAAGGGCTTGTTAAGAAATTTTTAGTCTCCAAAATACATAGATTTCTTTTTTTTCCTGATTTATATAAATTGAACATATTTATATCTTCTCTAAAGCAGTTTATTCCCAATCTCAAGTGGACAAGAACGGTTGTTTCTTTTATAGCCCTTTTTAGGTGTCCACAACCTTCATAATGAGTGGTTGAGTTTGGAAAGTAGCAGATGTTCATTAGGATGTTGCAGCAACTTTTCCAGCTGGTCCACATAAACCTTCAACCATATACCTGGAAAACCCAGTGGAGTTGATGTAAGCATATTGGTTAGTGTTATTTGTGTAAAGGATGCTGCTTTGCATCTTACTGTAAATCTCTCAAGCTCCCCAGTTTCTGACTCCATAGGAAGAGAAAGTTTTTCAGAACTAATTTATCAGTGGAATAAAGATACATATATTAAATATGGATCATCTTTAACTTTATTCTTAAATTTTAGCTCTTTTCTTTATTCTTGCTTTATTATTTTTAGGGTCTTTGTAAACTTCTTTGGTTTTGGTTAATTTGTTATTTTAGGAAAGCTCAAGTGAGTCCTGGTTTCCTATTAATTTGAAGAACATCTTGAGTAGAATAGAATCAAATCCCTAAATCCAAAGGAACAGAATAATATTCCCTAAACTGATCAAATTGAAATGAACCTATGAGAAAAGGTAAAGGCATTTGTGAAAATGAACTAAAAGTTTATCCCCCACTTTCTAAATCCTGTCGAATGCTCAACACACTGAAGGCTGAGTTCTGGTCTTCAGTCCGGCATATCATCATTCTCTGCACTGACATTTGGACTAACTTCACTGATCTATAAAGATTTCATTTTCCTCTTTGAGGATTAGGTGAAATTCTTCCCATCTAACAAAGGAGCAGACTATTAACACACCCACATTGCTAGTTTTCCTTTTGGTAAGTGAGGTAATCCAAAAACTGTAACAATCCATGGTTTAAGCTCAGATAACAGTTGTATTCTGAATATCTGAATGCTCAGCTTTAGGGAATTTTGAACATTACCCATATTTTCAAGGTGCTAAGAGAAAGATCTGTACCAACATTTTATCTTCTCAGAGCATATAAAACAAAATTGGATTTGCAAAGCATCATCCTGAAGGAAGATTAGTCTGCATCAGTAGGTATAAGCTTTAGGGAAAGATTGTGGTGAACATGCTGCTCAGAGGGATTCTGGGGCATCACAACAAGCCCAATACCTGGGGAACCTATATAGGACTCCTTGCTCTTCTCTCTTCTTGCTCTACAATCCCATCGCAAGCCTCTATTTTATGCCTATTTCTTCAGGGTCAAGATTTGTGGAATGTCAGTAAAATCAGGGGTTCACAGACTATGGCCTATGAGCCAAATCTGCCCCCATTGCCTGTTTTGGTAAATGAAGTTTTATTGCCAGCTGTGGTGGTTCACTCCTGTAACCTCAGCACTTAGGGAGACCGAGGCAGGGAGGATCACTTGAGGCCAGGAAATTTGAGACCAGCCTGGGCAATATAAGATGACTCTGTCTCCACAAATTAAAAAAAAAAAAAAAACTGGGAGTGGTGGCATGCACCTATCATCCCAACTACTTAGGAGGCTGAGGTGGGAGGATTGCTTGAGCCCAGGAGTTTGAGGCTGCAGTGAATTATGATTGCACCACTGCACTCCAGCCTGGGTAAAAGAGCAAGGCTCTGCCTCAAAAAAATAAAGTTTCATTGGAACATAGACACACATTCATTTACACGCTGACTATGGCTGCTTTTCGGCTACAGCCTAGCCTATCTTCTTTCTTACCCTTCAAAACAAAAAAAATGCTGGCCTTGAACTGAAGGATCGACTGATAACTTTGAATGTGTAAACACTGTGGTGGTTTGCTGACTCAAAAGGCCAGGACAGACCACATACATCACTTATATTTCTTCATTGAATAAAACAGCATTTTAAACCCCAGACCATTTTCTCATTTCCACTCTGAAAAGAGAACTATGTGGTACAAGTTAAGAAAAAAAAAAAAAAAAAGCCCGGCAGGAAGGAAACTAGGAATAGTTCATCTGACTTCATTACTTTTCCCACATAAGTGACTCAAAAACGCGGAGAATATTGTGGACAGTGGCACTCCGTGTTTCTTTACAGCTCATCATTACTGATGTTGCAAGAAAGCACAGGCTTCTTCACTGCAGGGTTGGGTTCTTTTGCACGCACACGCAGGCATGCACATGCCCACACGCACACATACACACACGCACGCACACACACATACACACACACGCAGGCATATACACACACACATGCACACACACACAGACATGCACGGAGCTACTCTCCGTGGACACCTAGCCCCTTGCCTCACTTTTTAAGTCCACTCAGGTGCTGGCCGCCAGCTGGCGTAAATGACAGATGATGCTAACTTTCAACAGATGTCTTTCTGACCCCAAAGATAATGGAAATGACAAATAATAACTTTGTAATTACCTTAACTTCAACCAAAGCAGAAGCTGAAAAATCACCAGATGAGAACTGCAGGGGACATGTGGGACGGACTTTCCCATTAAGCATGCTTAAGTGTCCCCTGTGCTGTGCAGCTCAGGAGCTGTGCCAGGAGGGCATGGAAGGCAGCCGAACATGCACCCAACCATAAATCTTCTTGGCCCCCTGATAAACAAACAAGACTTCAACATCTGCACTCACAGCTGACTAGAAATGGAGAAATGAAGATTAAATGGGAACTGGGGCACTGTCAGAGCTGGGAGCTTTACAGTTCCTTGGATCCTATAAAAGTCCTCTAATCAAAAATACATTTTAAATGCTCACATTTCATTTTTCTTTTCTGTTTTCTGGGACTGGTCCATGAGAAGAAACAATAGGAGAAACAAAAATGGCAAATAAAATTTGAACTGATGAGAGGAGAGTGTGCCTTTTGCTGGTATTCTAGGTGTGAGAAGTGGTTTAGACAACTATCCTGAAATGCAGTGCACCGTTTCGAATCTTGAACAATTCTGGCATGGTTGCCTGGGTTTCACGAGATTTCTGAGCACGTTGAGACTTTTCTTTATTTTTAAAAGTCTGGAGCTTGTTTGAGCTATGTCTGAATCACCACCCAGATATAAATTTTTTTAGTTTGACTGAAAATTCTGACCATGCTGTCTACACCTGGATTGAAATCAATCAATCAGTCTCTGGATAGAAACAACTCTCACTTGTGATGACGAACTGTATGTGTCAACCTGACTGAGCCAGGAAGCACCCAGATATTCTAGGTGTTTCTTAGAGGGTGTTTTTGGATGCAAGTAACATTTAAATTAGTAGACTGAGTAAAGTAGATAGTCCTCCCTAACAGGGCAAGGCCTCATCCAATCCCTAATCCGTCAAGGGCTTAAATAGAATAAAAGGGCTGACTCTTCCTTGGGTAAGAGATTTTTTTTTTCTGCCTAATGGCTCTCAAGCTGCAACATTAGCTTTTTTTCTGCCTTTGGACTTGCTCTGAAACATCAGCTCTCCCTGAGTGTGGAGCCAGCTGATCCTTGGACTGGAGCTACACCCACAACCCTCCTGGGTCTCCAGTTGGATGACTCACCTTGCAGATCTTGAGATTTGTCAATCTCCATAATCACATGGGCCACCTCTCTAGAATACACCTTTTTCTATGAAGACATATCTTGGGATTCATAAAACAATACCCAATGTAAGGGTCTCAAAAGCAAAAGTTTTCTCTGATTTTTCTCCTGCCTTCCTGTCTCTCAGTCCTGTCTCTCTCCCTCAAGGCTAGCCATAAAAGCTAGAATTTGTATTCCTCAAGGAAGGTCATAGAAACCAGAACCCCTTTTCCCTAAAGCTAGCCATCAAACCTAGAAATATTAGTCTAATTTCCCCCTACCTTTCTGTGTATAAACTGGCCATAAACAAATGATCTGACTTACTTTGTTTGACTGTAGGTCATAAGACCTCCATTTCAGAGAGGGTCCTGCCCCATACCCAGAGCAAAAGAATGCTGCTCAGAGAGGCCAAGAAGAATCTAGACAGACAGGCCTTGCTCAGTTTCCCCACTCAGTCTAGGAACATTAGGGCATACACTTTTTGTCCAATCCTATTTCTACATGGCTATTCATATTTATTGAACTTATGCATACAAATGGATAATTTCTCCTGTATCACTGGGTCATCATTCTGAAGGCTCCCATGTACACACATTAAATAAATTTGTGTGCCTTTCTCCAATGAATGAGCCTCTTACGAGCTGATTTTTCAGTGAACATTCAGGGGCCCAAGGGCATTGGCTCCTACATATACATCCAATTGGTTCTGTTTCTCTGGAGAACACTGACTGGCCATCAAATCTGAGGGTAATATCTTAGGACAGCATGAGATATCAACAATCTTATGATTGAAATCTTCCTGTATCTTCCTGCCATTGATACTTGTTATCCCCCTTGTAGCTATAATAGAGCAAGCCATATGACGACCATTGTCATTATCTGCGTTTGCAGGCTAACCACTCCAACTTGATCAAACCCTTCCTCATTAGAGGTAATTGTGAGTTCTTCCACCCTCTGTGTCACTCTTTTCTACATGTCCTCCAGTCTGTCTATATCCCACTTGAAGTGTGGTATACAGCCTTCTCTAGGTGAGAGTGGCATCATAACCTGAATCCTAGTGCCACATATCTACTCACCTTGCAGGGTATGTTGTCATTAGCTGTTTTGATGATTATATGAATGTTCTTACCCACATTAGCTTAAATACTGCTGCTAAACTAAATGTTTCTGCTAAATTGCATCTTGGTACAATAAGTTTTTGTTTGTTTTGTTTTGATTTTGTTTTTTGAACTACAAAAGCCTATTCTTGTTTTTTGTTTGTTTGAGATGGAGTCTCACTCTGTCATCCAGGGTGGAGCACAGTCATGCAATATCAGCTCACTGCAATCTCTGCCTCCTAGGTTCAAGCAATTCCCCTGCCCCAGCCTCCCAAGTAGCTGGGATTACAAACATGTGCCACTACACCTGGCTAATTTTTTGTATTTTTAGTAGAGATGAGGTTTCACCATATTTCCATCCAGGCTGGTCTCAAACTCCTGGCCTCAAGTGATCTGCTGCCCTCGGCCTCCCAAAGTGCTGGAATTATAAGCGTGAGCCGCCATACCTGGCTTCCAATCTTTCATCTAGGCTCCAGAACCAATTCCATCACCTACTGGGATGTCCACAGATATCCTACTGCAGTGAGCTTCAAGAGGAAAGAAATTTCTGTTTGTTTTATCCACTGCTGCATGCCAAGTGCCTAATGTACTCTCTGGCATCTAGGAGGTTCTCTACAAATATTTTTGAATGAATAAGCAAATTAATGTTTTGTGTTTTTTTTTGAGACAGGATCTCACTCTGTCACCCAGGCTGGAGTGCTGTGGCACAATCATAGCTCACTGCAGCCTCAACCTTTAGGGCTCAAGTGAGCCCCCCACCTCAGCATCCTGTGTAGCTGCGACTACAGGCACATGCCACCATGCTTGGTTAATTTTTTTGTAGAGACGAGGTTTCGCCATGTTGCCCAGGGTGGTCTTGAACACCTGGGCTCAAATGATCCACCCACCTCAGCCTCCTAAAGTGCTGGGATTACAGGCATGAGCCACCATGCCTGTCCAATAAATGAACTTTAAATGTAACATGCTCAAGTACGGTCTTATTATCTTATTCCACTTGCAATATACACTCTCAGGAGTGTGGTGCTGCCATCTCTGCAGCTACTAAAGCAAAAATTTGAGAGTCATCTTGCATTTCACTCTCTGCCTCATCTTACATATCCAATTACATCTCAAGGAACACAGATTTTTCCCAGAGTGTCTCTCAAATTGATTCAGTTTTCCCTTTCTCATCATTACTGCCATAGTTTAGGTCCTTATCTTTCCTCTATTGATGTTTTTTAATAGCCTCCTAAATGAATTACTGACTTTATTATCATCCCCATTCTTTTAATCCATTTATTCTTCATATTGCTGTCAAAGCTCTCTTTCTGAAATACAAATCTGATCAAATTATTGTACTGCTTAAAATTATTTATGGCTTCTCATGATTGTCACAATAAAATACAAATTCCTTAGCAAGCATCCATCATTTTAAGCTCTTTCATGAACTGGCCCATTCCCACCACTTCAGCTCCATTTTGTTTACTTTGACACCAAGTGCTCTGTTTTCCAGTGGTAATGAACATACCACACTCTCCTGTCTGACCTCTGCATGTGTTATAACCTTTACTTCTCCCCTTTATTTATAGAATTAACTACAACTCACCAAACCATTCAGGAGGTGGTTGCGGATCACCCCCAGGCTGGGTAAGACTCTTGTCTGCACTCACAGAACACCTGTGCCCACCTTTAGTTGTAGACAATCAAAATCAAGTGTGATAAGGGCATTCTCTCACACTTGATCCTAAAATTGGGTGAACTTGTAATCTGAGTGCACAATCCCAGGTTCAGGACATATTAAGTCCTCAGCTGAATGAATTGCACCCTATTAAGCAGGGCGAAAGGTGGGAGATGAAAAGTACTAAGAGAATGAGAGGCATTTCAGGACAGGTCATCCGTGTGAGCAAAGGCACCGAGGCAAGAGAACGTGGCTTGTGTCTGGGGGACTGTGAACCAGGCACATAGATGTTAGGGAGGGAGGAGGGCAGCAGAGGGCTAGAAAAAAGGCTGTTTGTTACAAGGAGAATTTCAGAGGTCAGTGAGTTGCCATCTGGCCTTACTGCAGACCTAGTATTCCATTTCTAGTCTTCTAGCAAGCCATAAGTTTTGTGCGTCCTTCTGACTTTCCTCTGGGTGTCCCACATCTCACATTTTGCACTGTCTCCCCTTCATCAGCAATAACAGCAAAAGTTGCTGAGTTCAGCACCTATTATCTTGTTAGCAAGACTTTCTCTTCAGTGCTTCCTCTTTGCAACTCAGTCTCTCTAATGCTGACTACTAAAATGACTTGATGTCCAGATGTAGATTCAACATCTGAGTCAGGAGCACTGAAATCTGCGCCTGCATTGTGGAAATGTGCTGGCAGATGTGACCATGATTTGTCTGTTGACATTCAACTGAACATTTCAAAGCTCTGAATAAAAACTCACGGCCAGGCACGGTGGCTCACGCCTGTAATCCCAGCACTTTAGGAGGCCGACGCAGGAGGATCACCTGAGGTCAGGAGTTCAAGACCAGCCTGGCCAACATGGCAAAACCCTGTCTCTACTAAAAAATACAAAAATTAGCCAGACGTGTTAGTGGGTGCCTGTAATCCCACCTACTCAGGAGGCTGAGGCAGGGAGAATTGCTTGAACCCAGGAGGTGGAGGTTGCAGTGAGCTGAGATTGCACCACTGCACTCCAGCCTGGGCAACAGAGTGAGTAAAAAATAATAATAATAAAAAAAACCTCACATTTATAGAGTACTTATCATGTACCAGGTATGGTTCTAAGTACGCTATATGCATTACCTCATAAAATTTCTATGAAGTACATGCCATTATTTTTCTCATTTTATAGATGAGTTCACTGAGGCACAGAGAGGTTAAGAAAACTTTCCATGGCCACACAACTGACAAGGGCTGGTGTCAGAATTTTTTAAATGTAGCTCTAAAATCCATGAACTTAATCATTATCCTATGTGCCTCTTTAAAATGCATAAGAAGTACAGGACATAGACAGAGTAGAGCTTCTAATATTTACTTTGCTATAAATTGTATAAATTTGAATAAATCAGAATCCCATGAGGCTTAGTGTATTTCTGTCTACAATGAACACATTTGTGTAGAAAAGCTGACTTCAAACATTTTTACTTTTATAGCCTGTAAAAAAATATATTTTTAAAAATATTGTATCCCATTGTACTTTTTAATAATACATCTATTAATAGATTTTCAATTATATGTTTAAACATTTGCAAAGAAAATAGTTTCCAGCATTTTATAATATAGATCTTAAAATGAAACTATTCCACCACTCTTTTAATATAGGTACTTCAGCTTTCTTCTGGTTACCGTTTGCATGTATATCATTTTCCATCTTTTAAATTTCAATCTGTCTGTGCCTTTCAATTTAAATTATGTCTGTTGCACAAGGCATATCATTAGAACTTGTTTCTTTTTTTTTTAATCTAGTCTGATGATCTGTGTCTCTTGACTGGAATCTTTAGTTCATTCATATTTAATGTAAGTATCAATATGGTTGGATTTATGTCTGTCATTTTGCTATTTGCTTTCCATACGTCTCCTTATTTTTCTTGTGGTTTCACTGTTTCTTTTTTACTGCCTTTTTTGTGCTAGACCAATATTTTTTGGTAAACCATTTAAATTACTTTAAGGTTACTCAAAGTAGTTTACTTTACTTTGAGATAGCCATTAATTTTTAAATTAAATTTCAGAGTGGCTCACTCCAGGGGTTGCTAAATGTATCAATATACTTCAGATTAATACTGACCTCATTCTAAAAAAATATAGCTCCATTCCCCTACTTCCTTTCTGCAATTATTGTCATATATATTGCATAGTAATACAGTGTTATAATCATTGCTTTAAACAATCTTATGGGTACTTTTAAGAAATTATGAGAAAAAAACATATATAGTAAGAGTATTCTATACTTACCCACACATTGGTCATTTTCCTGCTCTTCACTCCTTCTTGTGTATTTGAATTAATATCTGGTGTCATTTGCTTTCAGTCCATTGGACTTTCTGGTGGGACAGATATACTAGCAAATAATTTTCCTCGTTTTTTTTGGGGGGATGCCTTTATTTTGCCACATTTTTAAATGATAATTTTGCAGGAAAAAGAAACCTTGAAGACAGTTCATGAACTTCTACAACCTATTAAATGTGAGACAATTAGAACTTGGGGTGGCATTCCCCAAAAAGTGTAGTCTGTGGCCATTCATTTGCTATGAAATATCCATGATCTAGCATAGTTGAAAAACATTAGTTTCTTTGCAATAAGGATTCTGAGTCTTTCAACCGCTAATACATGTCTTGACTCAAAGAAGGTAGGGCTTGCTTTCTAAAACTCTTTTGACTATTGGGAACTTTTTCTACTGAGCATCTTGCTTCACTGTTGTTCGACAAAGAATAATGGCAACCAAAATGAGTGACTGAGGCAAAGGTCTGAATCATTGAATTTTGTTAAGCCAGCATTAAAGCATGTCCAGGAAAAATAGGAACCACAGAGACATCTATGGCTGTATTTCTTTTTTCTTTTCTTCCTTTCTTTTTATTGTTGCTATTGTTTAAGAAGGGTCTTGCTCTGTCACCCAGGCTGGCATGATGATGGCTTACTACACTTTTAAACTTCTGGGCTCAAGGGATCCTCCTACCTCAGCCTTCTGAGTAGTTGGGACTACAGGTGCATGCCACCTTGCCCAGCTGATTTTTGTATTTATTGTTGAGATGAAGTTTTACCACATTGCCCAGGCTGGTCTCAAACTCCTGGGCTCAAGGGATCCTCTCACTCCGGTCTCCCAAAGTGCTGGGATTACAGGTGTACAGGTGTGAGCCACCATGCCCAGCCCTGTGGTTGTTTTTCTGAAGAAGTTTTCAGGAGGTTTAGTACGTATACGTTTCCTTAAATGGAGGAAAGGCAGGTAGGCAGAGGGGCAAGTAAGATGCAAGATGAATGGTTACATTCTTGTGAGACCTTGGTTAGTATTCAGTAAATCTAGCTATATTTTACATAAGAGAAGGTGAATGTTTGAAGAGAAAAAGGCAGTAAAAGAAGAATCAATTATGCAGACCTCTCTTGGAAGGTGGAAGAATTAGTCTAGTCTTTGTCCTGCACCTGGGAAGACAACATTATCTATGTGGAATCAAACAGACTTTAGTTTCAGGAGCTAGACTTGGATTGTAGACCTAAAGTTATAATTGGCATGTCCTTGTTTAGGGAGACCAGCAAAGAATTTACTTATGGATGATCTGTGGGGGCAGTCCTTCCTAGATCCCTGAGGCCTTTTACCTTTTGTAGGGATCTGCTAAACGTGTAATGTTAGTAACCACTGCTCGTTTGTTTGTAAGAGAGTGTTGCATGACTCAGTCTCTCAGCTTAACCTTTCCTTTTGTATAAGAAGTTTGTGAGCCTTGAGATTTTTTATTTTGCAATATGTTCAAAAATTTTAATATAGTATGGGTAGGTACACTGACACACAGAAGAAACTGAGTGGGACCCAGTGGGTGAAGCCATGGTACGATGAAAAAAAGAGCAGAAGGATTGCATTTCCATCCTATCTACTCCCAGCAGCCTCACAGCAAGGATTATGTTATTGGAGAAGAAAGTCCTTTTAGCAAGGGTTATGACATTTATAGATAATCAAGAAAATATGCTGTGATTTATTTATTATTGGGTGTTTTGTTATTGTTACCTACTACCCTGCATTTAACCACAAAGCTTACTAAGTTATTTGGAATTTGGTCCGTCATCTTCACCTTAATGCACTCACATGCTTGACTGTTATAGTTCAGACTGAATAGAAAAATATATATATATATTTGGCAATTTAAACATCCCTATTTTATAATTACATTTTGATTGCTGAGGCATTATCAGGGCATCCTGCAAAGCTCAACAAATGCAAACCTAATTCTTTTTTAATACCAACCCCAGGAGGAGGTTAACTTGAAAACAGTAAGATTTATTTTTGAGCCTGTAGATTATTTTAAATACCTAACTTCTAGATTTTATGCACTATATAGAAGGGAGAAGACAGATTGTCAGAAATCTCTAATAGTTCTTCCCTTCCGAAGTTGCCAGGGAAAGGCACTGAGCTGAGTGGTCAGCTTTATAGTCTGGAAGGTGACTGCGGGAAATCCAATGTACATGACACAAAATATACAACAGCCCCTCAGGTAAGATGCATGAGAATTGGACTACATCCTTTATGGGATTATAATTATTAGTATGATGAACATTTATTTAGCTTTCGCTGTATATAATTTATCCACACAACAATCTTAGGCAGTAGCTAATATTAATTATTCACACTGTAAAGACCAGGAAACTAAGCTAAAAAGATTAACATGCTTAAGGCTTACTGGAGGTCTTGTTTGATTTCATATCTGTTTTTCACCACTGTTCTCCACTGTGGATAACCATTGACAAAGACTCTGTTTGATCAAATCTGAGTCCAGCTCCCCTGAACCCTCTCTCTAAAAATGAAAATTTGTGTACTTCCTTGTAGAGTTCAGTTTTAGCAAAAATCTTGCTAAGTCCGTTTGGTGAGAATTCCCCACCCTCAATAGCTGGTCCCTGATTAAACTCTTCATCCCTGCTATCCCCAGATGATATCAAATTACCCTAGCATTCCTGCAGCAAGAATTCTGTTAGGTCAGTTCAGCCAGAAGTCCTCGCAGCCTTGATGACCCACCAGTGCCCTACCTCCTCATCTTATTCCTTGGTTATTGATATGGTTTCGCTGTGTCCCCACCCAAATCTCATCTTGAATTGTAGCTCCCAAAATCCCCACATGTCATGCGAGGAACCTGGTGGAAGGTAACTGAATCATGGGGGTGGATTTTTCCCATGCTATTCCTGTGATACTGAGTAAGTCTCATGAGATCTGATGGTTTTATAAAGGGCAGTTCCCTTGCACACGCTCTCTTGCCTGCCACCATGTAAGACATGCCTTTGCTCCTCCTTTGCCTTCTGCTATGATTTTGAGGCCTCCTCAGCCATGTGGAACTGTGAGTCTATTAAACCTCTTTCCTTTATAAATTACCCAGTCCTGGGTATGTCCTAATAGCAGACATACCCAAGAACCTGAGAACAGGCTAATACAGTTAGAAATCCCCACTTGTTGTGATTGTCTTTGGAATTATGTCCAATTCTACACTGGAGTTTCTCATCCCCTATTGCAATAGTTTTTTTTTTTTTTTTTTTTTTTTTTAATAAATCTATCTTCACCTCTTCAACCTCTGTTCATCTCTGGCTTTCTTCAACACCATTCAGCAGTACCTCTCAAAGTATGGTTGTTTTAGCAGCAGCCTCAACCTGACTTGGGAATTTGATAGAATTTAAATGCTTGGACCCCATCCCAGACCTACTGAATCTGAAATTGGGGATAGGACCCAGCCACCTGTGCTTTAACAAGCCCTATAGGTGATTCTGGCACTCTGGAAAGTTTTAGAACCCCTGTCATTTAGCACAATACTTGTAAGTGTGGTTTGGATTGAGTTATATTTTAAGAGACAATATCAAGGATTTTTTTTTTTACTAAACATAACAAATCCATCACTCGAGTTTTCAGTGTCAAACTACAAAGCACATTACAGCATATGCCTTAAGTCCTATTTATGGAAATCCTTGACAAGATTTCTGGGTTTTTTGTCTTGTTTCTTATATCAGTAAGTATTCTTGATGTTACTGCATTGTATGGGCACCTGACTCAGCTGCGTTGGGGAGGTCAATCCACTTCTATTCAAATCTTCTGAGCTTCAATTTCCTCAGGTATCTACCCAATTTACCTATGAGAATTCACCAGTATCCAGCACAGTCTCCAGTGCACAGCAGATAATGAATATTCAATAACTAAATAATTGGTTAAATTGCTGGGTAGACTCTAATGCAGATTTCAAATTATTATTCTAGATACTCTTTTGAAAGTGGATTTTAAATTCTGTTGACTATGTCATTGAAGTGGTTATAACAAGAGTCTACCAAAGTCAAGCAATGACATATTTCAATAATGACAAATGCAGTCATTAGTCTCCAAAAAGGAAACCCCTCACCCCCCATGAACCATAGTTCCCAGGTCCTGTGTGGTGGTATTGGGTTAATTTCAAGACGAGGTAAAAATAAAAATGCCATGAAATTTCTGCATTAGTCTCTTGAAATACATGTTCAGGGAAAACCACTCACCATATAAGAATCTATCTTGAGAACTCCCTGCTGTAAGGAAACCCCAAGTAGCTAGCCATGTAGAGAGGCTATATGAATAAAGAAAATACCCAGACTACTACCAACTCTTCCAAGCATCCCAAGTGAGGCACCAGACGTGTGAGTTAAAAGGCCATCATGAACATCCAGCCCAGTTGAGCTTTTAGATAACACTAGCTCCATTTGCCATCATCATTATGATGGCTAAATATAATAGAATGAGTTAAGGGAGAAGGATAGGCACTATATGTAATTTATATCCTTTTGCTAGCTCTAGCAATACATTAGTGTTGCCTAAATGTAGACTGTAAGTGCTCTTATTGTAGGTAAAAAAAACTGAATTTGCATGGCAGTGTTGCATATTGCATAATTTAGTTGGGTTAGAAATTTCATTAACAGCACAGGGAATATTTTTATGAGTGTCCATGAAAGAAAAAAGAATAAAATTTGTATCCTGTTTAAAATTTTATAACTGGAGTTACACTGTACATTAAGTAGATCGGTTTCTAATACCACCAAAGTAAAGTGACAGAATGTTGACTTGTACTGCTTCCATAAAGCTGCAAACACTGGTATCCTGTGAACTAGCACCCAGTTCTCATTGTGACAGCCTGTTCAGAGAGCCAGGTCAATACACATTACATTTGCCACACTGGGGCCTTCCCTATGACACCTGGTAAGCCTATCTAGTTAGCATAATACAGCTTAAAATTTGTCAAATTCCTGATCCCATAAAATCACCTTTTATACTAAAATTACCTGTCTCTTTCTTCCATACCCTCCTTCATCTCCAATATATAGTAGTAGACTAAATGCATACCTTTATGAACTGCTTACCACTTGTCACATAGTATAAATGCTAGCTTTATCCTGCACAACTATAATAAATAATAATCTATTCATAGGCAAATGCATTTCTTAATTCCTTTTATACCCCCTACAGTACCTAGCTTTGTATATTAGAAATTCTTCAATAAGTACATGTTAAATGAGGGAAATGAAAAAATGTATGGTATGCTTGAAAGATACTGCATTTTATTTTCCACATCCAGATACTTACAGGATTGCAGATAGATTGTACTTTCTTTATCCTTAATCTCTGATTTGTCTACTGAACTCTACTCTTTATTCTCAAATGCCATTCAATCTCTACAATGGGCTGGATTCTTTGGGAATATAGGAGAGAAGAAGTAATATCTGTTCCTCTGCCACTGAAAGTTTCATGGCTGAAATCCCTATAACAAAAGACAGGTTAACAAGAGAAAAGTATGATAAATTTATTTAGCCAAAGTTTCACATGACACTACGGCCTTCAGAGATGAAGAGCCAAAGACCCAGGGAAAACTGTATTTTTATGCTTAAGTTTGATGAAGCATGAACAGTTGTGTAGAGGTGTAGTTGGACAGGCCAGGTGCAGTGGCTGATGCTTGTAATCCCAACACTTTGAGAGGCCGAGGTGGGCAGATCACTTGAGGACAGGAATTCGAGACCAGCCTGGCCAATATGGAAAAACCCTGTCTCTACTAAAACTGCAAAAATTACTCTGGTGTGGTGATGCACACTTGTAATTCCAACTACTCGGGAGGCAGGAGAATCCCTTGAACCCAGGAGGCAGAGGTTGCAGTGAGACAAGATCGCATCACTGCCCTCCAACCTGGGCAACAGATTGAGACTCTGTCTCAAAAGAGGCATGGTTAGACAAAAAAGTAGGATCTAATGGTAAAAAATTGGGGGGAACATAGCAAGGTCTTTTTTTTTTTTTTTCAGCTTTTTCTTGGCATCTCTGTGTCTTCATTTCTTTCCTCCAAGTATAAGACAGGGCACCCGTTACATAAAGGTTTTATGACCCACTTTTACTTGCATGGGAGGTAAGTCAGATAATTCTTTCTTTCTTTCTTTCTTTCTTTCTTTCTTTCTTTCTGTCTTTCTTTCTTTCTTTCTTTCTTTCTTTCTTTCTTTCTTTCTGTCTTTCTTTCTTTCTTTAGTTGGGTTAGAAATTTCATTAACAGCACAGGGAATATTTCTTTCTTTCTTTCTTCTTTCTTTCTCTCTCTCTCTTTCCTTCTTTTTTTTTTAAAGAGATGGGTCACTGAGGCTGGAGTGCAATGATAACTCATTGTCTTGAAATCCTGGGCTCAAGTGACTCTCCTGCCTCCTGAGTAGCTAGAATTACAGGTGTGAGCCACTGTGCTTTCTGAGAATTACTTTATGTAATACTATTACACAGAAAGGCAGGCAAGGTAAGAGTGTGACCTCCAGGGTGCTATATGTTGGGGTAGCATGTCCTACATCCCACCATGGAGAGACAAGCACTGATTTAAAATTCTGTAATGGAACTGTTAGACCCATTCCTCTCAGTTCACCTTTTGACTTGACTCAAATAACAAATACTCCTAATGTCCAACTGTTTTGCCTGTGGTAAAGGCTTCCCTTGGGGGAACATTGGAGAAATAAATTATAAAGTTATGTATGAGTACTCAAGGCTTCATAAAATATTAAATCAGCCTAAGAGGTGACCAGTGAGTCAAGCAACTGATATTTACATGCTTTATGTACACTTAAAAAATCTTAGCATAACATTTAATCTTGAGCTAATGGAAAAGGTATTTTGCAATGTCCTCTAAATTATTCCCAGAACCTTGTTTCTTAGTTTATAATACAAGAATGTTTTATTTGTCCACAATTTGGAGAATTTGGTTCATATGGTGCTGGCAAGCCCACCCGTAAAGAAAAAGTACCATACAAATATATGCTTTACAATACCTCAGGCACTGCAATCCACACCTTGAGATTCACCACCACTAAATACTTTTAACACTTAAAGGTTTAAACAAGAACCCTATTAGGGGGTCTACAATTTTTAGAGCAAGTTCTACTAATGAATTCCACATTGTGTAAGCGCACACACACACACACACATACACACACACAGCTCTACACAGTGTGCTGGAAAATACATTGTGGAGGAGAGCCCAGCTGGCAGGAAGTTCTCTTCCTTGTTCTCATCAAATCTTTAAAGTCCGTCCATTCCATTGCTTAACACGTAATTGCTGACCCCTCTTTTCTCTTCCTTAGTTTTATTCTTACTAATGTTCTCGAAGATTAAGAAAAACGAAAATTAAGAAAAAAAAACTCTATTCGTAAAAAGGTAGGAGAGCCTCAATACTTGGTTAGTAATGGATTGTTATCACTGAGCCGATGAAAGGGAAAGAAGAGCGAGGCACTGGAGGTGCATCAGAATGTAGCATGCATCAGGGGGAATTGAAACCTAAGGGGCTGCTTTCTTGAGGAGGGATGGACAAAGAAAATCTGGGAAGTAAAATAGCCAGAGTCAGGGAATGCAGTTTGCTGTGAGGTCAGGGATTCCAGCAACATAATACTCAAAAATGTAGAATTTTGTATTCATGCTACTCAACTTACTTCTTCGCTCCACTACACTCACCTTTTCAGAAGTAATTATTTTTTTTAACTTAACATGACTAAAATTTTCATAGGACATATTGGCAGCTATGCTTTAGACTATAAAAGTGATGTTATAATGGTAATAATGTTACTGAAAAAAATGAAATCAGCACTCTCTCATTTCCATACAATCCCCAGGAAAGCATCACATCAGTGGGGTTAGTTGAAACATGTTTTGTGTTTTGCAAACCAGTGAGCCTTAATTCTTTCCCCAAAAAAAAATTAGTGAGCCAGGTGGAGATGTGATGTGGCAGGGAAACCCTAACCTTCAGCATCCTTACACTTCAAATTTGTTAGCCACAGAAGTTCTTTGTATTTTGTTAATGGATATGTGGCATCTCAGATTCAACAGGTACTTGAGTTCCAGTGATGATGAGGCAGCTAACACAGCGACCTGTGTCTTTCTTTGCAGTTAAATGAGCCCTCTTGTTTCATCAGAGCCTGCCAAAAAGCCTACCCCTCCCTTCTCAGATGCCACTGATTCAAAGTGCCTTTATTCCCCCTATAATCCAATAGGATCTCTCCCTTCTGCACCTCCATCACGCATAGCATTTATTGCATCTGCTTTAGATCCTACTCATGTCTTTGTGTCCTAACTGTCTTTGTAAATTATCTACTCTTTGAGGGCAGGCATCCCAGCTAGTTGATCTTTGTATTACTTTTAGATTTTAATACACAAAGGATTTTTGTGCCAGGCACTATGATATGCCCTTTACTGCATTATCTCAATCCTTAAGACACCATTGATGTCCCCGTCATATGCCTGTGGGCCTGGCTATTGTAATGCTCCCAGGACTCCAGCTGCAGGACCCACACCTCCTTGCCAAAGGTTTACTTCAGAATCCACTCAGCTCAAGGGCATCACAGACTAAAGTGCTGGAGAATTAATGTTTCTTTCCAATGTCTTCTTTTTAACAGCCCTCCATAATTACTGATGGGAATTGGCATATAAATATCCCAGCAACATATTCCCCTTGGTGAGATAGCTCTGAGAAAGTTATTCTGCACAACTCCCAGCTCCCAGAGTTCTCTAGCTCATTAGTTCTCAAATTTGAGTGTGCATCAACATCACCTGCAGGGTTGTTAGACCAGTTTGCTGGGTCCACATGCAGGGCTTCTAATTCAGTGGGTCTGGAGTGGGGCCTGAGAATCTGCATTTATAACTAATGCCAATGTGATGCTGAGGTGAGTCAACCACAAACCACACTTGGAGACTCTGTCTTTGCTCCAGGTATCACAACAATAACTACTTTCTAGGCCATCCTTCCTTGGTTACCTTTCCTCTTTTCACTCCCTAGCTCCCTTTCCAATGTTTCCTGGGATCATCTCAGAAGTAAACTATTTGTACTCAATCCTTATGGTTATTCTCACCATGATATGCATGAGGAGTTTATTGCATACAGGGATTTGGTTACTTGTCTCAGGTTCCACAGCTGGAAAAGCCTAGTTGTTAACCGTCACATGACACTGTCTCTTTGTCATAATGCTTTCCACATAAAGTGCTCTATCAACAGTAATATAATGAAATCAAATGGTGTTGATCAACTATCAACACTGGCTTATGGTGTTTGGAGTCACAAAGGTATCATTAGGAGTAGTTCAAGTTTTAGAATAGAGCTATGCAACTGAAAAAGGGACCAGATTTATTTAAGCAAGTCTCCTAGCACCCGAAGAGTAGGATTGGCTTGGCTCTGTATTGACACCGTGGCCTCCTGGTGAAACTCGAGACTCCTGTTGCACTCTGAAAACTCACATGATAGCCTGGAGAAGATCGAATATCTGAATGCCCCCCCTCTGGAGATAGTTAGGCCCACTGTCTGCTGTCACTGATGCCCTTTGATTCATCATTTTATATTAGCCAAGAGCCCAGATCCATCTCTCTCCAATATATATCATATTTGCCTCAGCTCACCACTCTTAAAGAATTTTGGAGTGTGTGTGTATGTGTGTGGTTTTTTTCTTTTCCTTTTGTAAATGATGCTAATTTTTCCCCACACAGAACAAAGCATATGTCGCAGTTTGTGAGTGGTCTTATGATGCAGTCACACCACTCTTTAAACAGCCTTGTCAAAAATTTAGAGATGACTGAATACTCAAAGCTCAAAAGCAGAGAGGATTCTGGCTTCACAGATCAGTCAATCACGGAGCATTGGGCGCCCAGAGAGAGTTCTGCGTAATAGGAAAATAATATGTAATTGTGTGAACAATTCACTTTATTAGTTTCCTTGGGATTAAGCCTGTACCATCTATAGTCGATTTGACAGCAAAGAAAGGGGAAAAAAGGAAAAACTACATGCAATTTTCATAACTTATTCTGTAATAAAATTGAATTTGAATTGAATTGTATGGTAAGCTAAAAAAATAGAATGAATGTAAGTTTGATTTATTTTTAATTAATTTCAGTGATGGTAAAATGAGCCAGATTTCCAACTAGAGAGTTAGAACAATACCCAGAACAACAGAAAAAGTAGATAAGCAGGAGAGTTTATATCATGTAGAATGTCAGTATCACTTCCACCATTTTTCATAAGTCAATGGTTTGAAGTGCTTATACACAGCCCTTTGGAAAAGCATCATGGAATGTAAGATGTCTCTGTATCAGGCCTGATTTTTAGGTCAGCTTGTACAAAATAAGAATAGCACAGATATTTTGAAGCAACCAGACTTTTTGCCTTTTCAGTGTCTGCTGTCTACAAAATATTACTATTACTACTAAAAACACATCAGCAGTCACTTATATAGTGCTTATTTCCAGGGTCAACTTCATGGGTATAAGTCTCACAGAGCTCTACACTGAGAAAGGAGATCCCTACTGGGCTTTAATATTCTGCAGTTGCCATCTTGAAATTCGTAATAATTGTATCTCTGAATTTGTGTTTTGTAAGTAAAGTCCAATGGGCCAATACAGCATGTGCTGGAAGCTTGAAGTCTTGATTTATGTGCAGCCTACCTCCCAATGTCTCCCTATGTCCCCAGGATATATTCTCAGCCACCTTCTCTCCCACCCCTTGGCAGTACCCTGATGGCCTCCCTCTCCTTCTGCAGCCTAGTGACCACTGCCGCCCTCTGCCCTCAGCAGGGTACTATGTGTAGATACAGGAAAAATTGAGCTTTCATCCCTAAGACAATGAATATGACGAGATATCATGCCCATGATTACGTTAGGTCACGTAGCAAAAAGGATTCTTGTGAGAGGTAATTAAGGTTACTAATCAAATGAACTTGAGTAATCAAAAGGGGTTTCCAAGTGGGCCCAAGCTGATTACCTGAGACTTTTAAAAGCAGTTGAGTTTTGTCCAGCTGAAGCATCAGGAGAAGTCAGAGACATTGAAAGAATAAGGACATGGTGTGTAATTGATGCATTGAAGGTGGTGGGGCCATGAAAGAAGGCATATGAGCAGTCTCTGGGAGAAGAAGGCAGCCTTTGCTTTAGCAGTCAGCAAGGAAATGAAGACCTCAGGCCTACAGCCACAAGGAACTAGATTCTGAAAACAGCCTGGATAATTTGGAAAAGGATTCTTCCGGAACCTCCAGATAAGAACCCAACCTGACTAGCGTCTTAATTTTGATTTTCTGACAGCCCAGTGAAATCAACCAGGGCTTCTGACATATAGAACTGTGAGCTAATAAGTGAGTGTTGTTTTAAGCTGCTAAATTTGTGGTAATTTATCACACAGCAATACAAAACTAATACACCTCCATTCTTCCGAGATTGTCCCTTGGCACTTTTTTTTTTAAATAGAAGGTGGTTATCATATGAAATTAATGGTTGATTTAAGTAGACTCTTTAAAGACAGCTTTTCTGTGTTTACATCTACAAACAGTATTCCTCTACGAAATAATTTATGACAAGGCTGAATAGTTTTATGAGCAATAACATTTATAGTCATGTTAAATAAAGATGCATTAAAATATAAGAACCCTGTAGTGTTCTAAAATATATTCTAAGTTTCACTCATGTAGAGCCCATGTTTTATGTAGGATATTACAAAACTTAAGAGAAATGTTATAATATTCTGCCTCTCTGAGAAAGCCTCAGAGAGAGAGAGAGGGCAATTTGGTGGAGAGCCATCTATCCTGTCAATTTTACCTTTGTTTTTCAATCTTAATCTGGTCATTGTACATTTTTTATGCAAGTGAATTTTCAGAAGGGGGTCTTTAACTTTTGGCTCCTGTGAGAAACAATGTTGATGAATAAATGGGGCCAGAAAGAAGAAAGAATTTGCACTAGACTAAAGGAACCCAATTTGCTATACAGCCAGGATTCAGGCTTGGACAATTCAGAGTTGATTTTGGTCACTAGCTTAACTTCGTGTTCATCGTAACTCAGTTTCTCTGCTCTCTTTCTTTATCAATCTTTCTTCCCTGGCCTTTCACTGTGTGAGACCCTCCAGAGGCTAACTCTAGAAATGCTCAAGGAAAACCTTTCATTTATCCCTCTGATCTCTGCTGGCCACTCATCATCCCAACAGCAGGTGTCCTTCTCTTTGTGGTAGACTGTAACCATCACACCATTAGAAGTGAACATTCAAATTCCTCCTGAAATTCTCCTGAAGCATCCAAGTTGTCCAGAAAAAATAAAATTGAGTCAATGATCCACACCGAATAAATGAAATTTAAGTCAATACCCATATTATTATTTTAAATTTAATCCCTAATAGAGGAACATTGATTTTACTTTTTTAAAAATTTTATGTCACTCAGCTAGGAGACTCTTAAACACAGCTTGCTACCAACAATTATTTATGCTCCTTTTCTGAGCAGCACCTAATAACTGCTAATTAAGTCTTTTGTAGCCTGACTCTGAACTAATTAGGGTTAATTGAGCCTACTTGTGCATTAGATATTCTAGCTCTTGTCCTGATAATCAGGATTTTGGAGCACACTGAATATTTATTCAGTCTGTTAGCTTAGACTTCGCTCCACTGGACATTCTGCTGCAGGTCTTTGTCATCTCTTAATGAGCAAGAGTGTGCTGCTCTCTGCCTGATTTGCACATTGTGTTGTGTGTGTGTGTGTGTGTGTGTGTGAACAGCCAGGGAATGTGATAGAGAAATAAGTCCCAGAAGAGTGGGCAAGCAGTAGGGTTAGTGTCACATTATTTTGAAACTGCCTTTGCAAAATTATGACAGTAAGAGAAATTTGCCATGGCTGACTCCATCTTGCTTCTAGCCTCACAGGCTGGCTGTCCTTGCTCATTCCTGGGCCTGGGCCAAGCTAACTTTGAGAGAAATTTAGTTAATAGTTTAAATAATAGCTCTTCCCCAAACCAAACCACCCTTGTAAAACTAATGAAAGGGCATCAGGTTAGGAGGATGCGATGGGCCTGAATTCTACTTAAGACGTAAGTGCAGTTAAATGATTACTAGCCAGTATTCAGGAGGTCACAAGATTTGCAACTTCCCCAATTACTCCTATAAATAACATTACTATTGTAGAACCTACGATTGATGTTTTGAGATGTCTTTTCAGGCTTTTACATTTCTGATGACTCGATGGCCCCACTCAGACCAGTGACTCCTCTGTGGTCCTTACTCAGAAATGGACTCAGCACATGAGGACCATTTTTCACACCCTTATGATTGCATCCCCAACCAATCAGCAGCACCCATTCCCCTAGTGCCCGGCCCACCAAACTATCTTTGGAAAAAAACTCTAACCTCTGAGCCTTCAGTGAGATTGATTTGTGTAAAATTCTGTCTCCTGGTGGTGTGGCTGACCTTATGTCAATCAAACTCTTTCTTTACTGCAATGTTATGGTCTCAGTGGATTGATTTTGTCTGTGCAGCGGACATGAATAACTCACTGGGCAGTTACAATTTCACTTTTGACTTTTTAATCATTAAAGAGAATCACCAGGCCAGGCATGGTGGCTCATGCCTGTAATCTCAGGATCTGGGGAAGCTGAGGAAGGGAAGATTGCTTGAGTCCAGGAGTTCAAGACCAGCTTGGACAGCACAGTGAAACCTTGTCTCATTAAAAAAAAAAAAAAAAAAAAAAAAAAAAAAAAAAAAAAAAAAAAAAAAAAAACAGAGAGACAGCGAGAAAGAGAAAGAATTACTGAATTACAAAGGAATATTACTTCTTGGAGGATGAGAATAAAGTTTCTGAGGTTCTGTGTTTGTGGTTCACAAATAAGAATTTTTAGTCTTTCTTCCTGGCCCTATTCATTGATTAGATAGTCAAATCAACATATTTTTCCCCAAATATGGTTGTGTGGTATAATGAGAGTTTTATATTAAAAATCCTTAGAGGTCAACAATCTCTAGAGGAGATTTTTCTCCTATGTACATAAAGACAGGACTGACCCCCAAGGAGAACAGTTGTTCTTGTTCCCCTCCCTCTTATGTCATTATCCATTAGCAAAAATATAACCACACCTGAACAGATCCCTTTCCAAGATAATGACTGTCCCCAAGGAGCATTTAAATTCCAGATAGAACTATTAACATGTTAATTTGTTCACAGATCCAATCCTTCTTACTAATCATTTATTGCCTCTCAATAGAATTTCTCTTCTCTCCCTCCCATGACCTGTTTTATCAGGATCCAAGCCCCCATTCTTTCTGTAACCTCAAGATGGTATATAAGCTTCTCTACCTTACTGACTGGGAAGTTGGGTCTTCATTCTAAAGGCTCCCATGTACACACATTAAATAAATTTGGATGCTTTTTTTCTATTAATCAATCTGCCTCATGTCAGTAATTTTTCAGTGAAACTTCAGCCTGTGAACTGATATTGGATTGTGGTGCACCTGGATACATGTTATTATTAATACCATTATTACTATTATTTTAGGCATGATCATGTGGTTCATATTAATAGGCTCTGTGATAGTCAGCTCTGCATTCACCCCATTTCATGCCACTGACCATCCAATCAGTTTTTGAAATTTCCTTAAAAGATTAGATCATTTACATTGTAATCCCTTCAATTGATTAGTCATCTTTACTGTAAAAACAATTCTACATAAAATCAAATTTTTAAATATAATCACTGTAGTTTCTCATGGCTATACTTTTCTTTTTTCTTTTTTCTGAAAGATATTTCCATTTATTTCAGTGGTATATTAGCAGACTGAGATAGTTTTCAAAATAAAGGAAAGGGAAAGAAAGCAGTTTACCTAGAAAATAGATGTATAAAGTACAATTTTTTTTTCTTGTTTTAATTTTACTTTAAGCTCTGGGATACATGTGCAGAACATGCAGGTTTGTTACGTAGGTATACATGTGCCATGGTGGTTTGCTTCACCTATTAACCTGTCATCTAGGTTATAGGCCCTGCATGCATTAGGCATTTTTTCCTAATGCTTTCCCTCCCCTTTACCTCAATCCCTGACAGGCCCTGGTGTGTGTTGTTCCCCTCTCTGTGTCCATGTGTTCTCATTGTTCAATTCCCACATATGAGTGAGAAAATGCAGTGTTTGGTTTTCTGTTCCTGTGTTAATTTGCTGAGGATGATGGTTTCCAGCTCCATTCACCTCCCTGCAAAGGACATGATCTCATTCTTTTTTATGGCTCCATAGTATTCCATGGTATATATGTATCACATTTTCTTTATCTAGTATATCATTGATGGGCATTTGGGTTGGATCCAAGTCTTTGCTATTGTAAATAGTGCTGCAACAAACATATTTGTGCATATGTCTTTAGAGTAGGATGATTTATATTATTTTGGGTATATACCCAGTAATGGGATTGCTGGGTCAAATGTTATTTCTGGTTCTAGATCCTTGGGGAATCACCAGTGTCTTCCACAATGGTTGAACTAATTTAAATTCCCATCAACAGTGTAAAAGTGTTTCTATTTCTCCACAGCCTTGCCCACATCTATTGTTTCCTGACTTTTTAATAACTGCTATTCTGACTGGCGTGAGATAGTATCTCATTGTGCTTTTGATTTGTATTTCTCTAATGATCAGTGATGATCATATCATGTTTTTCCTAGGTTTCTTGGCCACATAAATATCTTTTGAGAAGTGTCTGTTCATATCCTTTGACCGCTTTTTGATGGGGTTGTTTTTTTCTTGTAAATTCGTTTAAGTTCCTTGTAAATTCTGGATATTAGACTTTTGTCAGATGGATAGATTGCAAAATTTTTCTCCCATTCTGTAGGTTGCCTGTTCACTCTGATGCAAGTTTCTTTTGCTGTGCAGAAGCGCTTTAGTTTAATTAGATCCCATTTGTCAATTTTGGCTTTAGTTGCTATTGCTTTCGGTGTTTTTGTCATGAAGTCTTTTCCCATGCCTATGCCTTGAATGGTATCGCCTAGGTTTTCTTCTAGGGTTTTTATGGTTTGTGGTTTTATATTTAAGTCTGTAACCTATCTTGAGTTAATTTTTTGTATAAGGTGTAAGAAAGGGGTCCAGTTTCAGTTTTCTGCATATAGCTACCCAGTTTTTCCATCACCATTTATTAAACAGGGAACCCTTTCTCCATTGCTTGTTTTTGTCAGGTTTGTTGAAGATCAGATGGCTGTAGATGGGTGGTGTTATTTCCGAGGTCTATTCTGTTGCATTGGTCTATATGTGTGTTTTTGTACCAGTACCAGTACCATGCTGTGTCGGTTACTATAGATTTGTAGTAAAGTTTGAAGTCAGGTAATGTGACTTTGTTCTTTTTGCTTAGGATTGTTCTTCTTGCTTAGGATCATTCTTTTTGCTTAGGATTGTCTTGGCTATATGGGCTTTTTTTTGGTTCCATATGAAATTTAAAGTATTTTTTTCTAATTCTGTGAAGAAAGGCAATTGTAGTTTGATGGGAATAGCATTGAATCTATAAATTACTTTGGGCAGTATGGCCATTTTCATGATATTGATTCTTCCTATCCATGAGCATGGAATGTCTTTCCATTTCTTTGTGTCTTGTCTTATTTCCTTGAGCAGTGATTTGTAATTCTCCTTGAAGAGGTCCTTCACATCCCTTGTAAGCTGTATTGCCAGGTATTTTATTCTCTTTGTAGCAATTGTAAATGGGAGTTCATTCATGATTTGGCTCTCCGCTTGTCTATTGTTGGTGTTTAGGAATGTTTGTGATTTTTGCACATTGACTTTGTATCCTGAGACTTTGCTGAAGTTGCTTATCAGCTTAAGAAGTTTTTGGGCTAAAATGATAGGGTTTTCTAAACATAGAATCATGTCATCTGCTAACAGACAATGTGACATCCTCTCTTCCTATTTGAATATCCTTTATTTATTTCTCTTGTCTGATTGCCCTGGCCAGAAGTTCCAATACTATGTTGAATAGGAGTGGTGAGAGAGGGTATTCTTGTCTTGTGCTGGTTTTCAAAGGGAATGGTTCCAGCTTTTGCCCATTCAGTATGATATCGGCTATGAGTTTCTCATAAATAGCTCTTATTATTTTGAGATCTGTTCCATCAATACCTAGTTTATTGAGAGTTTTTAACATGAAGGGATGTTGAATTTTATCAAAGGCCTTTTCTGCATCTATTGAGGTAATAATGTGGTTTTTGTCATTGGTTCTGTTTATGTGATGGATTATGTTTATTGATTTGTGTATGTTGAACCACTCTTGCATCCCAGAGATAAAGTCGACTTAATTTTGGTGGATAAGCTTTTTGATGTGCTGCTGGATTTGTTTTGCCAGTATTTTATTGAGGATTTTCACTTTGATGTTCATCAGGGATATTGGCCTGAAGTTTCCTTTTTTTATTGTGTCTCTGCCAGTTTTTTGTATCAGGGTGATGCTGGCCTCATAAAATGTGTTGAGGAGGAGTCCCTCCTTTTCAATTGCTTGGAATAGTTTTTTAAAAATGGTACCAGCTCCTTTTTGTGCCTCTTGTAGAATTTGGCTGTGCGTCTGTCTAGTCCTGGGCTGATTTTGGTTGGCAGGCTGTTAATTATTATCTCATTTTCAGAACTTGTTATTGGTCTAGTCAGGTATTCAACTTCTTCCTGGTTTAGTCTTAGGAGAGTGTATGTGTCTAGGAATTGTTTTAGATTTTCTAGTTCATTTGCGTAGAGGTGTTTATAGTATTCTCTGATGGCAGTTTGTATTTCTGTGGGATCAGTGGAGAAAAACCCTTTATCATTTTTTATTGTGTCTATTCGATTCTTCTCTCTTTTCTTCTTTCTTAGCCTATCTAGTGGTATATCTATTTTGTTAATTTTTTCAAAAGAACATCTCCTGGATTCATTGATATTTTGAAGGGTTTTTCATGTCTCTATCTTCTTCAGTTCTGCTCTCATCTTAGTTATTTCTTGTCTTCTGCTAGCTTTTGAATTTTTTTGGTCTTGCTTCTCTACTTCTTTTAATTGTGATTTTAGGGTGTCGATTTTAAATCTTTAAGTTTTCTGATACAGGCATTTAGTGCTATAAATTTCCCTGTTAATACTGCTTTAGCTATGTTCCAGAGATTCTGGTATGTTGTCTCTTTGTTCTCATTGGTTTCAAATAGCTTATTTCTGCATTAATTTTGGTATTCACCCACGAGTCATTCAGGAGCAGGTTGTTCAATTTCCACGTAGTTGTGCTTTTTTGAGTGAATTTCTTAATTCTGAGCTCTAATTTGATTGCACTGTGCTCTGAGAGACTTTTTGTTATGATTGCAGCTCTTTTGCATTTGCTGAGGAGTGTTTTACTTCCAATTATGTGGTCGATTTCAGAATAAGTGCCATCTGGTACTGAGAAGAATGTATACTCTGCTAATTTGAGGTGAAAAGTTCTGTAGATGTCTACTAGGTCCACTTGATCCAGAGCTAAGTTCATGTCCTGAATATCCTTGTTAGTTTTCTGTCTCATCTATCTGTCTAATATTGACAGTGTGGTATTAAAGTCTCCCACTATTATTGTGTGGGAGTCTAAGTCTCTTTGTAGGTCTGTAAGAACCTGTTTTATGAATCTAAGTGCTCCTGTATTGGGTGCATATATATTTAGGATAGTTAGCTCTTCTTGTTGCATTGAACCCTTTACCATCATGTAATGCCCTTCTTTGTCTTTTTTGATCTTTGTTGGTTAAAAGTCTGTTTTTTCAGAGACTAGGATTGCCACTTCTGCTTTTTTCTGCTTTCCATTTGCTTGGTAAATATTCCTCCATCCCTTATTTTGAGCCTATGTTTGTCTTTGCATATAAGATTGGTCTCCTGAATACAGCACACCAATGGGTCTTGACTGTTTATCCAATTTGCCAGTCTTTCTCTTTTAATTGGGTCATTTAGTCCATTTACATTTAAGATTAATACTGTTATGTATGAATCTGATTCTGCCATCATGATGATAGTTGGTTATTTTGCACACTAGTTGACGTAGTTTCTTCATAGTGTCATCAGTCTTTTTTTTTTTTTTTTTTTTTGAGAGGGAGTTTTGCTCTTGTTGCACAGGCTTGAGTGCAATGGCACAATCTCAGCTCACTACAACCTCTGCCTCTCAGGTTCAAGCAATTCTCCTGCCTCGGCCTCCCAAGTAGCTGGGATTACAGTTGCCTGCCTCCATGCCCAGATAACTTTTGCATTTTTAGTAGAGACGGGGTTTCACCATGTTGTCCAGGCTTGTCTTGATGGTCGTTATGTTTTGGTGTGTTTTTGCAGTGGCTGGTACCAGTTTTTCCTTTCCATATTTAGTGCTTCCTTCAGGAGCTCTTGTAAGTCAGGCCTGGTGGTGATTAAATCCTTTAGCATTTGCTTGTCTGGAAATGATTTTATTTCTCCTTCTCTTATGAAGCTTAGTTTGGCTGGATATGAAATTCTGGTCAAAAATTGTTTTCTTTAAAAATGTTGAATATTGGCCCCCACTCTCTTCTGGTTTGTAGGGTTTCTCTGGAAAGATCCACTGTTAGTCTGATGGGCTTCCTTTTTAGGTGACCTGACCTTTCTCTCTGGCTACCTTTAACATTTTTTCTTTCATTTTGACCTTGGAGAATCTGATGATTATGTGTCTTGGGGTTGATCTTCTTGTAGGGTATCTTAGTGGTGTTCTCTGTATCTCCTGAATGTGAATGTTGGCCTGTCTTCCTAGGTTGGGGAAGTTCTCATGGATAATATCCTGAAGTGTGTTTTCCAGCTTGGTTCCATTCTCCCCGTCACTTTCAGGTATAACAATCAATCACAGGTTTGGTCTTTTCACATAGTCCCATATATCTTGTAGGCTACATTCATTGTTTTGCATTCTTTTTCCTCTAATCTTGTCTGTATGCCTTATTCCAGCAAGGTGGTCTTCAATCTCTGATATCCTTTCTTCTGCTTGATTGATTCAGCTATTGATACTTGGGTGTGTTTCATGAAGTTCTTGTGCTGTGTTTTTCAGCTCCATCAGGTCATTTATATTCCTCTCTAAATGGGTTATTCTAGTTAGCAGTGCCTGTAGCCTTTTATCCAGGTTCTTAGCTTCCTTGTATTGGGTTAGAATATGCTTCTTTAGCTCAGATGAGTTTTTTATTACCCACCTTCTGAAGCCTAATTCTATCAATTCATCAATCTCATCCTCTGTCCAAATTTGTGCCCTTGCTGGAGAGGTGTTGCAATCATTTGGAGAACAAGAGGCATCAGGCTTTGGGAATTTTCAGCGTTTTTGCACTGTTGTTTCCTCATCTTCATGGATTTATCTACCTTTGATCTTTGAGGCTGATGACCTTTGGATGGGGTTTTTGCGGGGGGTCTTTTTTGTTGTTGTTGTTGCTTTCTGTTTGTTAGTTTTTCTTCTAACAGTCAGGGCCCTCTTCTGCAAGTCTGTTGCAGTTTGCTGGAGGTCCACTCTAGACCCTGTTCACCAGGGTATCACCAGTGAAGGCTGCAGAACAGCAAAGATTGCTATGGGTATACTTTTCAAGGTAGTTGAACAAGAACTAAAAATTTATTTTTAATTTCCATTAACAATAAACAACATTCCTAATCCCAACAAGATAACTGGCTGCCCAAAAGTTTCTTCATGTGTATTATCTGATGAGCCAGAATTTAGAACAAATAATCTGGCCATGGCACAGATTAAAATGGTGTTTCTCTGATGGACTTCTGATAGGGAGGTAGGGAGGCCATCATGGAAGCAAAGACCCCTATTTGTTTATCTCTTGTCATTAGTCTAATACATACTTCACAAGTGTGTGTTGACTCACGAGGACTGAATGAAGTAGTGACTGAGTGTGTCTTAATGACATGGCAAATAATTTTTTTTTTTTTTGAGGCAGAGTCTCATTCTGTCACCCAGGTTGGAGTGGAGTGGTGCAATCTCGGCTCACTGCAACCTCCACCTCCTGGGTTCAAGTGATTCTCCTTCCTCAGCCTCCCAAGTAGCTGGGACTACAGGCATGCACCACCACATCCAGCTAATTTTTTTGTATTTTTAGTAGAGACTGGGTTTCTCCGTGTT